>NC_000007.14:156205323-156518388 GCF_000001405.40 Homo sapiens
AGCTGGGATTACAGGCATGTGCCACCACCCCTGGCTAATTTTGTATTTTTAGTAGAGACAGGGTTTCCCCATGTTGGTCAGGCTGGTCTCGAACTCCCGACCTCAGGTAATCCGCCCCCCACGGCCTCCCAAAATGCTGGAATTATAGGCGTGAGCCACCACACCTGGCCTTCCCAGCCCTTTCTCCTATGGGGATCCCTGATTTCATATTTTCCTACTCTGTCAATTCCAGCAGATCTAGAATGTGTTTCAAATTGCTTCAAAGTTTCAGAATACTGCACAAATTAAAACTAATAAAAAGCCACAGAAATCCTAGCAGGAATAAGGAGGCAGTGGAAAAGTGGTTTCCTGGGCTCTGAGAAAGGGCTCAAATTACTTATGGGAATCAAAGCAAGTAGGGAACCAGTTTGGTTCGGGTCCTAGCTCAGAGGACAATGAAGCTCCACTTAAACAGACTTCCAAAGGTCGTTAATGACAGCTTCTTTCTACCACGTGGAACCTGAACACGACAGGTGCCTTCTGGCCTGGTCCTCTGTGGTACTGAGGGCCCACTCAGTTCTGTCCGAGCAGAGAGAAGAGTTATCTGGGAGGACATTGTCTGGCGGATCAGACCATTCCAGCTGTTCAGTCCCAATAATTCAGTTCCAAATTTACTTTTTTCCTTAACAGAAGAGTCTTCATCCCTCCAATGCTCCATTTTAATGTGCCTTATATAGAGTATTGATTTTTTTTTTTTTTACTCTGCATCTTATTTATTTATTTTGAGACAGAGGCTGGCTCTGTGGCCCAGGCTGGAGTGCAGTGGTGTGATCTCAGCTCACTTTAACCTCCGCCTCCTGGGTTCAAGCAATTCTCCTGCCTCAGCCTCTTGAGTAATTGGTATTACAAATGCCTGCCACCACGCCCAGCTAATTTGTTTGTATTTTTAGTAGAGACGGGGTTTCGTCTCTGTGGCCAGGCTGGTTTCGAACTCCTGACCTCAAGTGATCTGCCCAACTTGGCCTCCCAAAGTGCTAAGATTACAGGCGTGAGCCACTGCGCCCAGCCTGCATTTACTTCCTAAGTGCAAGGCAATAGTTTGAATGCAGGCTTGGGCTGAGAGTATAAAGATGGTCATCGTCATGGCCATAGACATCTGTGATTTCTGTGATGACCGGCAGGACAACATTCAGGAGCAGGGCTCTTTTGTTAGAAGTCCCCTACACTGTTTGAGGAAGGATGAAACATACTTTCCCCACTCACCTCTTCAGACATATACCTCACTCACTGCTCCTACATTGTCTAATCACAATGCAGCCTGGATCTCAGTTTAACATAATACAACAGCAAAAACAGCAACACAGACAGAGCTGAGAAGGCCCAGCCAGAGTCAGACAGAGGCAAAACAGTGGCAGCCTATACAATCCAGCTTCACCCCCACCTCTAAATTCTTCTCCTGCCAGATCAATGGTATTTGAAATTTCTTTAGCTAGAAAGAGGTACTTTTGTTTTGTTTTGTTTTGTCTTCCATAATTGAAGAAGGCTTTAAAGAGGAAACGCTCTGAGTGAGATGGAACATATTGGTAACCATTTTCTCCTCCAAGTGGTGAGAAGTTGGCATCAAATTCCTCCTTTCCTGAAGGTTACCATTAAAGGGAACAGAAGGTCACTAAACAGAGGGGCTGCCACCCCAGTGAAAGACTCCCCTGTGTTCTGGTTTTACTCCCCTCTAGCCTTGTTTTGGTCACAAGTCACGTTGGTGGAAGAGGCGATGGTTGTCTCATGGCTATGTACTGAAAAAACTTCCAGGATTGTGCCCCCGGCCCTGGAATTATGAGCTCTCATTACCAGACAGCTTGGTGTTCAACAGAGAGATTATCTTCCAGGGTATGCGACTCTTTCTCCCCACTGAATTGGGACCTCGGTCTGCCACCAGACGAGTCATGTGGTGCAAGGTTAACCCGGGTGATTTCATTCCTGACCAAACAAAGCGACATACAACTTCTGAATCAAAATCGATGGGAAGTATATGGTGAAATATGGCGACTCTTGCAGGCCTCTCCTTAGAGTATCGTGTTCAGTGATCACAGCAGTGGAAAAGCACCACAGCCCTCTTGAGGAAGAACGGCCAAGACCCAGCCCCTGTAGGAATAAATGCTGCCACCCCTGGCAAGCAAAATGGCCCAGTCCACAGGAGGAGGAAAGAGACAGAGCCAAGGACAAGGACGAAAGCACGTGATACTGGCTGTAGCCTAAGCCAGCTGTCATCACTAGGCTTCCTGATTTTGCTTTACCTTCCTGGCTGTTTCATATAATTTAAAAAGTACTTCTTTTCTTCTTTCTGCTTACCATTTTTAAATATATTGTGCATTGGGCTGGGTGCAGTGGCTCACACCTGTAATCCCAGCACTTTGGGAGGCCAAGGCAGGGAGATCATTTGAGGTCAGGCGTTCAAGACCAGCCTGACCAATATAGTGAAACCCCGTCTCTACTGAAAATACAAAAATTAGCTGGGCATGGTGGTGCACGCCTGTAATCCCAGCTACTCAGGAGACTGAGGCAAGAGAATTGCTTGAATCTGGGAGACGGAGGCTGCAGTGAACAAAGATGGTGCCACTGCACTCTAGCTTGGGCGACAGAGTAAGACTCTGTCTCAAAAAAAAACATATATATACATAATTTTATATAAATATATATATACGTCGTGTGTGTGTGTATATATATATATATACACACACACACATATATATAATGCATTGATGTTGGCAAAACATGCCATGTATTCCACAGGCAGGATCCTGCTAGGATCACGATGGGATGCACATCAGCCGAGATCGTCCACCTGGAGAGCTGTGACTCCATGGCACCAACTGTGGGTGAGAGGGTTGTATATAACCTTGGGTTTTCCTCCCATGGGTGAGAAAGTGAGCACATGGTTGCAGTTGTAGCAGCAGAACTCCATTACGTTGCGGGTGGAGGTGGGGGTGACGTGGACATCAACACGAAGAAGAGAGTGTGGTATGTGCTAGGTGGCCAAGCCGTGGACCATACCATGGCTGTGTCTTTAGTCTTCCTAGCAACCCCTCCCGACCCTATTCAGGTAGCAAGTCCTATCTCTTGGCCACAGGGCAGGCATGTGAAACTCACTGGGTTGATCATAGCATCTTATCTCCCCAATCAGGTGGCAGGCCCACTGGGTGAGCACCAGAGGAAATGAAGAAGTGGAATTCTCTCATGGGACTTGTACATTGAGTGCAAATAAACAGAAGACAGTCAGTGCCAACACATCTGATGGTGGCACCTAATGGGAAGTCCACAGGACCCCCTGCAGAGATTCCTAGAGCTGCCCTAATCCCTCCCTTTCCCGAGCACTGGTTTTTCTGATTTTCTCAATTTTTTAATAAGTTAGAAGTCATTCCTGTGGCTTGCAGAATAGAACCTAAACTGACACTGGGTACCACCTTCTGGAAGAGAAGCAATGGCCTTAAGATTCTTCAGAAAGAGAGAGATTTCCTGAGTAATGGATCTTTAACCCCTGATCTAGTTTGGTGAATATGGACAGTTCATGGTGACCTTAATTCTTGATTGTGGCAGGAAGCACCAGTAAGCTATGCCACTCAGGAAGACCTGACCGGGTTCCGGTGGAGAAGCATTTTAATCCAGCCACATGCTGAGGCTTGTGAAGGTTTTCCTTTTGGTTGACCATAAAAAGAGCCCCAGTGGGAACAACATCTTCCCAGGTCCCAAAAATATAAACAGGGGTCTCCCAGACTTCAAATCCACCCTTTCAGACATGGGTGTTTTCACGTCTCCGCATCTGTGGCAAAGGGAAGGGGCTCAGAACTGGAAGTTACCAGACAGGATTATCTCCAGCTTGGCCAGTTGTTTGGTGAGAATTGCTCTTGGGAAACTTCTCTTCCTTATCTTTGGAGAAAGGCCAAGGTCAGAGGCAAAAACAAAGTCTGATGCAGATTGCTATCTCCATTTTCTTGGAACCAACCCTCTCGTTTTCCAAGGCTGGAAAAGAGGAAGAGAACATCGCTGGAGGAAAGAGACAGAAAAGGGAAGGCGAGCTCAGCCCCCTCGCCAGCCTGGCTGTGCCGAGTTCCTGGAGCATCACAGGACTCTGCTAGTGCTTGTGGGTTTCTGATCCTCTTGCCCATGTTTTGGGGAAATTTTCTGTACTTTTAGCCAGACTCCAGGCTTGGTTTGGCATCACCCAGGATCCCAGATCGGGAGTCCCAATCCCTGCACCTCCTTCTTCCGCCTCAGGTCATTACTCTTCCCCAGCCGCAGGCTATGCAGTGAATGAGCTTCTTAGATCCAATTTGTCTAGGACTCTGACACCCATCAGCTCTTTTCAGGTTCCTTTTTATGCTCTCCCGATTTGTGCTTCCAGGAGCTAAATTCTTGACCATGGTCACTTCTTACCTAGACCCTTCCTACCCTATTGAGCGCTCTGGTCTAAATGATCCTGCAGTTCCCAGGGTCCTGGATCCACCCCAGACCTGACATCAATGTCTGAAGGAGACTTTTTCCTGCAGAAAAGCTTTTAAAGAGTGGAGACACTGTAAACATTGTGGAATAAATGAAAGATTGAATTAATGAATTGTAGACCACGTTGGATACATTAAAAATTTGTGTTTTTTTATTTTAATGTTTTAAAAATTCATCCCTATCACATGTCAGACTACACATGCAGTATGAGGTAGCTGAAAAAAATACAGTTTCTCAGATAAAAGTTTTGGTTTAGTTAACGATAGAGTGAGGGTTGGAGAACAATGCCGGAGAGACAGTAGGTGCTTGGTAAATATTTATCATATTTGCCAAGTGAAAAAAGCCTCAGACACAGGCAGAAAAGATGATGGGGGAGGTTCATGTAGACCTGGTGGATCTGTGATATTTGGGGGCATCCATGGGGCTCAGGAAGGGAGTTTATTTCCCACAGCAATGAGAAGTGGGGGCTGAGGGAAAATGGCCTGCTTCACAGCCACGGTGACAAGCTTCCATCTGATGGTGATGGATATTGATTTTTTCCTCCTCTTCTTGGCCTGTAATGTCCTAAATCACTTCCTTTGTGCAATTGCCCAAACTCCTACCCCAGCTCCCACAGTGAGGGACCTGAAGGTTAGGGCTCCAAGGGGTGGGGCATCCACATTAGGAGCGGCAGCGAGAATCCAGCCGAGGCGAGCAGATGGCGCTGAGACAGAACCCCCATCCTGGGCAGCTTTCTCCATAATGGAATCCACATTAAAAATGATATTATCTACACTTTTAAAGGCCCTAATGGATGATATTTATGTCTGTGAAATATGTCCCTGACTAAGCCCTACACAGTAGAGGAAGAACAAGCCGTTGGGAGAAGGCTGCTTCTGAGTGAAGGAAACAGTGATGGATAAATTTCTTTTCCAAGCAGCCAATCAGTAAAATAGGTTTTAATACATGACAAAAAGTATAGTTTGTCCGTTTTCCCCACAGAGATGGCGAGTAGTCGAGCTTTAATGTGACTTGACAGCCTTGTGATCCTTTCTGCCATCCTTGTTCTTAGCAAAGTGCTCTAAAAACGCACCTATAATTTATTTATGGGACCTGTCAGTTAACTCATGAATAACCAGAATGTTCCAAAGGGCATTGAGACTCGACACTTCTTCCTTTCTCTGGGAAACACTGCCGTCTGGATCCCAGGGAAGTTAAGTGACGACTTACCGTACACTTTGTGCCAGAGAGAGAGATGGGAGAAGACACAGCCAAATTACCGGCACTCACTAGAGCAGCACTCACTAGAGCAGCACTCACTAGAGCATCTCAGGAATTATGGTTAGGTTGAATAAATTAGGGAAATTTATTTAAAGTCCCCAAAGCTCCAGATTCTTTTCATTAATGACCAAATATTTACAAAGAAGAAAAATTTTCAACTGGAGACTGAATTTATAGCATTCGGCATCAGAAAATCTCTAATATCCAAAAGACAAGCCAAAAAATAAAATCACACTCTCAGAAATTTGAAGGTTGGACTCCACAGTTGAATTCTTGGTAACATGGGCCTGAACCAAGCACAACACAATAACTTCACTGAATGTAGTATTTTGCCCAATATGATCAAGAAATCTTAACAGAACCACAAACTATTTTTATTTTCAAGTATCAAAAGAAAATGTCATATACTGTTTTATTTTGGCATAGGTCTCTCTATATTCACCAAAGAAAGAAGATAAGGAGCTGTTCTTCAGTGGTTCTGGCCATTGTCAATAACCAAACCAGATCATTACAGGTGGATGAAAGTTATTGTCAACCTGCACCACCCAGAGTCCCCAGACAGCTCCCCTGGCCACCCCATTGGTTGGAAGCAGATCAGGGCTCAAGGTTTTCGGTGTGGGCTGGACACCTGCGTGCTGTTTTCACAGTTAGGGATCTAACATTGCACATTTGCTCAAACTTCAGGCCTGTTGCTTTACACACGATATGCATACACACAACAGTGGATATCCTGAGTAATCCTTCAATGTTTAAAATGTTTGCGTCGTAATTCCCAGCTAAGACAATAGTGATCACAGACACAATACATAAAGGCAGTGAAGCTAAGGTGTACATCATATGCACCCTTTACTCATAGATGCCAAACATTTCATTGATTCTCTGCCAAAAAGAACATTCAATATTCCAGGAAAAAATTTCCTAACAGGTGACGTAGAATATATGGCATTTAATTGAACAATAAAAAATAAGGTACAGAAAGATTCAGACTTTTACTACTTTTACTATGAATCTTTGAATTTTAGTATGAATCTGTACCACTCCAAAACAGCTCATTGGTTCACTCTAGATGTACACACTAGCCCTAAGTGTATGGAAAATTATAGTTACAAATCATTAATAGAGCAGCATTTGCTAATCTTCACACAATGATCGACTTCAGCCTTGGTGGAATTAGGCTTCTGCCACAGTATGAATAGTAGGCAGTTTTAGGAAGCCCAGCCCCGCCTGGTCAAGGTACCCTGAAGGTGCTGATGACAATGGTGATGACAGCCAGGGGCTGTGGGGTTACCTGTGCCACCTGCTTCAGTCCTTACAACAACCCAGGTAAGGCACTGTCAGGACCCCCGTTTACAAATGAGGAAATGGACGCTGAGAGAGGCCACTGACTTGTCCGAGCCCAGCCCTCAGTTTGCAAGTGACGGACAAAGGATGTGATCCCAGGAAGTTTGCTTCTGAACCTGCTCTCTTCTTTTTATGAACCTGCTCTCCTAACAGCTAGAATGTGGTCTCTGATCCCCAATTAGCAGTGGCTGTAACTGATGGTTGAGAGAGAAAATTCACACACAAATGGTATGCAGATTTTCATGGAGGTAGGGCAGGGGCCCATTATAAAGAAAAGATGCCACACTGGAGACAGAATTTTTAGCAAGTATTAACATGAGACAGCACAGGTGAGACAACTGAGTTACAAGCCTCCATCAGAAGTGATCAATCAGCGTACACGCTGAAAATGCTTAAACGACACCTGCAAAGCCTGAGCATATTGCAAAGCCTGCAGTGACTCTTTTAGACTGCAGTAACCTAATTCATGATGCTTACTCCCATCTTCAAAAACTCTTCTCTAGCTCCTGACTTTCTACAGCAAGAAGTCTCCCCAGTCAGACTTCAGGGCCTCTCCACAGCCAGGTCACCTGATTTTCCAACTTGATTTCTTTTTCCACAAGTGCTTTGGCAAATCTGTCTGCTAGACACTTTCAATCTCCGTCGCAACATTCACGCTGCTCTCTCCCGTTCATTCTGCCAGTCTGCATTCTGTTTTTCTATCAATGCCTGCCTTAAGAATTAATGAAATGTGCAAAACCTGATGGTACATTTACAACCCCTTATGGGGTGGATTCTGTTGTTATCTGCCAGAGGAGAATCTGCCAAAACCATGAGAAAAGACCTAGGATTCGAACCCTGGTTGACACAGGCCCAGAGCCAGTGTTTATCTACTGCCACACAAGTCCCAGAGCCCACGTCTCCCATGAGGGGTTCTGAGACCTCCTGGATTTGGTTTGCTTCTTTCTCTAAACTCATAGCCTTGAGGAAAAGCCAAATTGTGCATCTCTCTTCTCAGTGTTTCTATGTCTCTGGGTTAGGAGCTCCATGACAGGAATTGTCAGATGTACCCCACAGAGCTCCTGGGAGACACCTGCTGACTCAGAAGGTAGGCACAATGCATATGAGGTCTTGCCCAAGCACAGACTTCAGTTTACAAACTCACTCCTCCTTCCTTCCTTCTTTTTTTTTTTTTTTTTTTTTTTGATGGAGTCTCACTCTGTCGACAAGGCTGGAGTGCAGTGGTGATCTCGGCTCATCACAACCTCTGCCTCCCAGGCTTAAGTGATTCTCCTGCCTCAGCCTCCCGAGTAACTGGGATTACAGGCAAGCACTACCATGCCTGGCTAATTTTTGTATTTTTAGTAGAGATGGGTTTCTCCAGGTCGGCCAGGCTGACCTTGAACTCCTGACCTCAAATGATCCACCTACCTCGGCCTCCCAAAGTGCTGGGATTACAGGTGTGAGCCACCTCGCCGGGCCACAAGTTAACTTTTTCATAGTGAAAAAATAATTTGCAACTTCCGAAGATTTACTCTGAAGGCAAGTATCGCAATTTCCAGTTTTCTGCCTAACACACCGAGGCTGGGCTGCCTCTGAAGCCCAGCTTTGTGGGGTCGAGGCCTTGGATAACAGGCAGAACTCGTGAGGGACTGGCCCGAGGCCCAACTGCAATGATGCTGGGACTGACGTGCATTTCTGTGGGTGAGAGGGTAGGTCCTTGGCCTGGGTTGGAGGGATGTACCCCCCTTCTCCCTGCTGCAGGGCTTGGATTGTGCCGCAGGGCCGGAAGTTGAGTCTACAAGGAATCGGTAGAGACCTTGATCGAGGACCTCGTTCCAGCTGCTGGGTGCCACTCGTGGGCCTGCAGGAGGGGTCTGAAATGGCCTGTGAAATCTAGATGCATGATCTGCAGCTTAGATCACCAGCACAGACACTCTCCTCCTTGCAGAGCAACCAGAAAGTATTCTGTCTGGGAAGTAAAAGAGGTTTTCTGAGTAAAATTCAAGTGAAACTACTGTTAAGAATGACTTATTTAGCCCTGTTGGGAGCTGGGGGTAGGGGGAGGCAGAATTAGGAAAAGGATCAGGAAATAGAAAACCTGAAATCTGTGCCTAATTGGAACTAATGTGTTGTGTGATCTTAGACAAGTCATTTAATCTTTCTGTCTCATGTCCTTATCTGCAAATGATTATAATAATCACTCTGTCCCTTTCATAGAGATGTGAGGATGTCCAATGATCTAATAGCTGTGTAAGTGCCTTAAAAAATAAAGATCTGTGGAAACGTGTGGTGGGATTGGCATGGTCCTTGCCATCGCTGGTGTTTGTTCACCCATTTCCTTCATGAGCATGTCTTCAGTATTGACCAGAGGTCCAGAATTTGGAGTCTTTGCTGACACAAATTCAGCCAGCATATTCATTTTAGATACTGTGTATGGGAAGGATATGCATGCTACTTCAGATACTATGTATGCTTCAGGGATGGCTCCCCTGTTTGGGCAATGCCTCCTTAAACTTGAGATTTAACTATGGCTCACACCTGCAATCCCAGCACTTTGTGAGGCCGAGGTATCGGGGGATCTCTTGAGGCCAGGAGTTCGAGACCAGCCTGGCCAACATGGTGAAACCGTGCCTCTACTAAAAATACAAAAATTAGCTGGGTGTGGTAGCACACGCCTGTAATCCCAACTACTTGGGATCTGGGGCAGGAGAATCACTTGAATTCAGGAGGCGGAGGTTGCAGTGAGCCAAGATCGTGCCACTGCACTCCAGCTTGGGTGACAGAGCAAGACTCTGCCTCAAAACCAACAAACAAAAAACCTTAAGATTTAGAGAGTTCCCAGTGGTGTGTGAGGCTGACTGGAGAGAGCTGAGCGTGAAATGTGCAAGAATTTGGCCAGCCAGTTTAAGTGACACGGGTCCTAGCAGGAATATTTACAGTGTGGAAACCAGTAAACGCTGCAGATGAAGGCCCCACCCTCCTGCCCTCAGCCACCCCAGCCCCTGGAGCTCTGTGAGAAATACGGCCCCTGGCATGTTTCTAAGGGCAGAGGAGGAACGCCTAGTGACCGACCACCTGGGACCAGAAACATGCTTCCTGGATGGATGGTCCTCATTTCCCAGTTCCTTTTCTTGGAATTGCTAGGACAGTTGGGGCCTGAAGTCCAGGAAGGCCCTTCCGAGAGGTGAGACATCAGGGTCTGACACACAGCCCCTGTAGATCTTTCATCTCTCTCTCTCTTTTTAAAATGTGGAATTCTTGTTGATGTGTAACCTTGTATTTCAGTTCTCTCCTATTTTGTTTTATTCCTAGGGGCATGGAGTCACCAGTTTCTAGGCCCAGTTAGAAAGCCCCCTGTGTTAAAATCCCCCCTTGGCTTTTCTCTCCCAACTCAGTGGATCATTCATTCCAGAAATGTTTGTTGATAACTCGCGATGTAACTCAGCATTGTATGCGAAGCCCCACAGAAGTGTCAGAGATGAAGAAACATTTTCATCGTACAGGAGCTCAGGACTCCTTGAATAGCTGAAGCAAACACACGAAGCGCTTTCCCCAAGGTGCAGTTGTGCTAGTGGATTTTCTCTGTGGCTTTCCAGGGTTCCCCTGAGTGCCCACTGCAGTGACAGTTACGGACCCACCTTAGTCAATACGACCCCAAGAGCTGGGTGTGGCAGAGAACGCGCCGGAGTCAGAGACAGAAGACCTGGGTTGGAACACAAGTTCCACCACGAGCTGCATAAATAGGAACAGACCACAGGATCCTCTAACCTCGAGGTCCTCAAATGCAACATGCAGTCCAGTTCACAGCCTCGAACCCCGAAGCCCAACCTCGACACCCTAAGCACTGAACATTCTCACTCATTCGGTGAATCCTCTTCTGAACTGACACGGAACTATTTTTAGTCTTTATTTATTCCACTTAATGTGAATATTCAGGTTTCTTTGCAGAAGAATTCATGTGCTTGATTCGGGGGCACTCCAGATTCTCTGGGTTTGTTGCATAATCCTCACTGTGTGCACTTTATCACCTTTCTAAAATCACAGCCACTCTGAATTCTGAAACACTTCTGGTCCCAAGGGTTTCAAATGTAGAAGGAAGAGTGAACCCCACTGGAGGTAGCTTTTGTCTTCCATCAACAGAACAGGTTTCCTTCACCCGAGGCCCTGTCTGTCTCTGAGTCTCCAATGCCTGCCCCGCCTGCAGGTGAAATAAATGGTCCTGATTCCCCCATGTTCAGCATCTGAGCTCCTTCCATCGTGAGGCTACAGACAGAACAAGGAAACATCGAAGGATTAAAACATTCACTAATGAACTTAACGCTTAAAATATGTAGCCTCCATTCTTCTATCCATGAGGTCAAATTCTCCCCTGGCCAGTGAGTCAGTGATGGTCTGAGGTTGCAAACACCCAAGAACACAGGGCAAAGGCAACAGGAGTCAGTTCCAAGGAGACGCTGAGAGCGTGACACAACATGTCAGATTCCAAGTCAGTGAAAGGGACGTAGAACTCTCCACGTTCTAAGCAAATGGACACAGCTCACAAATGAAGATATGGCAGAGTTTGACTTATGAACAACAGGAGAGAAGACATTTAAAAGATAGTTATAAAATATGCACTCAGAAGAGATTGATTTAAGAAGTTTTAGAGAACCTCTTGGTAAAATTGATGCTACTCTTGATTTTCTTGTTGTATGTTAAAAAAAAGATTCTCTTTAGATGATGTCAGGAAATTCAAATGTGAAGTATGGGATACTATATAATGCTACCTTACAACTTTATCCAGAAGATTATGACATGGCTAGTCAACACTTCGTTCATTTATTACTTTAAAAATTAGCACATAATTACAATGATAGCATGTTTTGTTGACTAGAAGAAAGGAATATATTTTCATATTTTTAGCTTCCTATTTTTCCTAGACAAATTTCCAATCGACTCTTTTTTTTTACTATTTACTAAAACATACTGGCTTATGTTTTAACCGAATTCTTTCTGAGCGACCTTTTCCCTGTGCTGAGTGATCTTGGATGATAAAGACCTTCTGTCTATGTTCTAGAACCTCTTTGTTTTTCTGAGCAGCTGTCTGCTCCTGTAGCTTCTTCTACCCAACCCGGCTGCCACCCATTGGGCCTGGAAGCTGGGGAGCAAGCACATCAGCATCAGTCACCCTGGCCATTTGCTGTGGTCAAGGGGATGGAGGGTCTAGACACTAGTTGACACGGCACAGGGACTAGGGAAGGCTAAACCTGAAAAATACTCCCACGCCTCCTGGAGAGGGACCCAAGGCCTCCGGGCTCCTGCTGTCCCACCCTCCCTGGTGATCCCTGCTGAGGAAGCCAGCATCATGCTCAGCAAGCTCCGCCTCCACACAAATTTTCACCCTTAGTTCTGGAGACTTCCCGCTGGAGCCAGACAGGAGAAGCCTGGTGACAGCCCTTCTAGCCCTCGAAGACACCTTTCCCATCCTCTCTGTATCTTCTTTTCCGGGGCATCTTTCAACTATCTCCATGGCACAGGTCCCAGGACCCCTACCTGGCTTCTCCACCTCCTCAGGCTCCTTATCGACCCTTCTCCTACAACTCTATCGCCAGAAATGATGTGATTCTTGAGATATGTTATGAACTGCCTCGGTCATCAAAAATGAAGAGTAAATAATAGGCTTTAAGAAATATTCCTGGGGAACTTATGTCTCATTGACAACTCCTATCGAGGTCAGTGAAAACAAAATCTCTCACAAAATGATATTTTAAAGTATTTTTCTCTTATTTTTTTTTAACAGAGTTAACTTTTTGGACCCAACTACAAAAGACTGTATGAACTCATATTCCATTTCTTCTTGTCACAGTTTAGTCATTTTTATAGACTTCTGAGTTATTTTAATAGTCTTCCTTTATTTCTAATAGGAATTTTAGAAAGAGAGAAAAGTATAACCAAGGAAATAAAAATGATCCAAACTCTTATTGTTGGATATTTAGGTTGTTTCTAATCTTTGCATAGTATTAATCAATCTGCAATGAACACTCTCATAAATCATTTTGTGCACTTCTGATTATTTTCTTACTGTAAATGGCTTTAAGTGAAATTCATGCATAAAGACCTGGCAATCTTTAAAGCTCTTGCAATCTTGTTGAAACTGGATTAAATATGCAACATGTTAATTGTGTACATTTACATATTTGATAAATATCCTCCAAATTTTAGCTAAGTGTTCAAAGGCACAGTCTTGGGGCAAAGTAGTTTCTGCTTTTGTAATTTTATCTGAACCTTTTTTCCTCTGTTATCCTAAAATGTGGGTACCTGTACACTGAGCAAGCGTTGTGTATTAGACTATGCCTAACGTTCACCTGCTTCATCTGGCTGAGTCCTTGCAGCAGCTCTGAGTGGCAGCGTCATTCTTCCTGTTTTTTAGAGGAAAAGCTGAATCTGGTAGACTTTGCTCAAGGTCACATAACTGGAGATCAACAGAAGCAGCCTCCAAACTGAGGTTGGTCACACTCTGAAGGCTTAATTCTTACATGCCCTCATGAAGACATCTGCCTACGTGTCTGAGAGGTGAGCTCTCTTTCTGACGAGTTGCTGGGTTTATTTCAGGTTCCTTTGGGTGCCACTTTCATTGCCACATGCGTCAGCAGATGGACAGCTGTCAAGGGGGGTGCACATTTGCTGATGCGTCCCGGCTGAGGCCCCACAGAAGGAGCACCGCCCCACTGTCCCCTCAGTCTGCAGAGAGCACAGAGCAGGAGGAGGTCCTCAGTCTGCAGGGAGCACGGAGCAGGAGGAGGTCCTCAGTCTGCAGGGAGTGCGGAGCAGGAGGGGGTCCCAGTCTGCAGGGAGCACAGAGCAGGAGGAGGTCTCAGTCTGCAGGGAGCACGGAGCAGGAGGAGGTCCAAGTCTGCAGGGAGCACGGAGCAGGAGGAGGTCCTCAGTCTGCAGGGAGCATGGAGCAGGAGGTCCTCAGTCTGCAGGGAGCACGGAGCAGGAGAAGGTCCTCGGCAGCAGGAGGTATTGAGGCTGCATCCTCTGAGCCTGTGATTCTCCCTACCCCACAGTGACGCATGGGCCCTGCTGCTTCCTCCCCAGCATCCCCGCCTTGTCCCATGGGCCCAGGACTTCCGACTCTCCTGCTTCTCCTTGGTCTCCTTTGTTCAGACATTCAATCCAACGCGGACTTTGACGTCCCCCCCATCCCTTAAGGTCCTTTTATTTTGGTCTTCACTATTTATTCCATTCTGTGCGCCCTTTGCAATGGGTCCCAGGGGATCCCGAAGGCTTTCACCTTTCCTTTAAGCACCAGGCTGACTTACACTGGTGAGTCCGGCTCGGATGACAGCAGCACCTGCTTCGCGAGCCTCAGATGGCCCACTCCTTCTCAGAGAAGCTGGGCTGGAGGTGCTGTTGTTGTTGAACAATTTCCTCATAAACTGTGACCGATGTGGTAGACAGTTTGATTTTCCCACACCTGCCCCTCTGGGCCTCTGAGGATGCTTTCTGTAACCTGCACGGCCTCTGCCTGCCCGCTCCTTGCCAGGGTGCAGTCGGGCTGAGCCACAGAAGCAGACACTGCTCCTGACCCAGTGCTCCAGCAGAGGCCACAGAAAACCCAGGGAAAAGAGGGGAGTTGCCTTCACATGTGCCTAGGATTTCTTCCTGCTCTTTTTTGTTTAGTAAGACTGAGGATTAAGAGACACACAGGAGAGGGAATTCAGGAAAATCCAAGGAGAAAAGGGTGCTAATAGAGTTACCCTGCAGGCTGTGTGCTGTCTCCAGAGCATGTGAACGTGGTGAGCCGCAGGCTGTGTGCTGTCTCCAGAGCGTGTGAACGCGGTGAGCCGCAGGCTGTGTGTGTCTCCAGAGTGTGTGAACATGGTGAGCCGCAGGCTGTGTGCTGTCTCCAGAGCATGTGAATGCGGTGAGCCGCAGGCTGTGTGCTGTGTGTGTCTCCAGAGCGTGTGAACACAGTGAGCAGGCATTCGGGGTGAGCGCTCTGGGGTGTTGTGAAGCCAGTCCTGCACCAGGAGGATTGGGGACTCCATGACAACTTGATTTTTCCAAGAAAGGCACGACATGCAAAATGCATCTCCAAAGAGCAAGAAGGTGGCTCCGGAATGTCCTACTGCCCTCTGGTTTGGGTGAATACTTGGCACATCTATTCCGTCCCCAGCTCTCATCTTCTTACTTGAGCACTCCCTTCCCCGCCTCCTCTTATCTCCCTGCTCTTCTCACAGAGACCCTCTTCCCTGCTCCTCTCAAACACCCAAATGCCAAGAGGATGTTGGGGTGCAGGGCTCACGGTAACAAGGCAGAGGCATCAGGCTTTTCTCCACCCTGTACCGCAGGCCCCAGCTGCTCCAGCTCCAGCATGAGCTTCATGGACGTTACCACGACAGTAACAATATTAGGATCAGTGACGCTTCCCTGGGAGCCACACGTTAACATTTTCATATACTGGGGCTATTAGCTGCAAAGAATGGGACAGAATTGAGACACATTCATTTCTGTGATGCCTTCCATTAATCACTCTTAACAGCCAAAGACTGTCAAAACAGACAGGTGATATGCACTGTGAGAACCCACTCGTCAGCTCAGAGCTTTGACATTTTAATCTCCGTCATCTCAACTGCTGGAGAAACGAGGCCGAGATAACCTGGAATTCATAGACACACATGCACACACAGCATAGATGACACCACACACACTGTGTGTGTAATGATGCGTGTGCACAGATGGCTGTGTGGTATGTGCATAGAACAAATACACAGCACACACAACATATACGCACCCATGGTATACAAAGCAACCATGCTTATAAAACAATTCTGAAGGTTAGAATGGGGAGAAGACACTGCTAGGAAGAATAGGGTTGGGGCCACGGCCACACTGACCACTTCTACTCCCCGGGGACTGGCCTGTGGCCTGCGAAAATACATGCCTTTTTTTGTACATTTCAGAGCCATGTAATCTCTCACAGCTCTTAGCTGTTAGCACACACATGCTTTTAAAATGAGAGACTTTTAGGGCTCAGAGAAGAATAAGATGCAAGGGAGTTCCAGCACAGGCAGAAGGCAGCTGAGTTCATGGAAGCAAGGATTTGACTCGTAGGGTTCTTATCAACTGGGTCTCTGCACTGGACACAAATCCCATGGTTTAGGCATCCTCTAAACAACTTTGAAATGCGGGGCCCTCCCTGCTGAGATCGTCCTGCTAAAGGAAACACCTGGATTGATCATGTTCCCCTCTTTAATGTTGGTATTGACTTTGGCCTAAAAATGACAGGTTTCAAGACTGTCATTAGTCTAAATTACAAACAGATTATATGTTGATATAATAAATGTTTTACCTTTAATTTTTGTTTTAGTATCTTCTTATAAATGGGTATCAAACTATGCTGAACCTATTTATTAAGGCTTTCCTCTGAAAGATGATTTGGTTGCAAAAGAAAACCTTTCTTTATCAGAGGCTGCAGTAAGGTTCCTGTTCTGCTGGAGTGGGCTTCGGGCTCTGGACGGGGCAGCCGCTTGTGCACACTGTGTACAGCCCACCATGCTGCCTCTGCTCCTGTTATCTGTTGCTCCACAAACATTACTTCTTTTTCCCTGCCTGTAAAAACCTCCTCATCTTAAAAAAAGCCTGGCATTTTGGCACAATTTTATCCCACCCTATCCCCGGATTCATATGCTGGAGTCCTGAATCCCAGTACCACAGAATGTGACTGTACCTGGAGATGAGGACGTTAAAAAGGTTATTAAGGTGAAATGAGCTCATTAGGGTGGCCTCAATCCAATATGACTGGTGTCCTTCTAAGAAGAGGAGATGAGAACAGAGACACATTAGAGAGGACACCAGGAGAAGACGGCCATCTGCCGGCCCAGGAGAGCGGCCTCAGGAGAAACCAACCCTGCTGACACCCTGATCTGGGACTTTTGGCCTCCAGGATGGTGAGAGAAGGAATTTCAGTTGTCCAAGTCCTGCAATCTGCAGGACTTGATTGCGGCAGTCCTGGCAGGCTTGTGCACCTGGCTGGGGACACTGGCCCTGTGCTAGTTCCAGAGAAGAGCCTGCCCCAGGCATAATAATGAATAGCACCTTCCCATTACATAGGATTTCCTCCATTTCTAAAATCTGCTTGAGGGCAGAGACTTCTTTTCTCTGGCCACAAAGCTTCATGCCTTGCACATAACTAGTGCTCAAGACACTCTGGGTGACTGGGGATAACTAGACTCAGATCTCACTTCCATTTGAAGACCAGCTTCCCCTCCCCTTCCCCTGGACCCACACCATGGGTGCTGCCTAGAAGCTACCTGGCAGCCCCTATGATCAGGCCTCATCCTGAATTGCAGTAGGCCAAGCTGTGATTAGTGAACATGGAGGAAAAGCACAACGGGTTTTTGCAGAAGCTGCTCTGTGCACGGCTTTCCTCTGCTTGTAGAAAGGGTCAAATGCTCAGGACCTGGGGGGCTTGAGGCAAGAGGAAAGGCAGATTCCTTTCCAGCTTCCAACGTAGTGGATGGTGCTGAGGCCAAATCATTCACTCCTCCTACGAGAAGGCAACAATGACCAAGCGAACCCACAGGACACAGGCTGTGCAGGAAGCACGAGAGGCCCAATGGTGCGGACAGGTTTAACTGCAGGGAAGGGCATTTCAGTTTATTGTAGTAACATGACTCCTGTAAGGCGGAATTAAGATTCTGAGCAAAAACTCAGCAGAAGCTGCATGAAAAATGTCATCACAACTTAAGTCTGCAAATCAGCAACTCCGCTGATCAACCACAAAGTAATAAGGAGTAACAGCCTAGGAAGTTATGTTATTGAACCAGTGGGCAAACGTCTATCTGAGTGTAATGCGTTGATTTGTCACACTTGTGTGAAACCTTTACTGTTTCTTGACTTCCATGTACTAAAAGTCCCCATTTAGGACAATAGCTATGAGTAAAAAAATAGGCTGTTCTCCAGAAGAATCATATGCAGACACCTTTGCTTCTGATTCTTGGTGCATTTGTCTTTCATTGTAACAGTGATACATTCAATTGTGTCACAATTGCCCTTTAATTTGGAGCAACACCAACTGTAGCCAGCTACTCACAGGAGGGGCTGCACCACCCTGGGGCGTTTTCAGGAACATTGGCTCACCCTCTATCAGTGTCAGTGATAATGCTGGGATAAAACACCACAGGTTGGTAACAACCATCTTCTTTCGTATTCTCACTTGCTCTTCTCTTTTCTCTTCTTCTCCTCTCCTCCCCATCTCCTTCTCTGTCTCTGCATCTCTCTCTGTTTTTCTCTTTATCTCTGTCTCTGCGTCTTTGCCTTTTTCTCTCTCTGACTCTGTCTCTTTCTGTCTCTGCTCTCTCTGTCTCTATGCCTTTCTATGTCTGCCTCTTTCTGTCTTTGTCTCTGATTCTGTCTCTCCATCTCTATCTCTCTCTACCTCTTCCATCTCTCTCTATCTCTGAATCTCTCTCTCTCTCTCTCACTGTCTGATACACACACACGCACACACATACACAATTGTTTCCACTGGTTGAGAAGTAGGCTAAGCTTTTCACAGTTGAAGGCTCAATCCCAAAGTCTAAAGCGAAGCCATTATCAGTGAAAAGTTTGCTCAAGGATTTTCTGGTTTGTGGGGAACCAGGCAATTCCCTGGCAAGCCCCGCATTCTGGCCTCTGCTTGCTGGTGTGTACCGCGGCAACAATGCATCCCCCTCCCACTGGGCTGTTAGTGGAGCAGTGACAACGTCAGCCTGGAGCCCCAGAGGCCTCGCAGGCTTTCCCAGGGGAGACCAGCCCATGGAGCCACACAGTGGTGCTCAACCTGGGTGCAGCAGGGGTAAGATGCCAGGGGCTTCAGAAGCAGGAGGTTCCCAGCCTTTTGGAAGATTAGGACACAGACTCTCTAGCTGGCATGAACACTCAGGCAGCTCTCTAGCCAATGATTTCCACTGGCAAATGAGCAGGTTTCCATGGAAAGTCATTAATTATCTCCTATTTAATCATCCACTTTAAGAGTTTCTGTGGGTTGTGTAATTAAAGACACAGTACTTTATGGGGATTACTGGGGTACATAAAATCCCCAGCCCTGTGCCAAGGCTGTAGCGTTTGTCTCAAACACTGAGAATCTGTTCTGATGGTGACGAGGCATTCCTAGGCTTGCTTTGAGGCAGTGGGGCTGCTGGACTCACACTTCCTTAGCTTCTTGCTGCCTCCCAACCCACTCCCAGACTGAGGGAGGCAGGAAGGAAAAGCCCAGACTGTCTTTTGTCATGAAAGGGTTCCAAGGAATCGAGGAGCAGGCTGCCCTGCCTTGCCAGGACCAGATGAAAACTGCTAAAGAACAAGAAACTGGGGTGAAACGCAGGCAGACCTTGCTGTGGCAGGCATCTTTCCAAGATGGTCTTCAGTAACCCAAGCTCCCTTCTCTTCACTTCTCTGTGATATCCCCTTATTTTAAGTGTGATCTGCATCTAATGACTTGCCTTTAACAAGGAAAATAAGACAAAATTGATGAGATGTCACTTCTGTGATGAGGTGACAAAAGACTGTCACTTCCATCTCTGTGGCACTCTCTCTCTTGACTTCTTGTCCAGCATGCTTTCATGAAGCAAGCCGCCATGTTGGAGCAGCCCTCCTGGAAAAGAGCTGAGGATGGCCTCTGGCCAACAGCCAGTGAGAAACTGAATTCTGCCAACAGCCATGTGAGTGAGCTTGGATGCAGATCCTTCCCCAGTCAAGTCTCAGATGAGACCACAGCCCTGGATGACACCTTGTCTACAGACTTGTGAGACCCAGAAACAGAGGACCTGGTTGAGCCATGCCTGACTCCTGATCCATAAAAACTATGAGATAACAAATGTTGTTCTTTCAGGCCACTAAGTTTGTGGTAATTTGTTACGTAGTTATAGATTACTAATCCACTCCAACTAACTAAATAGAGGTTATGACTGTAATGAATCTTTATATTTTCAACACAATTATTTTTCAGAAGGAGAAATTACAGGCATAATAGTTATGTGTTCAGTAACTAATGTTGAGCTCCATTTTTAATAAGTTGGCAAAGGGGAGAATGGCCAAGTTGAAACCAAGGCATTTCTCTTTCCTTCATACTTTCAATAGGTTATGCAACCTTGTGCGGTAGCAAAATCCTATTGAATATTCAGTTTATGAGCCATTCATTTCTTGGAATCCTCCTGTTTTACCTGGTACTTGCAAATAGGTACTTCTTGTCCTATTTTACCATCAGAGTCAAAGAAAGGAGAAGCTCAGCTCAAACTTCCTGTATCTATATAGAAATTCTGATAGGCTTAGCTACTCATTTGTAATATTAGGAAAACATTGGTGAGACACATGGCAAAGGTAGCTGGTACATCCTTAGAAATTAGAAGATGTAGCCAGACCATAGAACAAGAGAAAAAGAGAGGAGGTGAAGGGTACCAAAGAAAATCAGACCACTTCATGAACTTACTGAGCACTGGTCCTGCCTGCAATCTTTGAGAAGTGACCCTTCCCTTTTTTTAACCCTGGAGTTTCACTGCCAGGGCTTGTGTGGCCCAGCTGAATGACAAGGTGCACCAGCTTGGAAGAGGAGGAAGAGAAGGTGGTAAGAGCCTGACACAGCCATTCATTTCCTCATCTACGTACCACAAAACTTCAGGCTCCATAGGAATATGTCTCAGAAGTCAGCTTAAAAATAATAATAACAAGCCTTCTGCATACTCATTTTCAAGGGCTCATACTGAAGCAACTCCAAGTGCCAGTCATCTCTACATAGTTGTCTAAACAGAGCCATCTTTCAAGGCTGACCAACAACAGAAATGTGTGCCACAGAATATAAATCATAGAAGGCAACTGTAAAACATGCACAATTTCACAATGTACCTGGCATTTTTTAGTATAGTGCCTTCTTTTCTTTTCTAGTTTTTTTGCTTTGTCTCTTTTTAAAACCATGACCAATGTTTTCTTTCTTCAACTACCCTTCAAAGCTCTGGAAAAGAACAGGCCACTGTGAGGTGAACATGGCACAGAATTCCAAGGGTATGACACATGTGATTGCTTTTTTGGTTTCTATCTGAAAGGATTGTCAGTGGAGGTTTGCTGTTTCTGTGAGTGTCATGGGATATTCTTCAGACACTCATTCTGTTTTCTGAGTATAAATTCCGTGAGTATATATAAGTCACCACAGAAGAAACTCCATTGGGCCCTTGTTGGAGCGCCATGTGAGATTACGAAGCACCACATTACAAACCCATTGTGATTAAGCAGCTTCTCTCAGCACAGGGCTCAGGTCATCGCCAGCCACTGAAAACCAAAGTTCAAGCTGTTCCATGCCACAACTCAGGATCTCCTTGTGAAGCGTGATGTTCTTCTTACAAATGGCAGTATAGAGGGGGACTGAATCAGAAGACAGAACTCACTTAAGAGACAGTACTACCGCAGAATTAGAAATAGAAGAGCAGACAGGGTTACAGGAGCCAGAGATGGTGCCAGGATCATGCCCAAAAAAGTGAGCAGCAGCCCTTAAAAAATTGCTCTACTGAGCCAGCAGAAGAATGAGGGTAGGAGTGTCCCAGGCAAGTGCCAGAGGGGTCAGGGATGGGGGCATCAGCTAGTGACCTCTTGGTTCATCAGGCCTAATAGAGAAGAAAGAATAAGACAGAAGCTAATTCCGGACTTGATAAACCAGGTGGACTTGACCTTTGGTTCCCATCGCCTCTCAGGATTGGAGGAAAGAGGACAGTGCTCAAGGCAGCCTGAGGTGTTTAGAGGAACTCTCTCCATGAACTTTCATTGCCCTTATTAAAGGACTTCAGATGAAGCATTTAGGAAAAATACCTCTCAGGAGACTTGGCATTTTCCATCTTGAGTAGAAGAGGTGAAAATATCTCTTGTGAGTTTTCAAAACTAAAAGCAGTCCCCATGCAAGTTTGTCTTTCAAATTTGTATTATCCAGTGGTCCATAAAATCTCAAGCCAACATTTTTGTTCTTGGTGAATTGGGCTTAGTAGTAACCCAGGCATTTGAAGAAGCAAATGAAAATCCTCTCCACAAGAACTTAACTTCAAACCAGGCCTCAGAAAATCCCCATAGATAAAATTCCAATAAATGTGAGCTCAGACTCAAAAACAAAAAGTGCACAAGAAAGCAAGACACCATGAAGAAAAGGCAGCAGAAATGATGCACATGCAATCAAATCTGCACAGACTTTAATCACAGAAATATCAGACCCATGTTTGCTTCATTTTGTATGAATGGGTTGGACCCAATTGTGGTGTTAGAAATGATTACAAGTGGTTAAGTTCTGGGTATACTTTGCAGGTAGAGTTGACAAGAATTGCAGACAGATTGGATGTGAGATATGAAAGACTGAAGTTGTGGATGAGTCTGAGTTTGGACCTGAATAGTTGAAGGAATAGATTTGCATTGTTCCAATAGCTGTGGTCCATCACTGCCACTTCCAGGACCCTTTGACCAATGGCAGTCCCAGGGCAACACCTTATTTTCCAGGAACAGCCCAGGAGTGGTCACTGTTTCAAGAACTGCATTCTTCCAGTGGTTTGGGTTCACTTTCCAAGTAGGAAAGACATCAAAAGGAGGAGGGCAGGGAAGGGATAGAGATCAGCCCTCTGATCTACCAAGTTTGCAATGTCCAAAAACAAACAAATGATGAGGTAAGGCATTCAGATAATGTAACTCTAGACTTCAGGGTAGACATATGGGCTCAACGTGTGATTCTGCATAATTTTTAGCATATAGTATTATAATATAGCTCCCAGGTCAAATGAAATCACTAAGAGAATGAAGGTA
The DNA here is from genome assembly GCF_000001405.40 of Homo sapiens. Classification (NCBI taxonomy): domain Eukaryota; kingdom Metazoa; phylum Chordata; class Mammalia; order Primates; family Hominidae; genus Homo; species Homo sapiens. The sequence goes on from NC_000007.14 coordinate 156,228,178, forward strand.
CACAGAGAAGAGAAATGGACCAAAGGAAGCCCCAGGACAAGAAAATTTTAGGGGCCAAAAGATGAACCATCAAAGGAAATTGAGAAGGAAGAACCAGTGAAGTAGGTTGAGAACAAAGAGAGATGGATATCCTGGAGGCCACCTGGACGTGTCTTTTAAGAAGGAGGCTGTGAGCATCTTAGTGAAAGCCACTGATAAGTGGAGTCAGGTGAGAACTGAGAATCTACCCCCGGACTTGACAATTTCCAGACCTTTGGTGGCTTGAGGAGGAGAAATTTCCATGGAATGGTGGAAGGCTAAATGGCTGGTTGGAGTGAGCTAAAAAGAAAATGGGAGAAGAGGAAGGTCAGACAAGGATAGAAAAGCATTTTGTAGAGTTTTGCTATAAGTGAGGCGGGGGAAGGAAGTGGCACATGAAGTTAGTGGTTACGAACACAAAGTAAGACCCCCGTCAGAATGGATCAGGAGCTGGAGGCATTCCAGAAATGAGCAGAACACAAAATCACCACAGACCAGAAGTCATATCAGAAACAGCACAAAGGAGATGAGACACATCTGTGAACACAGTGACAGACATGGAGAAGTGAAAATGAAATAGAACTACTGCATAAAGAGAAAAAGACAGGGACAGAATGTTAGATTTGAAAGCTAGACAAAAGAAATCTCTTGACATACATACATTAACATCCCTGAGGAGAACTAAAATAACAGGGCATAAAAATATTTCAAGATATAATTCAAAAAAACTTTCCAGAAATAAAAACAAATCTATAAGCATAAAGAACACACCAAAGCAAAACACACAACAAAATAATATAACAGACTATGAAACAAAAGAACCAATAAATATCCAAAGCCTGACATATGTCTTGGGCTGCAGTAACAAAATACCTGAGACCGGGCAATTTATAAACAACATGACTTCATTGCTCACTGTTCTGGAGGCTGGGAGGTCCAAAATCAAGGTGCCAGAAGATTAGGTGTCTGGTGAGAGCCTATTCCTCATAGATGGCACCTTCTATGTGCCATCACGTGGCAGAAGCTCAAGAGGAATAAATAAGCTCGTTCTCTAAAAGGGCACTAATCCCATTCATAGGGCTCCACCCTCATGACCTCCTCACCTCCCAAGGCCCCACCTCTCAACAACACACTGGGGATTCAAATTCAACATATTATTATTTTGAGAGGCACACAAACATGAAGACCACAGCAACATCAAATATGGATCAATGTTACAACCAAACATCCATTAGTTAAGAAGTATACATGTAATAAACTCCCATATTTAAAGAAAAAGATCAGGTAGAGTATATCAATAGGATACCATGGCAGCCAACGTAATACACAAGAAGCACACCTCAACAGTGACTCATAAATTTTGAAAATAAAAGGATGCAAAAAAAAAAAAAAAAGTACCAGCCAGATTCAGGTCACAAAAAAAGAAAAGAAAGGAAAACCTGCAAAAATTATTATACTAGGACAACTTTGCAGAAGAGAAATGAATGGAAAGGAATCAAGGAATCAAGCTACAATTATCAAACTGCATTACACTGGAACGTGAATAGATAAATAGATCAGTGTAACAGAAGACAAAGTCCATTAATAGGACCAAATACATATAGAATTTCATGTAGAATAAAAGTGAAAATTCAAATCAGTAGAGTGAAAGATGAATGGTCTCATGAATAGTGTTGTAATAAGTGGGTTGGCATCGGAAAAAACAGTTATAGCACTGCTTACTTCTTCAACAAATGTAAATTTTAGAATGATACAATTTTACACATAAAACCCCAAATATAAGAATAGTCTAAGAAAATATGGGGTGGTTTCTTTAAATCTTAGAGTATGATACAAAAATCAGAAGTCATAAAAAATGATATAATATTTAAAATATAAAATATTATCTTTATAAGGAAAAGTGTGGGAAATATAGTCAAAAAACAATTCAAAGTAGGAAAATAGAAAATATTTGCAAGATATAACATAGAAAAGAGAATTTTTATCTATAAAGAGTTTTTCAAATAAACAACCAAAAAATACAATAGAAAAATTGGCAATTTTTTCCAAGCATGTACTTCATTGAAAAGGAAATCCAAATAACTCTTAGGTATATAAAAAGAAACTCTCACTCAGAATAAGAGAAGTATACATTAAAAATACAAGGAAATAATTTTTAGAAGTCTGTCAGTTGGACAAAGATTAAAGGACTTGACGACATATTACGTTGTTAAGAGCTGGGGAAGCGGGCTCTGCGGTACAGTGATGACATAAATAGGAGCAGCTTTGAGGGGAACAACCTGGTAAGAGCTATAAACACTGAAATCTCTCAAACAATTGACCCTGCAATTCCACTTCTAATGATTTGTCCTATACATGAGAATGGCATACATACAACGACACTCAATGTAGCACTGATTTTAATTGCAAAAGATTGAGAACAGCAGAGGGAACAGGTCAAAGAAGTCACGCTATAGCCACGCAATGAAATGTCATGCAGGTGTGAAGAACAGAGCCATTTTAGATGCTTTTATATGAAACAAAATTCTACTATAACTGTTGTTAATGCAGGACATACAGAGCATGCGACATAAGGGGGACGGGCATGCGCTGGTGTGCGTGCCCACCGTGTGCCCGCCGCGCACCCACGTATGTGTAACTCACCTCTGGAAGAGCCCAACAGCCACCTCCATGGAGGGTTCCAGATGGCAACACGACAGCAGTGGGAAGGAAAATCCTTTTTTGCTCTATATTTTTTATAATTTTTGAATTTCTTTTTACATGTGCATATGTGACTAAGAAAAGGCCCTCAAAATATAAACTATGGGTTTCTTTTTATATATACATAAAGAAATGGATCCTTTGGTATCTCTGGTAGAAGGAACTTTTGAATTCTGATTGGGCAGGGGACTCTGGGCTGATACAGTCTAATCAAACCATTGTCCCACGGTGGGGGTGGGGAGGGTAGAGAAAAGAAACCCAGGACTGTGTTATAGTAAAGTGTCCCATTGGCACCGCTATTCCACGGAATGGCAGGGGCTCGCGACCAATCAAGGTGATTTTAGCTGCTCTTACTCACTTCAGGAGAATAACAAACAACTCAGCTTCAGTTCTACCCCTTTCTGGCCTATATTTTCTATAAATTTAGGGCAGGTCTCTGAGTGATGGCCGTGCCTTGCACAGAATTTTCTCTGTGGTGGGACAGGCTATATTTTTTGTAGCATCTCCCTTTGCTCCTCCAATGTCTGCCTCTCAAACCAAATAAATTCCTTTTTTATTGAGAAAACTTTTGCTGCAACCTACCCTGTGGTCCCCGTTAGGGAGCTTTTCTCCATTTAATTTTCAGATGTCTGCCTCTTAAACCAAAGACATTTTCAGTGTTTTGGGAAGAACAGCCACTGTGGCTTACCTGGTTACCGTCCCTTAGGAAGACTGTTTTTAATCTTTTGCTTCTTAGTCTCAAACGAGGCAACAGATGAATTCGAAATTACACCAAAAATAAAACACTTATAGATGCTTTCTTGTTTGTTTTAAGGTAGCTGTGAAAACCACTAAAAACATGGGTAACTTTAAGCCTTCTTAATGGGACTTAAATGTTCATGGTGGGAAAGGATAAAACTAGAAATTACGGGCCGAGCGCGGTGGCTCACGCCTGTAATCCCAGCACTTTGGGAGGCCAAGGCGGGCGGATCATGGGGTCAGGAGATCGAGAACATCCTGGCTAACACAGTGAAACCCCATCTCTACTTGGAAATACAAAAAATTAGCTGGGTGTGGTGGCGGGCACCTGTAGTCCCAGCTACTTGGGAGGCTGAGGCAGGAGAATGGCGTGAACCCGGGAGGCAGAGCTTGCAGTGAGCTGAGATCGCGCCACTACACTCCAGCCTGGGCGACAGAGCGAGACTCCTCTGCTCAAAAAACAAACAAACAAACTAGAAATGACAATGGAATTCAATTATCCATGACATCATCATCTAGTGAACCCAGGGAACAGAGAAATGCCACAGGGGCAGGTGTTCAGGTGTGGCTTGGAGAGGCATGGCAGCTGGAAGCAGCTTGAGATTGGCATTTCCCTTTGGGCACAGTGTCAGGACACCCAGGTTCGGGGCCAAGCTCTGCCTCTCACTAACTGTGACTTGGGACAAGTTGCTCAGACCCATCTTTTCTTCTAGGTGTTTTGCCTTTATCTCTCCATTAAGCCAAGACACTAAAAAGCTGTCTCTTTTTTATCTCCCCTTGAAGAATTCTTTGGCCTGAAATCCCAGGGTCCTCTGTGGGTGCGGCCAGCCTGCACCCACCTGGCCGGCTGTAGAACGCTCATGAGGGCCTGGCTGCCGCCTGGCTGCACCCACCTTGTGTCCCCTTCTGAGCACTGAGATCCTCTTCAGTCACCTTTTCTTGACCTTGCAACTGGTGTGACTTTAGCTCAAAACAAAGATAAACTTTGGAAAATGTCACAACTCCTTTTTCATTTTCCCTCTTAGTACAATCAGAGCTGAACCTACAGCCCCGTCTTAAAAATCACGTTAGATCTGACAGCACTTGCTTGCTTCCCTGCTGGCTTCTGGTCCTGTTGCAATTCTGCACATTTGTTCTCCACCAGACACGCTTACATGTGTGTGCACACATATGCATTTCTTAATGTCCGTTTAGTTTTTTAATTCATCATTATATGTGCATTGTAATTGAATTGTGATAGGTCCTTTTTGGGAATATGTGGGGCTTAAATTACGTAAATCCATGAGGACACACTCCTGCCCCCAGTCCCATTCTCCAGTCAGATTCCATGTTGTAAAGGTGGAGTGGGGACCGTAGTGCCCAGTGTCCACATTAGAACCCTGCTGTTCCGTGACCCAGAACCAGGACAGGAGCCACCTGTGGTTCAGGTGAGGGCAAGAGTCCACGGAGCCCGGACAGGAGCGGCAGAGCAGGCCGCACCTCCCGGGCACCTTCCGGGGCTGAGCACCCGAATGCAAATGCGCACCCCCCTGTCTGTCGCGGGCGGCGGGCGGGGTCGGGGGGAGCAGATGCTGTCCTCTGACGAGGCGGCTGTTCTTGCTGAGTCTGAAGAATCCCTTCAAGAGCCAGTAATGAGAGGAGCTGAAGCTTGCGTTGATTACAGACTGTATCAGAATGTCAACGACAAGGGCAGCACGTGGGAAGCGGCGCATTCCACCCACAGAGCCCGCAGGGAGCACAGAAGTGGAGCAGGGGGGGCTCTCCCCGAGGTCCCGGCCTCCCTGGATGGATGTGCCCCACCGCTGGCAGGGGGTGCTTGGGCGGCTTAAACGGCACAGGACAGGTCTGCATGGAGGCCCGGGCCTCGTGATGCCATTCTGGGGAGGGGGAGGGGCAGCCCCAAGACCTTGCAGGCGGACTTGGCCTGGAAGGTAGAGCCACCACCAGGACCCGTGCAGGGCTGCGGGGAACGGGGAAAGAAAACAGGTGTCCTCCCTGGAGAGGCTGCTTATGTGATAAAGTCAGGTCCCCAGAGCTTGGAGGGCCCTGCGGGAGCGTGTTCTGGGAGGGAGTCAAAGAGAACAGAAGAGATGGTTGGACAGAGGTGGGGGTCACAACAGGTGGAACTTCCAATGAGGGCAGCCATGGGACATGGGATGCGGCTTCTCTGTCTCCCCTGTGGCGTCTGTCCACCGTGACAACCTCTAGGTGACTCTCAAATTCAGTAGACGGAGGAGAAGCCACACATGTTGCCACCAGTTCTGACTTGCTGCGTGGGATCTTTCTCCCTGCTCTAGGATGCAGAATGCTAATGCTAATCACATGCTGCTGCTGATACTGATACCAATAGCAACACTAATGCCAATAGTACCACCAACGCCAGTGCTAATGCTAGTACTAATGTAAGTAGTAATGCTGACGCTAAGAGTAACACTAATACCAATGCAAATGCTAATACTAACACCAGCAGTAATGCCAATAGTAACATGGATACTAATGCTAATGCTAATACTGATACCAGTAGTAATGCAAATGCTAGATGCTGATAGTAGTACTAATGCTGATACCAATAGTAACGCTAATGCTGGTAATATTATTAATGCTAGTGCTAATACTAATGTCAATGCTAATGCCGATACTAATGCTGATAGTAATACCAGATGTTAATGCTCATACTAGTAATAATGCTAACACTAATGATAATGCTAATAACAACACACACTAATGCTAATTCTAATACTATGATTATATAGGTAGTGATGCTAATGCTAATAGTAACACTAATGCTGGTGCTAATGCTAATACCGACAGTAATGCTAATAGTAACACTAGTAATAATGCTAATGCTAATATCACTAGTAATACTCATGCTAATAGGAACATTGATACTAATGCTAATACCAAGAGTAAAGTAATGCTAACGCTAGTAATAATCTTAATGCGAATGCCAATGGTAATGCTGATGCTAATACTAACAGTGCTAACGCTCATGGTACCACTAACACGAACGCCTGTGCTAACGCTCCCATGGCAGATGTGCTGGGCACTGTTTTGTGTGCTTTACAAGTACGAAACCCTTTAATCTCCATAACAACCCTATGGGGTTATCAGCCCCACTTTATAGTTGAGCAAAGTGGTAAGGCTGGGAGCACACACCCAATGAGTGGACTCCACATGTTACCCCCATCTTATTGGTTACAGACCCTGAATGGCATGGCTGCAGGAAATCAGACCCCAGTCCTAGGTGGGGAGGGGCCCTCACTGCTTTTACTGGACCTCTGCCCTGGAAATGCCCCCTGTCTCACGTGGTCACTGCAAGGAGAGCGAGCGGATCACACTTCTGCGTTTATTCAGCTGCAGTGTGGAAAGGGACCTACCAGGCTACATAGTGGACAGCATCCTAGCAGACTGCGCTTGTGCATTTATTCAGCCGCAATGCGGAAAGAGGCCTCCCAGGCTTTGTAGTGGACAGTGTCCTAGCCAAGGGCCCCTCTTGGGCCAGGTCTGCCTCTTTCTGCTCCCTCCTTTTCAGGATGTGGCTTTTCTACTTTGGGCCTCAGTGGTGAACAGGGTCCAAGCCTTTCCTAATCTCATAAAAACCAGTGGCTGCATGTTGTGAGGGGACAAGCCACCAAAAGCCCCTCCCAGAAAGCATTTGGGCTTCTGCCCTGGCCAGCCTGCTATCGGCCCAGTGAATAGAGACTCACGTGGCCAAGCCACCCAGATGCTTATTCTGAAGACCCAACCCCTAAAAGACCAGTGAGTCTGGGTATCTTTGTGCACATAGATTATTGTAGCAAGTTCATCATTCAAATGGCTTTTTTTTTTCATGGACCTTACTTTACTTGCACTGTTGTTCAACAACTTAATGCAGCAACAAACCAGACAAAGTGGTCATTTAGGGATGGAGTCTTTGCACGGACTTTGCTGAAAGTCCAGGCTGGTTCAGGTAGGATAACAGAGAACTGCAGCAGGGCAGTGAGGACAAGGGACCCTTCACTACCCTTTGAAATATTATCACCTTGACAACCACACATGTGAGACCAGCCCAGGGACCAACTGCCGCTTCCTCAAATGCATTCCCTACTTACCTGCTACTGAATGCACCTGACCCTGTAGCACTAGAGCATTCCTAAAACGAATGCTTCAGAGACCATGACAAAATGCACATTCCCTCTACAGGAGTGACATATGGAATGATTATCAACTTGGATGTTTGAGGATTGGCAGCATTAGCTCCACCACTGCAGAGTTCTGAAGGGTAGGACACAGGGCAAGAAAGTGCTGGCTGGGAGGAAGGAAGTGAAAGTGATGGAGAATATGGCAAACACCTTCAAGTCTATGGACCTATTCCTGATGGCTCTCCTGTTCCACAGGGAGCACTGTCATGCCTGATGCAGGGGGACCACGCTGGTTGGAGACGCTGAAATGGAAGGGGAGGGGGAAAAGAAGATCGTGCCCACGTCAAACCCTCCAGGTGAAAAAACAAAGCAAATCTGAAACGCATTTTGCTTTTGGAGTAACAAAAAAGTAAATGGAGATGGTGTTCCTATTTTTGTCTTTATTTTCTTTGACACAGGGTCTCGCTCTGTTGCCCAGGTCGGAGTGCCATGGTGTGATCCAGGTCACGGCAACCTCGACCTCCTGGACTCAATCAATCCTCCCGCCTCAGCCTCCTGGGTAGTTGTTCCTATTTTTGTAACAAATCCCAACCGTCCCCGCCTGCTGTTCAAGGAGGATAAAAGAGAGAGGAGAGATGAGCAGCTCCATGGGCTCTGCTGATTGAGGCGCAGAGGATCGGTGCTGAGAGTGGCATGGGTTGAATAAGGGCAGTGTCCTCACCACCAGTTTGCATGCACTCTTTGTGCTGGACACAGCATAAAGTCTCGTCAGTTTGGGCAACTGGAAATCCTTATTAAGGAAGTGAGTCCCAAGCATCCTCAGTCGTCCCTCTAAAAACAGGGACAGCCTGGAAGAGCCTGGAAGCTGACGAGGCTGCAGCGCAGCTCCCCTGAGCGTGCCCCGTGTGGGGCAGTTGTCTGCAGCGTTGACACCCGTCCCGTGCGGTGCACACTGCCCTGGAGCTGCCGGAGCCTCAGAGCCAGATTCTCGGCAGATGTTGGAGAGAGCAGGTGGCCTAGGGAGGCAGGCAATTTTAACATCATCTCTCCCAGGCCAAGAGCTTTTGTCAACGTCCCTGAGAGCAGCATAGACATCAACCTTGATTCCCGAAGGTCCTTAATTGTCCCCAGCACTCAGGATTTCATCACCTGGATGTTCAGGCTGAGCAAGAACAAAAAAGGCAAAGGCGGTCGGGGATGTGGACCATTTCACCAAGGTCGGCCTCCACTTCAGCCCCAATTTCCAAACCCATGTCGGGGGCGACTTAGTTAACACCAACAAGGGGACGTGGGGCTATACAGTGAGACTGTGGATTCTGATGTGCCAGGGTTGAGTGAACTCCCCAACACACACACACACACATGTCCATGCGTGCCAGGCTGCTGAAGAGGGGAGGTCTGCCCTCACCGGCTCAGCACCACTCCTGCCCGGGCACCAGGCTGCCAGGCCAGACCAAAGGAGGCATCACAGTCAGGGAGCTTGCAGGCATTTCTCACTAGAGCAGAAAGTGACAATCATCCTGAATCCTTCTATTGAAGATTTCAATAGAACTGATCAAGATCACCACCGCATCTGTGCAACGCAGAGGCCTTCAAGAGAGCACGTGGCACTCTCACTGTGTGGTGTGTGTGTGTGTGGGGGGGGTGTGTGCATGCATGGTGCTTCGGTGTGGTGCATGTGGTATGTGGGGTGTATGTGGGATATGTGGTGTTTGAGGTAGTGTGTGTGTGTTTCATGTACGGTGTGTGTGTGTTGTGTGTTTTTGTTTTGTGTGTGTTGTGTGTGGTGTGTTTTATGTGTTGAGGGCTATGCATTATGTGTGTTGTGTCTGCACGGTATGTGCCTGCATGCATGGTGTGTGTTGTGTGTGTGCATGATAAGTGCCTGGTGTGTGTGTGTGCATGGTCTGTATTGTGTGTGTAGTGTGTGTTGTATGTGCTGTGTGTGTGCCTGGTGTGTGTTGTGTGCCTGGTGTGTGTTTTGTGTGCATAGTGTGTGTTGTGTGCCTTGTGTGTGTGTGCATGGTCTGTGTGTGCACAGTGTGTGCACAGTGTGTGTACATGGTGTGTTGTGTGTTTGTGTGCACGGTCTGTGCTGTGTGCCTGGTGTAGGTTGTGTATGCTGTGTGTGTGTGCCGTGTGTGTGTGCATGGTCTGAGTTATGTGCCTGGTGTATATTGTGTGTACTGTGCGTGTGCCGTGTGTGTGTATGCATGGTCTGTGTTGCGTGCCTGGTGTGTGTTGTGTGCCTTGCGTGTGTGTGCTGTGTGTGTGCATGGTCTGAGTCATGTGCCTGGCGTGTGTTGTGTGCCGTGTGTGTGCATGAGCCATGTTGTGTGCATGAGGTGTGTTGTGTGTGTGCCCAGTGTGTTGTGTGCATGGTCTGTGTGAGGTGAGGTGCCGTGTGTGTGCGCTGTGTGAGCCAGGTGTGTGACAGGCACACCTGGTGAGGATGGGCAGGTGGTCGGCTTCCAGGTTGGGCCCTTGGAGCCCTTCCTGGAGGTCCGGGCAGGTGGAGCAGCCCCTGTGCAAGGAAAGCGGCAGGGCCTTACCCGGGAGCAGAAAGCCCTGGGCCATCTCTTCCCCTTCTTTGATTCTGCAGCAGCACAGTTTTTATGACCTGTGTTCCCTAAAAGTTTCTGCAGAAAAATATCACTGTTTCACTTTTCCTGAGGTAAAAGAGTTCATTTTAGGTAATAAATGCTGCCTCGCCTAATCCAAGGAAGCGATAGCGGCGATGATACAGACAAGGTACTATTTTTCTCAGTCATGATTTAGGTCACAGCTTCCTCAGATTGGCTATTGCCATAGCAACCAGAGCTTTTGCCTTTGTGCGGGGACTTGTAATACTATTCCTCAAGGTAAAGGCAACATCCAGAATCCTACAAAAGATGCCTACCTGACACCCAGGACACACCACCCCTGCACATACACCCCGCAAAAAGGAAAGTCAGCATCATCTCATTTGTTTAAGAACCCACTTCATCTTCTTAAAGATGGAAATGTTAGCAGCCATCTCTTTCCTGGAGGCCTTCTGGAACTAAATATAACTAGTGTTCTGTAAGGTCTTGGAAAAATCAAATTAGTGGGAGATTATCAAGGCTCAGAACCCCCGCGTCTCCCGCAGTGCAGTGAGGTCACCCAGCGAACGTGACGCTTGAGCCTCATGCTGCGCCCGCCTCCATGGTCCAGCCCTGAAGGCCTCCTGCGTTCTGCTGCTGGTGACAGAGTGCCCGTCCTTGTCAGGGCATGTCATATTTGTTGTCCAAAATGCACACTTTTGAGCTCTCTCTGCATTCAAAGAAATTATATTCCAGACAGCCCCGCAGTTGTCTGGTTCAGATCTGGACGGCTCCCTTGTCGTTCATTTGAAATGCACCCAAGGGTTAACTGAGCACAACACTGGCTGATAGAGGAGAACGGCTTCACCACCTACACCCCCCTCTGCCCACGTCCCCAGGAAGCCATGTCAGGGCAGACCAGGCACCTTCTCATTCTGAGGAGAGTGCATCTCAGCCCAAATATTGTGTTCCATTTAGAGAACACTGAACAGATTAACAGTGAAGCTTCTCCAAGAAACGGTGGACAGAGAGCACCTGGAGAGTCCCGGGCTGTGGCCACAGAATTGCGCCAGTGAAGCTGGCGGTTGACTTCAAATACCAGAGCATCTTACTTGGGGAAGGATTGGCCTCATTCATGTGATTCTAACCCAAGGTAACATTAGAAACATGCTAGGGTTTATCACATGCCAAGCATGCTGTGGGCTGTGTTGCGTGGGAGCCCTCATCACGGCCCTGCAGTAAAGACGCTTTATCTTTGTCTCTGTCTTTGAAGACTCTGAGAAGCAGGTAGATGAAGCACAGCACCAACTGGATGTAGCCACAGTCTCCAGAGGTCAGTCCTGAAGGCAGGTGTGCTAGGAGGCTTCTGAGCCAGCCCAAGAGTCCACCCCAGGTGTATACACCTTGTGTAGCCCCTCTTCCCCAGTGTGGGGAGGCCTGTGAACAGGCTAGGATGCCACTCCCAAGATCAGGTTATGTCTACAGTGAGGGTGAAGGGATTTTGAAGATGTAAATAAGGTCCCTATTCAGTTGACTTTCAGTTCAACCTTAGGGAGATGGCCCTAGGTGTGCCTGACCTACCCAGCAAGCCAGGCCTTCCCTAAAGGGGAGACAAGAAATCAGGTATTCTTCTCCCAGCCTTCTAGAAGCAAACTGCCATGAGTTCTGCATGAATTCTGCCAACAAGCCTGTGAGCTTAGATGAGAATTTCAGCCCCAGCCTGCAGCCTTGATTGTGGCCCTTGAGAGACCCATGCAGAGGAGCTAGCCCACCTGACCCCAATCTCCTGACCCACAGAAGCATCATAAATGTGTTTTGCTTTCAGCTGCTGAGAGTGTGGTACTTTGTTAAGCTGTGATAGAAAACTAACACTTGTCTGATAGCCAAGTCCATGCTTTTATGGCTGAGGATAAACTGCCTTGCTCAGTGGGGAATTTTCAACAAATCGGGGTTGTCCTACGATGAACCCATCTGCATTGCCACACGTCAGTGAAAACAGCTAGGCAGAGGCTGAGAGACAATCTTTTGGAAGAATTTAGAATGAGGACGACTAAGTCACCTCCAGGGTCCTATTTAATTCAGATTTTATGACACTTATGAGAAGTATAATAATGACAATTTATTGATTTGAGAAGCTTAAAATAAATGTATGGCTCTAACTGTTCCTATAATATTTATACACCAGAAGTCATTCTAAAACATGAAAGCTAAGCTAATGGAAAGCTTAGGAGATAGGTAAATAAATACACTTTAATGCTTGTATTAGTCAGTTCTGCTGCAGTAACCACAATCCCCATCCCAGGGGCTGGTCATAACCAGCCCTTATTCCCTGCATGTGTGGTGAGTTGGCTGCTGCACCTCTACCACAGGCCTTTTCACTCAGGGATCCAACCTGGCAGGGAGCCACCTGGGGCAAGTGGTTCTCAGGACACAGGGAAAGAGCCAGACAGCCAAACTGGCACACCCCACACACACAGGCTGTGGGCCCAGTGGCTTGGGGAGATTATTTGACCTCCAGAAAAACTTTGCTGATCTCATGGGAATACACAATCCTCTAACATGGAGTAGAATAAAGTGGCTTGGGAACCACATGGCTGGAAAAAAAGTGTAGACAGGATTAAGTCATTGACTTAGTGAACACACTTTCCTAATATCATTTTAAATTTAATTATAAATATTCCTATGCTGTCTGTCCATAATTCTCATTCATAACCTTTTCCATGGAATGAATTACTTTAGGGTTAATTTATAGTATTAAATTCCTACTTCTGCTTTTTACTTACCTTTTACATTCCACAAGTTTTGAAAACTCCCAGGGATTCTCTACAACTTAGATATGGCCATATTGCTCATTTGAAAGTTTTAAGGACAAATATTCTATAATACCCTAATTTATTTAGAGGCCCATTATCCAGAAACCTCATCTACCTGCAATCACTGGGAAATGTCTCTCTAGGTTCACACACTGGGCTCAGAAGAGATGCTTTTGGAGGCCTTTTTTCAGACCCCAAAGAGCTTCATTTTGCTGAGGATTACAACAAGCTTTGTTATCTCATTTTCTACAACACAGCAGAATGACAGGAATTTAGGAAAGAGGAAAGTGGGGCTTCTGGACACAGGGCAGGAAGCAGACCATCTCCTGACAGATTAACAGGAAGAGAAGAGAAAGAAAAACCATCAAAGTAGGCTCAAGAACTCAAAAAGCAAAGTAGTCTGAGCTCCTTCGCTATGTGACAAAAGCCCTCACATGTCAGCAGCCCCTAAGGCTTGTATTGTATCTCAGCAAACATTTATTGGGAACTTAGCCTGTGCCAGTTCTTAGCAACATGAAAAGGAAGAGCACAACAACCCCTGCTATCTGGCAGTGTATGTCCTTGGCATCTTTGTTGAAAATGAGTTCACTTATAGGTGTGTGGATTTGTTTCTGGGTTCTCTGTTCTGTTCCTTCAGTCTGCGGGTCTGTTTTTATGCCAGTAACATGCTCTTTTGGTTATTATAGTTCTGTAGTATAATTTGAAGTCAGGTAATGTGATTCTGCCAGTTTTGTTATTTTTGCTTAGGATAGCTTTGGCTGTTCTGGGTCTTTTGTGGTTTCACATAAATTTTAGGGTCTTTTTTTCTATTTCTGTGAAGTATGTCATTGGTATTTTGATAGGGGTTGCATTGAATCTGTAGATTATTTTGGCTAGTGTGGACATTTTAACAATATTTATTCTTTCAATCCATGAAGATGAAATATCTTTCCATGTTTTTGGTGCCCTCTTCAATTTCTTCAATTTCTCTTCAATATTTTATAATTTTTATTATAGACATCTTTCGCTTCTTTGGTTAATTCCTAGATATTTAATTTTATTTGTGGCTATTGTAAATGGGATTTTTTAGATTTCTTTTTCAGATTGTTTACTGTATCATGTAGAAATGCTACTGATTTTTGTGTATTTATTTTGTATCTGGCAACTTTACTGAATGTGTTCATCACTTCTAACAGGTTTTTTGTGGAAATTTTAGGTGTTTTCAAATATAAGATCATATCATCTGCAAACAAGGATAATTTGACTTCTTCCTTTCCAATTTGGATGCCCTTTCTTTTTCTTGTCTGATTGCTGTAGCTAGGACTTCCAGTGCTATGTTGAATAACAGTGGTGAAAGTGGGTATCCTTATTGTGCTCTAGATCTTAGAGAAAAGGCTTTCAGTTTTCCCTTCAGTATGATACCAGCTGGATCTATTGCATATGGTGTCTATTATGTTGAGGTATGTTTCTTCCATACACAGCTTTTAGGATTGTTTTAATTATAAAGGGATGTTGACATTTTATCAAATGCTTTTTTAGTATCAATTGAAATGATCATATAGTTTTTGTTCTTCATTCTGTTGATATGATGTAGCACATTGATTGATTTGCATATGTTGAACCATCCTTGCATCCCAAGGATAAATCCCACTTGGTATTGATAAATGGCCTTTTAAATGTATTGTTGAATTTGGTTTGCTAGTATTTTGTTGAGAATTTTTGCATCAATATTCATCAGAGATATTGACCTGTAGTTCATTCATTTTCTTTCTTTCCTTCTTTCTTTTTCTTTCTTTCTTGCTTTCTTTCTTGCTTGCTTGCTTGCTTTCTCTCTCTCTTTCTGTCTCCCTTCCTTCTTCTCCTTCCTTCCTTCCTTCCTTCCTTTCTTCCTTACTTCTTTTTTTTTTTTTTTTGATGTGTCTTTGTCTGGTTTTAGGATCAGGGTAACACTGCCTCATAGAATGAGCTTGGAAGTATTCCCTCTTCCTCACTTTTCAGAATAGTTTGAGTAGTATTGGTATTAGTTCTGCTTTAAATGTCAGGGGGCAGTAGGGGGAAGAATTCAGCAGGGTATTCATTAGATCAAAGAGTTAACTGGGAGACTTTTTACTACAACTTTGATCTTGTTATATGTTATTGGTCTGTTTAGGTTTTCTTCATGATTCAATCTTGATAGGTTGTATGTGTCTAGGAATTTGACTATTTCTTCTAGATTTTCCAATTTATTGGCATATACTTGCTCATAGTAGCCACTAATGATCCCTTGAATTTCTGTGGTATCAGTTGTAATGTCTCCCTTTTCATCTCTGATTCCATTTGTTTGGATTTTTTCTTTTTTTCTTAGTCTGGCTAAAGGTTTGTCAGTTTTGTTTAACTTTTCAAAAAGCCAACTTTTTGTTTTTTATTTATATTTTATATTGTTTTCTTCCTATCATTTCATTGATTTCTGCTCTGCTTTGTTTCTTTTCTATTCATTTTGGGTTTTGTTTGCTCTTGGCTTTTTTCATTAAGATGTATCATTGAGTTGTTTATTTGAAGTTTTCTTCCTTTTTGATGTAGGCACTTATATAGCTACAAACTTCCTTTTTAGCACTCCTTTTGCTGTATCTCATAGGTTTTGGTATGTTGTGTTTCCATTATTTGTTTCAATAAATTTTTCAATTTCATTCTTAATTTATCCATTGACCCAGTGGTCATTCAGGAGCATATTGTTTAATTTTCATGTATTTGTATAGTTTTCAAAATTCCTCTAGTTATTAATTTACAGTTTTATTCCATTGTGGTCAGAGAAGATGCTTGATATTATTTCAGTTTTTTAAGTGTTTTAAAACTTGTCTTGTGATCTAACATATGATCTATCCTTGAGAATGATCATGTTCTCAATGTGCTGAGGAAAAGATACATATATTCTGCAACTATTGGGTGAAATGTTCTGTAAATATCTGTTAGGTTTATTTGGTCTATAGTGGAGATTAAGTCTGATGTTTTGGTGTTGATTTTCTGTCTAGAATATCTCTTCAGTGCTAAAAATAAGGTGTTAAAATCTCCAGCTGCTATTGTATTGGGAACTGTCTCTCTCTTCAGCTCTAATAATATTTGCTTTATGTATTCTGGGTGCTCCAGTGTTGGATACATATATATTTACAATTTTTATATCTCCTTTATCATTGTATAGTGACTTTCTTTGTCTCTTCTTACAGTTTTTGTCTTGAAATCTATTTTGTCTGATATAAGTAAAGCTACTCCTGCTCTTTATTGGTTTCCATTGGCATGGAATATCTTTTTCCATCCCTTTATTTTCAGACTGTATGTTTCTTCTAAGCCATAGATCATTGGGTCTTATTTTTTTTAATCCCTTCAGACACCCTATGTCTCTTGATTGGAGAGTTTAGTTCATTTATCTTCAATGTTATTATTGATAAGTAAAGACTTACTCCTGCCATTTTGTTATTTGTTTTCTGATTGTTTTGTGGTCTTTTCTTCCTTCTTTCTTTCATTCCTGTCTTTCTTCTAGGCAAGGTGATTTTCTCTGGTGGTAGATTTAGTTTCTTGCTTTTTAGTTTTTGTGTATTTGTTGCATATTTTTGGGTTACCACGAGGCTTGCAGATACTATTTTATAACTCATTACTTTAAGCTGGTAACAACTTAACACTTTTTGCATAAACAAACAAAATGAAAACTAATAAAAACTCTAAGCCTTGAGTTCGTCCCCCCACATTTTAACTTTTTGTTGTTTCTATTTATATCTTATCATACTGTCTTATGTCTTGAAAAGTTGTGGTCACTATTTTTTTTATTTGTTCATTGTTTAGTCCTTCTTTTTAAGAGTAGTTTACACACCACAGTTACAGTGTTGTAATATTTTGTATTTTCTGTAAACTCACTATTACCAGTGAGTTTTGTACCTTCAGATGATTTCTTATTGCTCATCAACATCCTTTACTTTCTGACTAAAGTAATCTCTTTAGCATTTCTTGTAGGACAGATCTGGTGTTGATGAAGTCCCTCAGCTTTTGTTTGTCTGAGAAAGTCTTTATTTCTCTTTCATGTTTGATAGTGAATAGTATATATTGTTTGATTTGAATACTATATCTACCAGATATACTATTCTAGGGTAAAAGTATTTTTTCTGTCAGTGCTTTAAATATGTCATGCCACTCTTTCCTAGCCTATAAGGTTTCCACTGAAAAGTCTGCTGTCAGACATATTAGAGCTCCATTTTATGTTATTTGTTTCTTTTCTGTTGCTACTTTTAGGATTCTTCTTTTATCCTGAATCTTTTGGGGGTTCATTATTAAAGGCCTTGAGGTAGTCTTCTTTAGGTTAAATCGGATTGGTGTTCTATAACCTTCTTGTACTTAGATATTGATCTCTTTCTCTAGGTTTGGAACATTCTTTGTTATTATCCCTTTGAATAAACTTTCTACTCCTATCTCTTTCTCTACCTCCTCTTTAAGGCCAGTAACTCTTAGATTTGCACTTTTGAGCCTGTTTTCTAGATCCTGTAGATGTGCTCCATTTAAAAAATTATTTTCTGATTTGTGTCCTCTGACTCTGTATTTTCAAATAACCTGTCTTTGAGTTCACTAATTATTTCTTCTGCTTGATCAATTCTGCTATTATTGCATTTTTCAGCTCCAGAATTTCTGCTTGGTTCTTTTTAATTATTTCAATCCCTTTGTTAAATTTATCTGATAGAATTCTGAATTCCTTCCCTGCGTTATCTCGAATTTCTTTGAGTTTCCTCAAAATAGCTATTTTGAATTCTCTGTGTAAAAGGTCACACGTCTCTGTTTCTCCAGGACTGGTCCCTGTTGCCTCATTTAGTTCATTTGGTGAGGTCCTGTTTTCCTAGATGGTCTTGATACTTGTAGATGTTCATCTGTGTCTGGGCATTGAAGAGTTAGGTATTTATTGTAGTCTTCTCAGTCTGGGCTTGTTTGTACCTGCCCTTTTTTGTGAAGGCTTTCCAGATATTCAAAAGGACTTGGGTGTTGTGATCTAAGCTGTATCTGCTTTAGGGGGCACCCCAAGCCCAGTAATGCTGTGGTTCTTGCAGACTCATAGAGGTACCACCTTGATGATCTTAGACAAGATCTAGAAGAATTTTCTGGGTTATCAGGCAGAGATTCTTGTTCTCCTCTCTTACTTTCTCCCAAACAAATGGAGTCTCTCTATATCTGTTCTGAGCCACCTGGAACTGAGGGTGGAGTGACAAAAAGCAACCCTGTGGCCAACACCACTAGGACTGTGCTGGGTCATACCTAAAGCATTGGGGTCTCACTTAAGGACTCCTGTAATCACTCCCTGGTTATGGCATATGTTTGCTGTATGCCCTGGGGCTCTACAATCAGCAGGTAGCAAAGCCAGGCAAGCCTGTGTCTTCTTTGGATGGCAAGCTCCCCCAGGCTCTGGGTGGGCCTTGATGTGCTATCTGGGAGCCAGAGACTACAGTCAAAAGCCTTAGAACTCTACCTGGTATTCTATTGTACCGCAGCTGAGTTGGCACTCAAACCACAAGATGCAATTTTTCTCACCCTTCCCTCCCCTTTCCAAAGGCAGAGGAGCCTCATCCCATGGCCATCACTGTCACAGGCCCATGGAGAATACTAGCAGACTATCACCAATGTACCCTTAAGGTACAAGGGCACTTCAGTCAGCTTATGGTGAATGTTGCCTAGCCTGGGACTCATTTTTCAGGGCAGTGGGCTCCCCTCTGGCTCAGGGCAGGTCCAAAAATGCCAAGACCCACGTCCTAGAATCAGTGACTCCAAGAGCCTACTTGGTGCTGTATCCCTCTGTGGCTGAGCTGGTCTCTAAGGTGCAAGACAAAGTCCCCTTTACTTTTCCCTCTGCTTTTCTCAAGCAGGAGTCTTGCCCCATGGCCACCACAGCTGGGAATGTGCTGAGTCTCACCTGAAGCCATCAAGCCTCAGAGTCTCACCCAAAGCCCTCAATGTAGTATCTGTGTATCACTGCTGGTTATTCAGGGCCCAAAGGCTCTTCAGTTAGCAGGTGATGAATCCTGCCAGGACTGGGTCCTTCCCTTCAAGGCAGCAGGTTCCCCTTCTGGCTCAGGGTGTGTCTAGAAATGTTGTCTGGGAGCTAGAGCCTGGAAAGGGGGCCTCACAAGTCTGACTGGCCCCCTAGCCTCCTGTGGCTGAGCTGGTATCCAAAATACAAGACAAAGTTCTCCCCATGCTTCCTTCTCCTCTCCTTAGGGGGAGGGAAGGGGTCTCTTTTGGAGTTGTGAGGCTGTGCAGCTTAGGGTTAGGGGAAGAGTGATGCCAGTACCCCCTTAGCCACCCCAGCTTGTTTCTCAGTAGGTCACATGTCCTCCCCCTGCCACTTCCCAGTCCACTGTCTCTGGGCCCAGTTCAGCACTAGGACTCCCCTTGGAGTTGCAGTCCTTATGGCCTAGACTGCCTTCCAAGTTATTTAGAGCCCAGAGCACTTTAGCTTGCAGAGGCAAGGCTTAGCTCAGCAGTTCCCCTCTGTGTAAGGCTGGTTTAAATGTTCCCTCCATGTGTGGGCATCAGCTGAGTTTGGTCTGGTTTTGTTTTCTGTTATAATAGGGCAGCACTGAATCCAAAGCCTCACAATTGCTGCACTCTCCCCCTCCCTATCACACACTCTCCACTCTCCACTCCATGCCACCACTGCTGGAGGTGGGGAAGGGGTGGCATCAGCGATTCAAGACTTTTTCCTACCTCTTCAGTGCCTCTTTCAGTAATATGACATTAAAACCAGGTACTGTGAGTACTTATCTGATTTTTGATTCTTATGAAGGTGTTTTTTTGTGCAGATAGTTGTTAAATTGGTGTCCTTGCAGGAGGGATGATCAGTGGAACCTTCTATTCTACCATTCTGCTCTACCCACCTTCCAGGATCCCTCAAAGGTTTTCAGCATAAGGGTAACATAACAGTTTTATATTTTTAAAAGATAGCACTGTGATCAGAGTAATGAGTAAACGAGAGAGAGAGGTGTGTTGGACACTATTAAGTACCCATGGACTGGGAGTGGTGGGATGGCCATGGGGTGCAGAGAAATGGACCACAGAGGTGCCTCACAGGTAGTGTCACAGGCTTCTGTGTGGGTAAAAAAGAAGGAGGACTAAAATCTTACCTGCAGTTTCTTGTAGGACAAGATAGAGTGATGTCTTGAACCATGATAGAGACCCAGGAAGACCAGAAGGTTTTGGAAGAAAGATAAGGAGTTCAGTTTTGTTAATACTTTATTTGGGATGCCTGTGAGACATTCACATGGCTATTTCCCATAGAAAGAACATTCAGGTTTGGAATTCAGGAGAGCTACGGTCTCAAAAATCATCAGTGTGTAGATGTTTGAATAGATCAGATCATCCAGAGGGATCTCAGAGGAAAAGGATGAAGAGAGATTGACAGTCATTTAGGGGTCTAAGCAAGCCCATCCCTCACCACCCTGCTTCCCATGCCTCCCTGTGCAGCAGAGTCCAGCCCACACGCCTGCCCTGCCCTCCAGATGGAAGGTCTCCAGCACCCTTTCTGGATCACTGGCCAGTGACCAGTCTTTGTCCATTGGGCTTCACAGCATTTTAGACTTGAAGGAACTGTGTTCCAGTTCTGATCCACTGAACACTTTTCATGGACAGAGAAAAGACAGAATCGTACTGGGTAAAATGCTGTTTTGTTACTAGACATATTGATGATCTATTCAAAGATGTCTTTTGCATAAACTTCAAAGATAGGCTTCATCCTGGATATAAGGAACCGCAAAGATTCCTCCAACCTGAAATTAGTTCACTTCAGGGGAGCAAAGGCTGGATTCACCAGGAAGTGTAATGTGGATATTATAAAAGTAGCAGACAAAAGTTCAAGTTCAGGGAAGTCAGAAATGGATCCAATTAAGTTACTAAAATGTACCAAGTTCAAGACACTGAACCAGAAATTGTGGAAACGCTATGATGTGTACAAGACACTCCCTGCCTCCAAGAGAACAGGAGCTCGTGGGGAGACAGACACATGGAGAAATCACTCTGGAGAAAAGGTAAATGTGGTACATGCAGCAGTCGCTGTCACTAAGAAAATCCATGAGTAAGGAAGGAAGGAGGGGTTGTTCTGAGGATGGAAAGTTGGAAGGTTTTGGGAAAAGCACCAGAAATGGCTACTTTAGCTGGAACTGTCATCACCAGACATGAACACGTTAGCTCACAGAAGAGGTAGAGGTCTACAGGCAAACACGACAGTAGCGAAGCTGAGGCTGGCCCCAGGGAGCATCTATACCAAGGCACCACCGGGAAGGCTGCGGCAGACTGTGCCATGCGCTGTCTGTTGGGCCTGGAGCACCACGAGAAGGAAGGCGGCGTGGGGAGAGTGAAGCTGCACTGAGGTTCTGCTAAGACTGCTGTGAACTTTCACATACAAGACTTTGCGTGGGTGTATCATTTCAGTTCTCCTGGGTGTATGCTTAAGAATAGAATCACTACAATTTTCAACCATTCCTGTTATTATTAAGAAAGTAATACATGCTTGTAGGAAACGGTCAAACAACACAGCAGAGAACAGGGGAGGAAGTGTGGGGACACCCACTGCATTTCCCATCCACAGAGACAGCAACTCAGGAGATTAGTTTGCATCCTTTCCATAGCTTTTTATATGCACACACATATTTATTTTGTAAATACAATTATTCTATACATATTGTTCTACAAATTGTTATATAACTCTGCCTACGTTGTGGCCATATTCCTAAGTCAGAACACACAGATCTATCTTATCTTTTTTAATGACTACCACATATTTTCTATTGCAGATGTACCGTAAGTTTTTAACCAGTCCCTTATTAATGTATATACAAGTTGTTTTTACTTTTTTACTATTACAGATAATGTACAAAGAATATCTTTGTGTGTGTGTGCATATAGACATACTTTTCCTGTATATTTTGGTCTGTATTTCTGTACTCTAGTATCTTTTAAATAGACCAGCTATGTCAAAGAATTGTTGAAAATATTTAACCTAGCTATATAAAAACATGCCAATAAGTAATGGGAAACAAAATCTGAAATAAAAATATTAGAAGTAGTAGCCAAACTCCACCCCTGCTTTCTTTCAGAGCCTCCATTCCACGCCCCTGGAATTCCTCTACTCCCTCCGAACCTATTCCTTCCTCCCCAGCCACTCCCCTACTCAGTAGCCTCAGTTGACTTCCAAGTATCTATTGTAAGAAATCCAAATTTGTGGCAGGGCGTGGTGGCTCATGCCTGTAATCCCAGCACTTTGGGAGGCCGAGGCGGGCAGATCATGAGGTCAGGAGATCAGGACCATCCTGGCTAATATGGTGAAACCCTGTCTCTACTAAAAATACAAAAAATTAGCCAGGTGTGGTGGCATGTGCCTATATTCCCATCTACTCGGGAGGCTGAGGAAGGAGAATCACTTGAGCCCAGGAGGGGAGGTTGCAGTGAGCCCAGGTCGTGCCACTGCACTCCAGTCTGGGCAACAAGAGTGAAACTCCATCAAAAAAAAAAAAGAATGAAAGAAAGAAAGAAAAAGAAGGAAAGAAAGAAAGAAAGAAAGAAAGAAAGAAAGAAAGAAAGAAAGAAAGAAAGAAAGAAAGAAAGAAAAAAGAAAGAAATCCAAATTTGTAAATCCTTTCCCATTTGCTATTTCTTTTGGTTCCCCATTAGAGTTCCTATAAAAGTTACTGATGAAGCACTAAAACCTCCCTGACTTTCCATTATCTTCCAATAAGGCTTAAACTTTTTGATAACAGTCCTACAATTATTAATGAGTTTTCAGCCTACAGAAGTACAATTTAGCAGCTGTAGGTGAGATAAAGGTAATACAAGAGATTTTGGTCATCAAGGTAAGAAAAAGGAATCTATCTAGAGGGGATCCCCCTGCCAAACCCATGCAGTTGTGGAAACGGCAATGCCTGGTGCTCTGGTCACTGGTGGCCTTTGAAAGGGCAAGACAAGGCTGGGATGTGCTCTCGTGAGAGCCGCAGTGTGTGTGCAGACAAGGCAGGGGCCCGGGGAGGGCAACTGCAACACTGGGATTTCTAGCCATGAAAGTCACATATAACAACTGGAAAACGGAAATTAAAACTACCATAACAAAGCCATTCTGTGCGTATTGAACTAAGAGATGCATTTGCAGCTTGGTCTGGCCTCCAAATCCATGCTGGCCCCGTGAGTGGAGAAGCAAGCTTTTGTTGACTTGCCGAGGAGGCTCCACTGTGCGTGGATCATAATAGAGGTGATTGATATTCATGTGCTGCTGTGCCCACTTCTGCTCGTTCCCGTGCCGCTCTGTGAAAGCTAACCAGCACTTAGACGTCTATTCATAGAGAAATTACAAGTGCGTCTACATCAGGATCAGCAATGCAGAATGAGGGATTCCTGTGCAATTTGCATCAGAGGTAGGTTATCTGGAAGCCAGAAATTATGAACATTCCAAAATAAAAAGCCGAGAGTGTCAGGATACTGGACAGAGGGTCAAGTTTATTCTCACTACATATTTTGCTAAGAGATAGAAGGGAGCAAAGCTCAAGGATTCCCAGAAGAAGCAGAAGTCCACGCTGCAGCTCAGTCAAGGAGACGCTGGTCCTCTGGCCAGAACAGACAAAGTTGAGACCTGGACCCTGGTACCTGCTGCTGCTGTGGTCCCTGGTGCATGACCTCTGACTAGGACTTAAACATCAACACCCTCAGCTATAGTTGAGAAAAGTATCTGCCCTATTGACTTTGCCACCTTAGTGGGAGGCTTAACTTGCATCCTGGATGGGAAAGCACTTTGGGCCTGCAGAAGCTCACAGACACAGGAGCTCATCAGAGACACATTCGGCATGGCGCAGCTCTTCTGCAGCAGCATCCGAATCGAAGGCACATTGAGGAGGCACCGAGCCCTCCAGGGAGGCTTGTGTGTGTTCCAGTCATTGCTATCAGGCTGGAGGGCTTTGGGCCACAGGGGTTCTCCCAGGGAAAGCTGAGTTAGCTAGTGGACCTGGAGAGTGCGCCTTGGTGGTTACTCTGTTGTGCATCCCATGGCCCTCGGCACAGCACTTGGGGGTGCCTGGGTATGTTGTAAATGAGTGATTTAGGACATAATATCCAGGTAGAGAAACATAAGAAGGGGGGAGGAATCGGAAGAACAACGAAAGGGAAAAATATAAAGGGTACAAAAGAGTCCTGTTCCCAGCTCCGCCTCCACCTGGTGGCTGCAGGGCCCTGGGCCATTGAGCTTCCCTGGTTCTCAGTCTCTCCATCTGTACAGCAGGAAAAGTGAACCCATTGACCTTTGTGGTTCCCTCCAGTGACAATTAAAATATATATATATAGGCAGGCCAATGGCTTTAGTGAAGGAGGCTCATGTATGGGCAAGGCCAGAGAGAGCAGCTGTTTCCAGGGAAGCCCCACCGTACTGGGGACTCAGTCCTTGGAAACGTGGCAAAGGTGTAATAACTTACATCTCTATGCATGCCTCCTAATTGATCAAAACAGACACACAACTCAGGCACAGGAAAGGATGTTGACCATAGTTGGTTGAGTCTCACTTCTACATAGAAAACCTACAATTATTTTAAAAAACAGAACTTTTCAGCCTCAGTAGCTAACATTTGTGGGCAAATGAAATTGTTGTCTGTAAATCATATTATAGAGAGCGCACACAGGGGCTCATTTTTCAGCTCTGAGGGGTTTAGGGGATGCCTGACACTTCTAAGGTGAACACAGAGGAAATCCTTTGCATGAGTTAATTAAAAATATGTCTGGCTCAAATAATAATGGGATGCTCAAATAAAAATGGCTTAGATGATGATGGTAGTTAATGATGTCACAAAACGAGAGGAACAGAGGTAGGAGTGTCCACACCCCGTCAGCAGCTCAGCGTCACTGAGTGTCACTCCCTCTTCCGGGGCTGCTGGTGGATGGAGCAGCTCCAGGTGTCCTAAGTCAGAAGGAGGAGCAGGAGCAGGTTTTCTCCTGAAAAGGTCATTCATTTTTGCCAGGAAGGATGTATTTTCCCAAAGCCTCTTGGGAGACTCCCTTCATTGGCCCCCAGCTCCAGAGAGAACAGGAGAGCAAATATTTGGTGAATGGGAGGGGCTTAGACCACCTTGGACCCGTGATTCTCAACGGCAGGCAGTTTGGCAGTGTCTGGAGACCCCATGTTTGGTTGCCATAACGTGGGGAGGGGTGCTGCGAGCATCTCATGGGTGAAGGCCCGGGAGGCGCTCATCATCCTACACCGCACAGAGCAGCCCCCACAGCAAAGAACTATCAGTCCCCAGGCCCATCGTGCCGAGGCTGAGAAGCCCTGATGCAGAGCAAACGTGATTTACCTCCTGGGGATGGTGAAGACCCAGGGGCCTCCATCACCGCTGAACAAATGTCCATGTTTACTACTGGGAAGAGGGATGCTGTGCCTGTGGGGTGGCTTACAAAGAGTGCCTGCCACTCTGAACTTTCCAGAGCCAGTTTTAAACGTATGGAATGTTTAAAAGAGATGATGGTCAGGTTTGGATGTGTGTCCACTCCACGTCTCATGTTGAAATGTGATTCCCAGTGTTGGGGGTGGGGCCTGCTGGGAGATGACTGGATCAGGGGAGGGGATCCCTCAGGAATGGCTTGGTGCCAACCTCTTGGTGATGAGTGGGTTCTCACTGGGTTAGTTTACAGGGGATCTGGTTGTTTAGAAGTGTGTGGCACCTTCCCCTTTTCTCTCTCTCAGCAGGTGGTTTGTTGGCTCCCTGTCACCGTCTGCCATGGTTCAAAGCTTCCTCAGGCCTCACCAGAAGCAGGTACCAGTACCAGGCTTCCTGTACAGCCTGCAGAACCATGAGCCAGTTAAATCATTTTTCCTTATAAGTTATGCAGCCTCAAGTATTTCCTTATAGCAATGCAAGAACGGATGGACACAGACAACAACTTGGAAACCGGTGTGTGCATCTCCAGACTTTCCAAAAGGAGGAGCGACATGACGGGAAGCAAGAGACCACCCGAGAGACACTTGGGCTCCAGTGGGAGCCGTCGGAACAGATGCCAGGGTCTGCACTGAGAGACGGTCCTGGAGAGGAATGGTGGAGGCGGGATGAGGCAGGAACCACAGAGTAATAACAGATACAACCTTCACAAATAGCATGTACTTTGCAACAGGCCGTGTTTTAAATTATTTACAAATATTAACTCAATTCATCCTTACCACCATCCAAGGAGGTAAGAGAGTGTCCACATTTTACAGCTGAGGAAATGGAGTCACAGAGAGTTCAAATTGGCCAAGGTCACTTGGCCAGTGGCGGGTGAGGCTGGAATTTGAACTCGGTCAATCTAGCTGCAGGACAGCCTCTGTGATGACGAAGGTTGCTATTATTTTTCTTGAGCGTGGATGTTTCTCTGACTTTCCGGAATCGATCTACCTCCATTACATTACAGTCCATGGGCAAGGAGGGGGTTTTCAATGGCAGTATCTGCTCTCTCATTCCCGTCTTCCTCCCAGTGGCTGTCAGCTTGCAGGGGATGTTGCTACGATACAGATGCCACGGTCTGAATGTTTGTGCCCT
Organism: Homo sapiens; assembly: GCF_000001405.40. Lineage (NCBI taxonomy): Eukaryota > Metazoa > Chordata > Mammalia > Primates > Hominidae > Homo > Homo sapiens. The sequence goes on from NC_000007.14 coordinate 156,254,649, forward strand.
CCCAAAACTCATGTGCTGGAACCTAACCCCTAACTCCCAAAGGCAGCGGGGCCTTTGGGAGATGATGAAGTCATGAGGGCAAAGTGCACGTGGATGGGGTTAGTGTCCTTATAAAAGACCCCAGGGAGCTCATACTCTCTCTTCCTGTCCCCATAGCCATCCTGTGAGGACACAGGAAGACAGTGGCTGTCTATAAGACAATGAGATAGCCCCTGCCAGACACCAAATCTGCCAGCGACTTGATCTTGGACTTCAGCCCCCAGAACTGGGAGAAACACATTTCTGTTGTTTATAAGCTGTCCCATCTGTGGTCCTCTGTTACCGCAGCCTGCATGGACTGAGACACCAGCTGACTGCTTCAGGACTGGATGATCCACGCTGGCCACCCAGTCTTGGAGCTCCCATGGCCAGGCTGAGGTCTGGTGGTGGCTTTCCAAGCTCAGCACCTCCCTCCACCCAATCCTGCCGCCTCACTCTTCCCCCCGGGTGTGGGTCCTGGGCCTCTCCTCCTATGCTTCCTGCTTGCCAGTCTTCCAGTGTTGGCTTTCTGGGGAGACCCCCTCGATAAACAGGGCCATTCTCCTTGTCTCCTTCCTCCCATGCCTTGCACTCAGATGGTGGGGAAGACGGTGTAGTTTCACTTTCTGCAACATACACTGGCCCAGAAAACACATTTAACTTTTCATCTCATCGACCTCCTAACACAGTGCTTAGCACAGCTATAAATATTTATTGTTGACTTTGATTTGTAGAAAAGTATATTTTACCTTCATTATAGGAATCTCAACAGATTAAGAATGCTTTTTTGATCATCCTTGAGTTCCCCTTAATAGTTGATTTTGAAATGATTGTCAACAAATTTATGTAAAATGCTCCTTGAGCTTGTTTTTTCTCCTGGTCTCAAAGGTGGGGAGTGACTGTATTGCTCTCCTCTTTCGGAAGCTCATTTAAGTATGCCTAGTTATGTTGCATTTCCTGGCGATTCTCTTCCTCACCTTGACATGCTTAAATCAAGACCCTCAAAATGTTAAAAATGTGGCCATGTAAGCCAAACCTCTTTTAAAATTAAAATGAGTATGAAAAATGTTCCCATTATGTAATGTTTATGTAATGGTTTTGCTCTTGTCCAAACTAAGCAACAGCTTTGTAATAGTCTAAGTTAATGAATGATGGAATCATCAAGAGACACCTCTCCCATCTTTAGAGATGAGGCAAGTGCGGGGGAGACCGGCAGGTGTCCGGGAGTTCTCCATGGGGCTCAGTGCAGCGAGTGTTTACACCGGAGGAAGGCTGAGAGTCCTGAGCTTAAGAGTTTTGGTGCATGACTATTTGCATTTATTTTTTCTGAGAACTGATTATGCATATTCCTTGTCTATTTTTCTAAAGATGATCAACTATGTTCTTTTAGGCAGCAACATAAAAAATTTTACCTATCCAATTGACAAAGGTTAAAAATGAGTATAGTTGCATGCAGCATTAATAAACCCGTGGGGTGAAACATACTGTCACACACTGTGAGTGGAATACAATCATTTATATCCACACAGTCTTTCAGAGGGAAATGTAACATCATTTATAAAATCTACAGTGTGCACGGTGTTTGACCCAATGCTTTCACCGCTAAGAATTCAGCCTACAGATTTGCTCACACAAATAGGCAAAGGTGTGTGAGTGGTGGTTATTGTAGCGTTATGTGCAATTATAAAATATTGGAAACAAATGTTTTGTATAGAAACCTACTTGAATGGGCCATGATATAGTTATACAATGGGATATTTTGTGACTGTCTGGATTGATGAGGCAAATCTATATGAACTTCCATGGAGAGAGAGTGGAGGTGTCTCAGAAATCAAAGACAGCAAGCTTCAGAATAATGTTTATCTTTCTATGTTTAGAAAAAAGATTCTGCATGTGTGCAAATACACGTACATAAATGGCAAGGTGTCCAAGCAGTGGTCGGTAATGGTTACATGGGACTGAAGGGCCAGGCAAGAGGCAAGACTTTTATTATTACTGTAAATCCGTCTCTTCTAATTTTACTAGAAAAAAATATCAATTTTAAATTAAAAAGAACTTAGTGAAAACCCACAATTTCTAAAACTTTAAGCTAATGAAGAGCATGTTAAAAAAAGAAAGACATTAAGCATTGAATTAAAAAAAATCATGTTTGGGGCTGGGCGCAGTGGCTCGCACCTGTAATCCCAGCACTTTGGGAGGCTGAGGCAGGAGGATCACTTCAGGCCAGGAGTTCAAGACCAGCCTGTCCAACATGGTGAAACCCCATCTCTACTGAAAATAGAAAAATTATCCAGGTGTGGTGGGGTGCACCTGTAATCCCAGCTACTCAGGGAGGCTAAGGCACAAGAATCACTTGAACCTGGGAGTTGGAGGTTGCAGTGAGCTGAGATCTTGTCACTGCACTCCAGCCTGGGTGACACAGTGAGACTCTGTCTCCAAAAAAAGTGTTTTGTAATGTTTATAATTAATTTATCTTACTTAATAAAGTTTCAAGGAATTTTTAAAATCTTCTTTTTGTGATTGAGGCTTTGATATAGGATCAATGTATCACTAGGCCAGTTAATTATTCTAGGACATTACACCACCTACTCTCTGGGCGAAAAGAATGTGACTGTGTTGACTTGTAACAAGAATGTTCTAGTTGGTTCAGTTTATTCAAAAATTATTACATGAGTTATTGTTACTGACTTATGGACTGATGATAGTCAATTAAGAGTTAAGGCAGCTTACCAAGGTAGAAAGAACCCAAATCAGATTAACTTCAGATCCAGCAGAACAGCTCAGCCTGCCCACGAGGCTGTTGCTTTCCTAGGAAATTATCCCAGGGAAGTAAAAAGTGTTAGTAGTGGAGGTTTGGGCTGCTGGTTGCCCCCCAACATCCATTCTCCCTGTATTAGTCTGTTCTCACACTGCTATAAGGAAATACCCGAGACTGGGTAATCTATAAAGAAAAGAGGTTTAATTGGTTCGTGGTCTGCAGATTGTACAGGAAGCATGGTGCCAGTATCTGCTCAGCTTCTGGGGAAGCCTCAGGAAACTTACAGTCATGGCAGAAGGTGAAGGAGAAGCAGGTACGTCTTACACAGCCAGAGCAGGAGGAAGAGAGGGACGGGGGATGTGCCACACACTTTTAAACAACCAGATCTCGTGAGTACTCTATCAGAAGAACCACACCAAAGAGATGGTGCTAAATCATTAGACACCACCCCCATGGTCCAATCACCTCCCACCAGGCCCCACCTCCAGCACTGAGGATTACATTTCAACATGAGATTTGGGTGGGGACACACACAGATCCAAACCATATTGCTCCTCCTCTTCCAGTAACCTCTTGTTTTAGCAAGACACCTGGCTACCTGCTACAAGAGGATGTTTGTCAGCCTCCTTTGGAGTTAGGTGCAGTTCTATGAGTAAGCCCAGTGAGATGTGAGTAGAAATGTTAAATGAAGCTTCCAGAAGGAGGATTACAGGAAGCTGACTCAGCCAGAGGCACAGCCCTTTAGTTGTTCTGCTTTTGCTACTGCTTGTGGCTTGCAACACAAACATGATAGCTGGAGTTCAGGCAGCCACCTTTCACCATGAGGTAACCTGAGGATGGAAGCCAGCCCTTACGAACACTGAGCAGAAGACCAGAAAGATGGCCAGTGATATAATGGAGCTGCCATACCTACCCATGGACTTTATATGTGTGCTCTTCCTAGAGGAAGAAATAAACTTGGTGGCTACCAGTTCAAGCCTGGCTTCCAAATATCTCCTAAGGGTTCCTCCACCACCTCTCTTTTCCTATCTACAAGCTGAATGGGGATGAGAAGAGAGTGAAGCCCTAGAATATGGCAAAGTCACCCAAAGTAGCACAAATTATAAGGCTGAAAGTCAGCATGGATGTGCTCTCTGAAGCCTGCAGAGGAGACGCCCTCTTTGCCCCTCCTGGCTTCTGGCGTTTGCCAGCAATTCTTAGTGTTTCTCGGCTGTTGACTCATCACCCCAGTCTCTGTCTCCACGGTCACCTGCTGTTCTGCCCATGTGTCTGTGTCCTGTCCAAATCTCCCTCTTTATAAAAGGACACCAGTCACATCACATTAAAGGGCCCTTCTACTCCAGCATGACTTCATCTTAACTAATTCCATCTGCAATGACCCTACTTCCAAATGAGGCCACATTCTGAGGTACTGAGGGTTAGGACTTCAACATGTCTTTTTAGAGGACACAATTAACAGCCTGATTAATTGATCTTGTGTAACTTTGATCTTGTTTAGAGTACTATTATTTAAAATTTTACTGTTATATGCAGCTGAACTAATCCTAACTGGTACCCAGCGGGGTCAGCTTATTATTACACTCTCTCACTCTGTGTATTACTTTATTAGTATTACTGAGGAATAATTATAGACAGTAAAAAACTTTAAAGGACAAATAACTTGTATAATTGTTAATAAAATGAAAATATAAAAGGTTCTCTGTTTAAGATTGCAGACTGTGTTAACAATTCTTCTCTCCAAATCCCAAATCTGTACTTAGTAGCTTTTATAACCTTGAACCCGTTACTTGGCCTCTCAATAATGCCTTATAAGATTGAAGATGATAAGATGATTAAATGAGTTAATACATGTAAAGCACTTAGAGAAGTGCCTGGTAAGTAATAAACACTCAATAATTGCTAGATCTGATCCTGAGATTTTTACAGCTGATATTTATTGAGAGCTAACATGGAATGTTAGAAAAAGATAAAAATTGGAATAGATCAGTACATAGCACTGCTAGAAAAATTAAAAGCGAACTATCATTCAATTAGAAACTCTTACCATTTTTGAGACAAGATAGGGTTGGAATTACAGATCTGAAGAGTTTGCAACTCAAGAAAGGAAAATATGGTATCGATAGTCCCTGCAGATCTTTAAAAGACATTCAAGCTCAGCATCAGAAGAGCTGGGGAGGGGTGGCGAGGCTGAGGTGCAATTTAAATACATCTTTGCCATACCAATGTGTCACTCTGCACACACAGACTAGTGCGCTGGGGCTGGCAGGAATGACCCCAAGTATGAGATGTTTTTAAAGGAGCAGGTCTTCCAGTAGACTTTGGTCCTGAGAGAAGAGGATACGGAAAAAATAAAAGAGAAGCTTTTAAAGAGGTGGCTGAATTAGCATGTGTTCACTTTTCCTGCTTCTTCAAATCTCATTGAAATGACAAAAGAAATTTTTAAAAATTGAGTTTAGGAAGGTTTCCACCAGCAGAGCGAGCAGTAAGGAATCGCTGGAAGATACCTCGTGAATGGACAGAATGGATCCATTTGGAGGATGAAAACCAACAAAGAGTCAGCAGTCCCGACCAGGCCAGAAAGAACCTGGGGAAAAGTGGCTTTTCCCACAGAATTCAGTCAGAATAGACACAGAATTTGAGACATCACAGGTTGGAAGAAGGAGCCCGGGGTCTCATTACGTCAGTGATTAATCACAAAGTGGGGTCCTGCTTCTGAACTCACTGGCCTCGGCGTTTCCAGTTAGGCGAGATCTGCAAATATCTTTTTGTGACTTGTGAATCCTGTGCCCAGACGAAGCCACAGCCATCATGAAGAGGGAGTTCCTGCACCCAGAGGCCTAACACCCTTCAACAGACAGATGCTCATCGGGCCACCCCCATTCCCCGCTCACTGCTCCCTGTAAACAGCCTGGGCCTGGGCCCCTGCACTCCCTGCAAGGAGAACCGATTCCCATAGTTAAATCTGCTCAACCCACACCCTTGTCCAGAAAGCTGTATCCACAACAAGGGAAAGAATCATTCAATGTTGGAGAAAACAAACAATACGAAGAAACGTGCCAAAATCAATATTTAAAAAATACATTCAGAGAAATTGGAAAGGATAGCTCATGCATACAAATAGAAGAGATGATATGAAAGTGAATTTATCAAATATATTATGAATTTAAAATATGAATGTAAAAACAAACAAAAACCTCCGTAGAAGGTTCTAATAGCAGGAAGAGCCAGATTAAAAAACAGGTTAGTAAATATAGCCATTATGAAAAACAGTACGGCGGTTCCTTAAAAAACTAAAAATAGAACTACCATATGATCCAGCAATCCCACTTCTGGGTATAGACCCAAAGGATTGAAATCAGTATGCAGAAGGGTGTTTGCACTCCTGTGTTCACTGCAGCACTATTCACAATAGCCAAGACACAACCTAAGTGTCCATCAGCAAATGAATGGATCAAGAAAAATGTGATACAATGGCACAACATAACAATACTATTCAGCCATATAAAAGGAGGAAATCCTGTCATGTGCTACAACATGGGTGAACCAGGAAGACATTATGCTAACTGAAATAAGCCAGGCACAGAAAGATAAATACTGCATGATCTAACTTAGATGAAAAATCTAAAGGAGTTTAACTCATAGAAGTAGAGAGTAGAACAGAGGTGATTAGAGGCTGGGGGTGGGGGCGGGAGGATTGGGCGGGAAAAGGGGAAATGTTGGTCAAAGGGTACACAGTTTTGGATAGACAGGAGGAATAAGCTTTAGTGATCTATTGCACAGAAAGTGATTATAATAAATAATGATGCATTATGCCTTTCAAAATTGCTAAAAGAGAAATGATAAGTATGCGGGGGGGGGGTGGATATGTTAATTAGCTTGATTTAATCATTCCACAATGTAAACATATATCAAAATATCACATTGTGCCCATCAATAGATACAATTATTATTTGTCAATTAAGAAATAAAATTAATAAAAGCAAAGAACTGTAGATATTACTTACATATTTTAAACATCGAACGTGCAAACCTGTCATACTTCCAGATGCTGAGAACTATGACTGAAACATGCTTGAAAATAAAGGAAACAATAATAATTAAGAAAGTAGGCTGGGCATGGTGGTTCATACCTGTAATCCCAGCACTTCGGGAGGCTGAGGCAGGAGGATCACTTGAGCCCAGGAGTTCAAAACCAGTCTGGGAAACATAGTGAGACCCTGTCTCTACAAAAAAAAAAATTAAAATTAAAAAATTAGCCAGACATAGTGGCACATGCTTGTGGTCCCAGCTACTTGGAAGGCTGAGGTGGGAAGATCACTTGAGCCTGGAGAGTCAAGGCAGCAGTAAGCTGTGATTGCGACACTGCACTCCAGCCTAGTCGACAGAGCAAGATCTTGTCTCAAAAAAAAACAATAAATAAAAAGAAAAAAAGAAATTAAAGTTGAAATGGCTATTGCAAAACAATTTTTCAAAATAGGTTAGGACACGAGAAGCTGGAGCTAAATTGTTTTCACAGAAGACAATGCAAGAAAAGAAGAAAATGAGAGAAAGACTGAAAGAAGTGGGAAATAGATCCATACATGTTCACAGCTGTGGAACAGAAGATATGATCAGAGAAATGACAGAAGACTTGCTGTGTAAACAAAGACTCCGAGTTTCCCATGGGAAGGGACTCACGGCGCCAAGCATGCCCACTCCCTCACATGACTTACAGAGATTTCAGGTTACCAAGGTTCCAGAAAAGCCATAGACTTGGGAAGAAACCAGCTTACGTACAAAGGTGCAATGATCACACTGACATGAAATTAGTTACTGACAGCATGGCTATGTGAGAATGAAATAATGCCTTTAAATTTTATTAGAAAAATTATTATTTAAAACCTAGAATTTGACACCTAGTTAAAATTTGATACAAGCACAAAAATAAGATAAAGATAATATATTTCAGATTCAGATTTTTAAAACTTACCAATATTTAAATCTTGCTGAAGGAGCTCATAGTGAATATATTCCAACAAAAGCAATAACAGAGATGCAGGTGAAAATGCAGATGTGGGACACAGAAAGACAAAATAGCAAAGGATACATACTTAACTGTTGTGGGCACAGCTGAAAACATGAAGCCGAAAATGAAGGCAATTGTTAAAAAACTACTCTTTTTTTTTTTTTTTTTTTACTTTAAGTTCCAGGATACATGTGTAAAACGTGCAGGTTTGTTACATAGGTATACATGTGCCATGGTGGTTTGCTGCACCTAGCAACCCATCATCTAGGTTTTAAGCCCCACATGCATTAGGTATTTGTCCTAATGTTCTCCCTCCCCTTGCCCCCATGTCCCGACAGGCCCTGGTGTGTGATGTTCCTCTCCCTGTGTCCATGTATTCTCATTGTTCAACTCCCACTTATGAGTGAGAATATGCGGTGTTTGGTTTTCTGTTCCTGTGTTAGTTTGCTGAGGATGATGGCTTCCAGCTTCATCCATGTCCCTGCAAAGGACATGATCTCATTCCATTTTATGGCTGCATAGTATTCCATGGTGTATATGTACCACATTTTCTTTACCCAGTTTATCATTGATGGGCATTTGGGTTAGTTCCATGTCTTTGCTATTGTAAATAGTGCTGCAATAAACATGCATGTGTCTTAATAGTAGAATGATTTATATTCCTTTGGGTGTATAACCGGTAATGGGATTGCTGAGTCAAATGATATTTCTGGTTCTAGATCCTTGAGGAATCGCCACGCTGTCTTCCACAATGCTTGAACTAATTTACATTCCCACCAACAGTGAAAAAGTGTTCCTATTTCTCCACAGCCTCACCAGCATCTATTGTTTCTTGACTTTTTAATAATTGCCATTCTGACATGTGAGATGGTATCTCATTGTGATTTTGATTTGCATTTCTCTAGTGACCAGTGATGATGAGCATTTTTTCATGTTTGTTGGCTGCACAGATGTCTTCTTTTGAGAAGTGTCTGTTCATATCCTTTGCCCACTTTTGGATGGGGTTGTTTCTTTCTTGTAAATTTGTTGAAGTTCCTTGTAGATTCTGGATATTAGACCTGTGTCAGATGGGTAGACTGGCCAAAATTGACAAATGGGATCTAATTAAACTAAAGAGTACAAAACCGTGGCAGACGTCATCTTCATATGTGGATTCAGAACCCAACTGGGAGGTGACAAGGCCACTGACTTTGTCATGACTTGGGGTTCCTGGGATTACGCAAAGAAAAATGAATTCAGACATAGACTTTCAACACGTGGCCTGTCTGAGGACAGAAAGATCTCAAAGAAGCAGCAGAGGGAATGCAAGGGCAGAGTGAGGAAGTGAGGGGTGCTGCGGGGCTGGTGTTGGCACTGACAGACAGCAGGCGGGAGACTGCAGAGTGGCCAAGGGAGATTCTGCATGACTTCAGCCGCGGTTGTCGTGTGCATCTCTCAAGAGGAGTAATAAACTGTAAAAACTTAAAAAAAAAACCCCACTAAATTCATATTCTATAACATTTGTAGATACACAAAAATGTAGATAAAGAATAAAACTGCACATGGGAGTGGTGAACGCTGCACTGGTGAAAGTCTCTACTAGAAAGGGAGAAACAGGGGCCAAGTGTATTTGTAATTCTTCATTAGAAACAAATAATAGTAAGACGCAATATTAAGATACACAAACATCATCTGCATACGTGCGTGTGTTCATTACGCATTTATTTTTGTTTATTTGAAATGTAAATCTAAAAATGATGATTTTATACTACAATTACCACAAAAACTAAACCCAGTTCAATTTACCAAAAAATAAAAGATATGTCACTGGTGATAGCAAAAAGGTATTCTCAAAGAACAGATTAGAATTTTACTGGGTTTTGAAATCCCTGACTTGCCCTATCTCATCAGGGTGTGACTAGAGGGTAACTGTGCGTGTCTCAGGCCAAAGAAAGATTTTTATTTTTGTGCTAAAGATCATTTATTTTGTTCATCTTAAGGAAAAGGTAGCTGTTCCTCTATCTACTTTCCAGCTGTGAAATTTGTGAAGATAATCGTGTTGGTGAAGAAGCTGGGCTCATGGTGCAGGTAGGGTCAGCGCTGGGGGCAGCAGGGGTCGTCCTGGAAGCCGTTTCTCCCTGGATGGCCATGATCACCCCACTGTGCATCCAGAGAACTGCCTGTCACGTCCAAGTCCCCCTCCAAACAAAACGTGTGCGTCCCCCACCACAACATCTCCTGGACTCCGCTGGCTCTGTTCCTCCCCGTGCCACCCAGCCCTGAGATTTAGCAACATGCACAACATCCAGCGTCTCCCCACTGTCTGCCTTGGGTTCCTTGGTTACTCTTGGGGTGCTCTCCCGTAGGCTGACTTCCCAATCTATGTCTCCAACTCAACCTCTCCCATCAGCTCCACCCTGACGTTCCAGCTTAGATTTCCCATCAACAGCAGAAGTTCCACCATTTCAGAATGAGCCCATTTGCCCCTAAGCTCAGACCTATATGCTGAGTCTGTCTACCTGCTGGAGACTGTCCTGTTTCTCCTCTATGCTGAGTCTGTCTACCTGGTGCAGACTGTCCTGTTTCTCCTCTATGCTGAGTCTGTCTACCTGGTGGAGACTGTCCTGTTTCTCCTCTATGCTGAGTCTGTCTACCTGGTGGATACTGTCCTGTTTCTCCTCTATGCTAAGTCTGTCAACCTGGTGGAGACTGTCCTGTTTCTCCTCTGTGCTGAGTCTGTCTACCTGCTGGAGACTGTCCTGTTTCTCCTCTATGCTGAGTCTGTCTACACGGTGGAGACCGTCCTGTTTCTCCTCTGTGCTGAGTCTGTCTACCTCGTGGAGACTGTCCTGTTTCTTCTCTATGCTGAGCCTGTCTACACGGTGGAGACTGTCCTGTTTCTCCTCTATGCTGAGTCTGTCTACACGGTGGAGACCGTCCTGTTTCTCCTCTATGCTGAGCCTGTCTACCTGGTGGAGACTGTCCTGTTTCTTCTCTATGCTGAGCCTGTCTACACGGTGGAGACTGTCCTGTTTCTCCTCTATGCTGAGTCTGTCTACACGGTGGAGACTGTCCTGTTTCTCCTCTATGCTGAGTCTGTCTACACGGTGGAGACTGTCCTGTTTCTCCTCTATGCTGAGTCTGTCTACCTGGTGGAGACTGTTCTGTTTCTCCTCTATGCTGAGTCTGTCTACATGGTGGAGACCACCCTGTTTCTCCTCTGTGCTGAGTCTGTCTACCTGGTGGAGACTGTCCTGTTTCTTCTCTATGCTGAGCCTGTCTACACAGTGGAGACTGTCCTGTTTCTCCTCTATGCTGAGTCTGTCTACACGGTGGAGACCGTCCTGTTTCTCCTCTGTACTGAGTCTGTCTACCTGGTGGAGACTGTCCTGTTTCTTCTCTATGCTGAGCCTGTCTACACGGTGGAGACTGTCCTGTTTCTCCTCTATGCTGAGTCTGTCTACACGGTGGAGACCGTCCTGTTTCTCCTCTATGCTGAGCCTGTCTACCTGGTGGAGACTGTCCTGTTTCTTCTCTATGCTGAGCCTGTCTACACGGTGGAGACCGTCCTGTTTCTCCTCTATGCTGAGCCTGTCTACCTGGTGGAGACTGTCCTGTTTCTCCTCTATGCTGAGTCTGTCTACCTGGTGGAGACTGTCCTGTTTCTCCTCTATGCTGAGTCTGTCTACACGGTGGAGACTGTCCTGTTTCTCCTCTATGCTGAGCCTGTCTACATGGTGGAGACTGTCCTGTTTCTCCTCTATGCTGAGCCTGTCTACACGGTGGAGACTGTCCTGTTTCTCCTATATGCTGAGTCTGTCTACCTGGTGGAGACTGTCTTGTTTCTCCTCTGTGCTGAGCCTGTCTACATGGTGGAGACTGTCCTGTTTCTCCTCTATGCTGAGCCTGTCTACACGGTGGAGACTGTCCTGTTTCTCCTCTGTGCTGAGTCTGTCTACATGGTGGAAACCGTCGTGTTTCTCCTCTATGCTGAGCCTGTCTACACGGTGGAGACTGTCCTGTTTCTCCTGTATGCTGAGCCTGTCTGCATGGTGGAAACTGTCCTGTTTCTCCTCTATGCTGAGTCTGTCTACCTGGTGGAGACTGTCCTGTTTCTCCTCTATGCTGAGCCTGTCTACATGGTGGAGACTGTCCTGTTTCTCCTCTGTGCTGAGTCTGTCTACCTGGTGGATACTGTCCTGTTTCTCCTCTATGCTCAGTCTGTCAACCTGGTGGAGACTGTCCTGTTTCTCCTCTATGCTGAGTCTGTCTACACGGTGGAGACTGTCCTGTTTCTCCTCTATGCTGAGCCTGTCTACACGGTGGAGACTGTCCTGTTTCTCCTCTGTGCTGAGTCTGTCTACACGGTGGAGACTGTCCTGTTTCTCCTCTATGCTGAGCCTGTCTACATGGTGGAGATTGTCCTGTTTCTCCTCTGTGCTGAGTCTGTCTACACGGTGGAGACTGTCCTGTTTCTCCTCTATGCTGAGCCTGTCTACCTGGTGGAGACTGTCCTGTTTCTCCTCTATGCTGAGCCTGTCTACATGGTGGAGACTGTCCTGTTTCTCCTCTGTGCTGAGTCTGTCTACACGGTGGAGACCATATTGTTTCTCCTCTATGCTGAGTCTGTCTACATGATGGAGACTGTCCTGTTTCTCCTCTATGCTGAGTCTGTCTACACGGTGGAGACTGTCCTGTTTCTCCTGTATGCTGAGCCTGTCTGCATGGTGGAAACTGTCCTGTTTCTCCTCTATGCTGAGTCTGTCTACATGGTGTAGACCATATTGTTTCTCCTCTATGCTGAGCCTGTCTACATGGTGGAGACTGTCCTGTTTCTCCTATATGCTGAGTCTGTCTACATGGTGGAGACCATATTGTTTCTCCTCTATGCTGAGTCTCCTCTATGCTGAGCAGATTTCTCAGCCATCTTCTTGAAAACTTGTCTTTATAATCTTGGCTTCCACGACCCTGCAACAAGAACGTTGTGTTTCTACTAGCTACACCTGCTCTTTTACTCTAAATGTCAACACCAATAGTTTGATACTCATGATAGACTGCATGATCTTGCTTTTGAATTTGTGTATCTGTTCTCTCTCTTTGGGTCATGAGTTTGTAAAAGTTGGGCATTACTGCTTTCTATTTTTTCTCTCCTTGATAGACACAAGCTGTACATCATCATAAATGAATAAATGAGAATAAGATTTTATGCATCTGCAAAAATTTTCATTTCAATGACTGAAAATGAGCATATCAAAAATGTGTCACTTTTCCTTTCAGAATTTATTTTCTTTATTGCTCAATAACGTTGGACTGTTAGGAAAGGGAAATAGGGATCCTATCCCATTAGGGATAGGAAATTGAGCTCACATTCTGGTTTTGCTTGGGAAGCATGCATAGAAATAAACAGGCTTTTGAAGTTATTAAAGACAGATGTGAGCGTCACTGTATAAACTGAAACTATTGAGAAGTGAAATACTCATCGAGTTAGTTACTTTTCATGCTGGCTTTGAATACTATGGAATCCAACCCTTTAACAAAGTGAAATTCGGGGACTCTGATTGTAAAGGGGTGTGCGTGTTTATTTTACATAACTGTTAATTGCCACAGTGACCCCAATGGGATGAATTAGTCAAGGATAGTCATAAAGAAATTCTGGCTACTAAGAAAGCTACAGGGTATGCACCTAAGACATCCTAGGTTCAACATTTGTCTGGGTTTGTTCTACACAATGTAATGATAGATTTTATAATAGTCATGTCACGGTGGCTAAAAACTTAAATGTCATATCAAGAGAGATTAACCTAAAAGCAAACCATCATCTTCATGTTTTTCAATGCACAGCTTAATTACTTTTAAAATTCCAGTCCTGACGATGGAGATGCAGATGACCTCGCAGTGCGTGAGGTCACACTGTGCGGTGCCCATCCATTTGCCTAGCGTTTCCAACATGCAGCCTCACCCGAGCAGGCTAACCTGGAGGCCACCGTGTGACCTGGTGTTTGTGTGTCTATCTGCATATTTTTTTGATGAGTGTGAATGTGAGTTGCAGGACAACAAAGCGACTTAGAGAATCTTTAATTTCATATTCTAACTAGTTAGCCCTATTTGTTTGCTTTGAATTACTCATTTCAATAAGGTGAAAACTTGTGCTAATCCTCTATTCATCAGTTGCCTGGGTGCGTGTGAAATGGATCATGTGGACAAAACAAACCCCGGCCAGACGCAACCTGCCATTGTCTCCTAAGCTGCTTCGAGGGGACTCTTCGCAGGTACCAAGAAGCCACTTTAACCACTTCACATATTTCTGAAGATCCTCTCCTTTTCTTCGCATCGCACATGACTCAGGCACAGAAGAAAAGCCAAAAGCAGGCATCAGATGAAGGAAAAACTCAAGTAGGCCGAACTCATTTTCCACACACAGAGAGATAATTGGCACTGCGGCGATTTTGGAGAGCTGAATTAAATGAATAAATTGTGACATGGGAAAAACTGAAAAGGACAACAGTTTCCTGGCTCACACGGAATCCTTACCTTGGGTAGGCATTTTTCTTGAAGATCAATTGATAAAACAGGACAACAATGTTTTTCCCCATTAATTGCTTTCAAACACTGTCCCGTTAAACACCCAATTAAAAGGTAGAAGTGTGGTCCTCTGTTTGCTTCTAATGACCACACATGAGAGGCTGGGGGCAGATGGGGAGGAGGGATGGGAGAGGGAGAAAGGAATGAATGGGAGAGTCTAGCATTTTCTTTTATGGGTTGCAGAATAAAAAGATCAATGGAAAAGGTTTATCACGTCTTTAGCCTGCAGCAGCCTACCGAAAGACCAGCACCTTAGAAACACAACGTAAGCCACATAACTCTTCTGAAAGAGAATGGTTCTTTGGAACTTCCTTGGAATTGACATGTCTAAAGACACTTGCACATCCAACCAAATATCCAGGTTAATTTATGCACAAGAAAATATGTGGTCAGCTCAAAAATATATTAAATCTGCCGCTTACCCAGTAATTTCAAATTGTGACATTCTAAACATTGTCTAAGTCACAAATGTAAACAACAAAATAACAAAGTAAGCAGAATTGGTTGTATTTTGACCACGGCAGAACTTCTCATCTGGGAAGAGACCAATGAGTGCTTTACTGTTAGAGCCGTAGCTTGTGTGGAGGGTTCAGTTGGGGTTGGGATGTGAAAGAGGGAAAGAGGGGGAGAATCTGTGAATGGCCAGTGTATCTTGGGCACAGATCCCAGTCCTTTCTCTCTTCCATATCCTTCACTTTCTCCCATTCTTTTACCCTCTGAGTCCTGTTTTTATATCTATCTTGCAGTGTGTAGAATTTGATAAATGAAAATAGTGAAAACTACTTCCAGCTTTGCATGGCATCAAATAATTTGGGGGTAGGGAGAGCAAGGAGACAAATTTTAGAATACACTTTGTCTCTACTTATATGGATTCTTCTTGGTTAGGACAGAAAATTGACCATAACAGAAAAGATACTGAGAACAACTGTTCCATTTAAAGTTACCATTTGAAGATAGTATGGCGTACCCTGGGGAAGCCCATTCAGGAGTTGGTTGAGACGACCCTATCTACAAAGTATGCTCAGGGCAAGTTAGGTTCAAATTTGACATGGCTAGCCCATTGTAACGCAATATTGTCTGTAGATTTTGTATTTCTATTTGGTTAATAAATAACAATGATGATGACCATAGCTAATATTTCTTGAGTGCTTACTACAAGCCAGGATTGTCTAAAGCATTTGTGAACTTATTGATTCACACAAAAATCTAGGAGGTGAGTCCTAATAGTATCCTCATTTTATAGATGGAAAATCTGGGTCACCAAAATGTAAAATAATACTTTTGTGTACACACAGCTAAGAAGTCTTAGAGTTGGAATGTGAATTGTTTTGTTTCACTTTTGTGTGGGACTTCGTCTTTAGCCAAAAATCTGTGCAAGGTGATTACCATCTTATTAATTTATCCCATGATTATCTGGCCAAAGATATTAACCTTTAAAATGATGTGGTTACAAGAAACATGTTGAGTCAAAGTCAGTTTGGGATTTTGCAGAGCTTAATATATAGATGAGAAGAAGGTTGGCAGGAATGATCCAGTTTATAGATGGGACACGATTTCCCTGACAAAAAGCCCTGATACTTCCTCTTGAGTCCTCAAAGCTGAAGCAAGGCTGATTCACTGACTGCTAGGATTCATTTAAATTCAAGACATCATAAAAGTAACAGGAAAATTGAACAACAACAACATTAATAGAATGGGACACATTGTGAGATTGCTTTTGATTGTATCCACAGGATTTCTGAGAACAAGATGAACAATCGCTCCATGAATCAGGGCAGTGTAGTTGGTTTTGAATATTAATCCATACCAATGCTATAACTTTCCACTTACTACTTAGAACATTCAGACAAAAGCAGATCTTGGAAACATACATTAAGTCATCTTTATGAGGACAAAGCCATCCCTGGCCTTAGGACACAGATATGGCCCAGGGGGATACTCCAGGACCGACCATTTTCTAATGCCGGTCCAGCTGACACAGGATTTTCCAGTGTCACTTCACCAACTGGAGGCCTCCATTGCTGGTGACGCCCCTGCCCAGGCCTTGCTCAGCCCCAGGCTCGCTGCTGGAGGTATCCCACCCACTGGGCCCATTTATGTTACAGCTCATTCAGTCCCCCTGCCCCACTCTGGTCCATGGCTCTGGGGCTGGCCTGGCTCTGTTGCTGCTTCCTGTCATGTGGGGAAGCTCCCTGGCACTGGCAGAGGGCAGAGAGCTACTGTGTTACAGCCTTTTTCATACCTGTTTTTAGAAGGTCCTGAGTTCTTGTCCTACATCCAAGAAGAATGAGGTTATGCTGACAGCTGGCAATTGAGCAAGGTGAAGAGTTTTATTTAGTGACAAAACAGCTCTCAGCAGAGAGGTGACCCAAGTTGGGCAGTACCCCCTACCAGAAGGCAGGGAGTCCCCAAGTGTGGCTGAGTACAGGGCTTTTATGGGGTCAGAATGGGGGAGTATGTGCTGATTGGTTTGTGAGTATGCAAAAAGGCTACAAAAAAGGCACCACTCAAAGATGGGAACGACAGTGTAAAAAACTAATTAGGGAAGGGTAGGTATATGTAAAATAGGTGAAGGATGGGAATCAATCAGAGGAAAGTGCACCAAATGGGGAGAGAAGTTCTCAATCTCATTTGTGGATTTATCTGAAACTTGTGGCTGGGTTTTCAGGCTTTGAACTGTCTTTGGTTTGGAGGTCAGGTTTCCCCTGGACCTGCCCCTGTCTGCTTAGGATCTGTCTGCCTCCTGCCACTATCACAGCCACTGACCATCTCTGTAGCTTGTGACTGTTGTTAATTTTCCTTCCAAGAATGTTGTTGAGACACGTCCCTAGCCCTTTCTTTTAAAAAGGTAATGGCAAAACCTACAAAAAAAATCTGCTTAGAAAACTGGGTGTCCACTCAGCTTCTGTGCCATCCAAAACTCGGGGAAAAAATGGCAAAAGTGTTCAACTGCGAAGGGTAAGAAGAGCAAGGGAATGCAGAATCCTGAGGTCTGGTCACTTCTCCATCTTGAAATCTTAGCTAGTGGAGTCCATAAAACTTAAGGCAAAACAAGTAGGAAAAGGGTAGCCATAATTTCTGGCCTCATGTACCCCTCACAGTTCTCTTGCAAGGGAGAGACCTCATTATGTCTGCAGTTACCTTCTTTTTCAAAAGTCAGCAAGCATTTGTGAATTCTACTCTGTCCACAGGTTACTTTGCTTATGCAAAGATCATAATACAAGAACACAGCTGGGCGCAGTGGCTCATGCCTGTAATCCCAGCACTTTAGGATGCCGAGGCAGGGGGATCACGAGGTCAAGAGATCGAGACCATCCTGGCCAGCATGGTGAAACCTTGTCTCTACTAAAAATACAAAAAGTAGCTGGGCGTGGTGGTGCACACCTGTAGTCCCAGCTACTCGGGAAGCTGAGGCAGGAGAATCTCTTGAACCCGAGAGGCAGAGGTTGCAGTGAGCCGAGATTGCGCCACTGCCCTCCAGCCTGGCAACAAAGCGAGACTCTGTCTCAAAAAACTGGGCAGGTTATTTCAGGAGCAGAGAAACCAGTATCTCTTTCTCCCCAACTTTCAGCTGTAAATGTGAAATAAATGAACATTTTAAACTGTGATTTCACTGATTACTGGTAAATCATGAATTACATTTAACATCATTCAGCTTCTTCCTTTGCACTAAACACAGTGGGCTTATGGAAGTTACCGTTATAACGGAAATGTGTGCCATCTCACTCTTCAAGATGACTCCTGGGTGAAAAGGTTGAATTTGTGATTCACGACAGGTAATTTAGTTTCTAATGAACAGTGGTAAACATTAGTTTGCTTTGAATTTAATATTTTAAAAATTCAAAATAAAAGGCCTTCAAAGCACAAGTACATTTTTATAACAAAAGACAAATATAAAATAAACAATACCCCTAGAAACAAAAATCTCTGGACTTGGGTGAGACCCAAGTCCAGAGACCTGTATTTGGACGTTGACATTTCATCAAAAGTGATGCATGTTACATCCTTCCTCCCTTTACAGAGTAACGTGACTAAATATTATATGCAAGGTACTGTGAGGGCTATAGAAGCAATAACAAATTAAGCAAAATACAAGCTCATGACCAGGGGATGGGGCTTACTATGGGGGTCACTGAAAGGAAGAGGCATGGGGGGCTTCACGGGGATGGGTGTGGACACACCTAAAACTCACTGAGCTGCAGGCTAAAGATTTGTGCAAAGAGCCTTAAGCTAAATTAATACCAAGGGGAGTGAACAACATGGTTGGTGAATTCAGGGGAGACTGGATCCTGCCTCGAGCCAAGCCATTCCTTCCCTTGCTTGACAATCTGCCACCTGGGAAGGCCTGCACATCAGGACAAGAGACAACACTTCCCGAGAGCCTTTCCCTCTGCTCCAGACCCTCCTCCCTTTGGAAAAGGACAGCAACATAATAAAACCACTTTGGAAGGATCAAGGTGATATCTCCCAGATTCTGGAAATAGAGATGGAGCCTAATGGACAAATAGAAAAAAGAAAAGAAATCAACAAGCATGGCTGATGGATCCCCTCAGGGCTGGGTTAGGGGACGGCCCTGAACCTTCAGGCTGACATGACTCGGAGAATGACCACAACATTCCTGAATGTGTGCTCTATTGGCCCAGTGTTAGAGATTTTAAGTCACAGATAGTGAAATGTGATTTCAATGGCTTATCTCTTCTAGGATATGTAAGTTCTATGTTCAAAATAACTCCCCTTTTTTCTGCCTGAATTAAAATATCAGAAATATAATCTTTAAAAAGTTGTGGCATCACACAAGGAGACATGCAGAGTCTGCAGCAGCCTAAGGAAAAGACGGCATTTGCCAACGTCCCTAATTTGCCTTGGGATTGGTGCCTGTGGCATTTTCCTGCACCTGGGCTGTACTCCCAGGACAACATAAATTGACAACTTACAAAACGTTTGGATCATAGCTGGTGGATCAGAGTAAAGACAAGAAATCAAAATAGACAAGATCACAATAGAATAGAGACCAATACTTAAAGGAAATTGCTAAGGCTTAGATTACTACTAAATAGTTCCATTATTTTCCTAATTATTTCACAAGAAATGTTGGGCATCTCATTAAATTACCTTTAAATTACCTGAGATGTATGTCACATTCAAGATGAATCTTAAAAGCTAGCTTATCAACAACACTCGCATTTTTAAAGACCTCATTAAAACAACTCTATTAAAGTCCATAGTTCAGAAATGAATTTAGGACCTAAATTAACAGGAAAAGAAGAGTAGGGGGAAGGGATAATTACCATGACATATCACAGAGAGTGTTATTTAATTAAAATAATAAAAAGAATTATGTGCTGTTCCACATTTGTAATTTCTTAGCTCTTTAGCTTGCCATGAAACATTAAAAGAAAATAAAGAGGATCTAAAAGAATAATTGAGGACAGAGCATTATAATGAGCTTGTTGATGTCTCATTCCCATTGCCAAACTGATCGATGTTGGAATCCATTGTTCCATTAGTTATTTTATGTACACTTAAAGGGCCCATCATTAAAATCAAGAGCCATCTCTGTGGGCACGGGAGTGGGAAAGAGGTAATGTGATGTGGTGACGGGGCTGCAGGGTGGGGTGAGACGGGCTGGGTTAGACCCTCTACAGTTTCAAGAGTTTTATCCACTCCATGATGCTCACTGGTACAACTTAAAAAGCAGCCAACTCATGTAAAAGTAATTTCGATTTTATTCCTACCTTTTAGACTTGGGCTGGGCCTTACATAACCAACCTGGTGGCATCTCATTCCACTCTCTGCCTATCACCTGCTGGGGAATAATAGTTTGAGCTCAAAGGCACAGAGAGATGAATAAAGACCATTTGATGGGATATTTAAATGTAAGTAGTATTATGTAATTAGCCACATGTAAGTAACCATAATAATAAGAATTATGTGCTTTATTTTTAAGATACTGGCCAAGACTGTGTAGATGCTTTTATTGTATAAAAATCTGTTTGCATAAGCATGAAATCCCTTATTAAAAATTATTTTCATCTCAACACTTTATTTTTAATTCAGTTACTTTAATTTAAAAACATTTTCCCATAAAAACAATGTTATAAATGGTGACAAGGTTTCTAGACTCGCCCACAAGGCTTATTTAAACCAAAAATACAGCTGCAATACCATGGCTGCTGGAAAAAAATAGTAGAAATTAGGATGATGGCACCAATAATTTTTTTTAAAATCCTCTGAACTCCAAAAGTGATAGTCATTTTTTCCTCTGCTGTAGCCTAAAAATAGATTGCTTTAGTGGAAGAAAGGCAGTAGATACGGTTTTTTGGTGGGGAGGGGGAAAGAATTTCTGAGCCTTTCCAATTCTTTAGAAATTGAAGTCACTGGCACTCTATTATGGATAAATTACATACATAGTACTATGTATGTAATTCTTTATTGTGTATAAATTAATTTTAAAAACTTGGAGCTCCCTTTTCTCTTTGTGTGGGCATAGTACTATCATGACTAAGCACTAATTGTCAAGAATTCTTGTCAGTTCCAACAACCACTGCTTTTACGACTCTTAACAAAAGTCTTTCCTTTGAGACTGATGCCTGGCTATGGGGCTGCTCATCAGTTCTGTTGCTCTGGTCTAGCTAATGTCCAGTTTCCCCACATATTAACTGAGAATTTTGTCACTCGTCTCTTTGAGGACGTCTTCTCTTGCCCTTGGTTCTACCATTTTCTGAGCAGCTTCTGTGGCCTCACAAATCCCAAGCATTCTGAGTTCCAGCCGACCTTACGCTTCCCTCTCCTTTACAGGCACCCACCTGGGGACATGCTGAGACCCCTGCACCTGGTCCCTCCTCATTCTTCAGGTCTGTCAGCCCACACGGCCCCAACTTCCTATAGTCTCTCTGATGCTGGGTGCAGAAATGCTAACATCTATTGAGCCTTCTTTTGTTTTAAAACATTTTTATTGTATTGGGGGTAATATTGAGGCAGGAGAATAGGGTCTGGAGGCAGGGAACCTAAGGCCATCTCCCACCAACTTCCTAGAACTAAGTTAAAAGGAAAACCCTAACTTTCCATTCCTAAGAAACAAAAGGACCAGAAGCTACTCCCTTTGCAAACTCCAGCCTTTTCAGCGCTGCAGATGGGAAATTGAAAGTACCTTTGATTGGTTGCTTTTTGCTGTCGCTCTAGAGGCACCTGGTGGATGTGTATATCCTGGGAAATGTAGAGATGACCTACCTTGTTTTCATGGACCTAGTACTCATGAAGTGAACGATGATAATGTGACTGATAATTTTTAAAACTGATTCTATATTTTTTTTTATTCCCAGTGAGTTCCCTGTTTAAATTCACAGCAACTTTTCCTGAGCCCACATTGTAATATGGGACTTTTCCCAAGTCCTAAGTTCACAACAAAAATTATAGAAAATATGAAAGCTCTATGATGGCCTATTTTAATAGACATAACTATTGAGGAGAGATAAAATGAGTATTTGCATCTCTGAAAGGGAATTTATACAATAGAGTTTCTAAATGTCTACACCACTTTAAAGGGAAATTTTAAAAGTAATATATTACCATTACACATTAGCCATCAGAAACTATCTTAAAATTGATTAAGCTATTACTTATCTTAAGTACTGTTGACCTATTTTCCTTCAAGCTTGTCATCTATACCTCTAGAATATACAGTTTGTAAGGAAACAGAATATCAATCTGGACACTAGAAGCTTCTTCCTAGAGAATAATGACCATGCTCAATAACTTATCACTCCACTAAATCATAAGCCAGTGCCCAAGGCTGAAGATATTGTATTGCTCAGGGTTCTCTAGAGGGACAGGACTAATAGGATAGATATGTACATGAAAGGGAGTTTATTAGAAGTATTGACTCACATGATCACAAGGTGAAGTCCCACAATAGGCTGTCTGCAAGCTGGGGAGCCAGGAAGCCAGTCGGGGTCCCAAAACCTCAAAAGCAGGGAAACCAATAGTGCAGCCTTCAGTCTGTGGCCAAAGGCCCAAGAGCCCCTGGCAAATCACTGGTGGTATAAGTCCAAGTGTCTAAAAGCTGAAAAGCTTGGAGTCCAATGTTCCAGGACAAGAAGCATCCAGCACAGGAGAAAGATGGAGGCCAGAAGATTCAGCCAGTCTAGTCCTTCAAGTTCCTCTGCCTGCTTTATCCGAGCGGTGTTGGCAGCTGATTAGATGGTGCCCACCCAGATTGAGGGTAGGTCTGCCTCTCCCAGTCCACTGACTGAAATGGTAATCTCTGTTGGCAACACCCTCACAGACACACCCAGGAACAATACTTTGCATCCTTCAATCCAATCAAGCTGACACTCAATATTCACCATCACAGATATGTAACAGGAAAAGAGATTTTTCACTTGATGTAGGAAAAATGTGGGGCATTCAAGCCACCAACTTGGAACTGATCCTTAAATTAATTTCAAATCCTGGGCATACATGTGAAAGAGATCAAATGATCCATGGTTCTAACATTTAGGCCAAAAAATCCAATTCATGCTTACCTGTAAATTTTTCTTATTTGCTGTCTTTACTGTCTCATGTTTTATAACGATAATCCAATGTAATGAAAAATGCTTTCTATTAGCAATTAAGAGAACTGGGTTCTTTTTAAATCTATCATTAACTGACTGTGATGGTTAATTTTAGGTGTGAACTTGGCTGGATTCAGGAATAGCTGGGAACCTGGTAAGGCATTATTTTGGGAGTGTCTACGAGGATGCTTCCAGAGGAGATCAGCATGTGTGTCTGAGTGGACAGGGTGGGAAAGATCTGCCCTTGGTTTGGGTGGGCACCATCCAATCTGCTGGGGTCCTGGGGGGAACAACAGAGAAAAGGCAAATGTGTTGATCTGCCTGCTGAGCTGGGATACCCTCTTCTCCTGTCCTTGGACAACAACCCCAGGCAGCCGGCCTTTGGACCCCAGGACTTGCCCCAGTGGCCCCCCAGGTTCACAGGCCTTTAGTCTTGCACTGAGAATTACATTCTCAGCTTCCCTGGTTCTGAGGCTTCAAGACCTGGATTGGGCCAGGCTACCAGCACCCCAGGGTCTCCAGCTTACAGACAGCCTGTTGTGGGACCCCTCAAGCTTCATAATCACTTGAGCCAATTCCCCTAAGAAATCCCCTTTCATTCACCTATCAATCATATATATCTATCAATCATGTATCTATATATGTGATTATATCTATATATGTGATATATATATATCAATCATATATATCTATCAATCATACATCTATCTATCACCTATCATCTGTCTACCTATCATCTATCTACCTATCCATCTATCTTATTAGTTCTATCTATCTCTCTGGAGAACCTTGAGTACACCAACAGAGTATTTGAAGGCAAATAACTTATTATATATGTTAATAAAAAAAGGAATTGAGGTAGACAACTGGGTTTCAAACTGAGCTTCATGGAGTTCTAGTCATAATTTCACCACAACTTCATCATTAGGAAAATAGGGAGAGACAGAAAAATTGAGGCAAAGCCACTTGTATTGCAACAGAGACATCATACTTTTCCCTACTTTGTATGTTAAGAATCTGTATAGGATTTTGTTTGAACAGAATTGTTCTACCATTACAATATTTGTAATTCACTAGACTCCATTTGATTTTCAATAATATGGTGGACTAGATCTCCTGATAAAACTTTAACCTAAGACATCTGGAAATTCTGGATGAAATGAAGCACAGGTCCTTTTAATCCGTAGCTGAACTAATGGGAAAGTAAGAAATCTTCAGGGAACCAAGCAAAGAGGGGCTGAAAGGCAGTGTGTGAAGCCACCTCTGATGCTGGGGCTGGAAGAGGCACTGCGCTCCGAATAAAGGGGACACCCACACAAGGCTGAGCATGTCCATCAGGATCCTTCCCTGGCTAGGATTTTACTGTAAATTCAAGGAGGAAGTTACGAACAGAGGAATGGGAAGGGTTGAGGGGCTGGCAACTGTGGGAAGCCCCTGAGCAGAGGAGACCTCAGTCCGAGTTGGAGCCACAGGAGGAGGCCACCCATCCAGCAGAAAACGCAGTGGACAGGGTTCATAGTCCTTGGCCAAACAATGCCACTGGGGCATGGATGGGTAGGGCAAGACGGGCTATGAGTTCTTCTTCCTCTTGCCCTCTGATCTCCTGCCCAGGGCTTCCACTGGCTAAACCCAACCAGAGCCCAACCAGTGGGCAGGAGGTTCCTTGTGCCATGGTCATAGTGTAGCCCTCCACGGACAGTGTAGGGACTAAAAGGAGAAGGGTCTTGGGGGTCGGCCAACTGGAGGATCAGCTCAAAGGCAACACATTCCGGGAATGTACAGACGAGGACACACCTGCTGGTGAAGGGGAGTAAGAAGATTTCTCTGACATGGCTTTGAAGAGTAAAATTTACTCCCCCCAAGGATGCTGAATCATAGACTTGTCTTCCTATGTTTGTGGGAGGTTCAGCTTTACAAATTAAGTGGGGTGGGTTCAGGGAGCCCCAAGCTGAGAAATGAAAATACAGTGTCTAAGCCAGTTTCTGATCTCAATTTGCCTTACAATACTTACCTTAGCAGGAACTAAGTACTGTATATAAAATGCTCTGCCATGGCCCCTGGGACACAGGCAGAACTGAGAAATATTAGTGGATCGATCTTGTTGTTATTATGACAATTTAATTTGTTTAACAAAATTTATACAGGCTTACCATGTGCCAGGAACTGTCAACTATTAAGTCATTTACTCTTCATAACGACCCAATAGGGTAATTATTATTATCCTATTTTACAAATGAGGAAATGGAGACACATAAAGATAAGTAATTCGCTCAAGGTCACGCTACTAGAAAGTGGGAAGTGTTCCCAGTTTTCCTGCTCCTTAGAGGAGCTGGTGCCATAGTGACATTATTCTCTCCTTAAGTATCTGGTAGAATTTACCAGCCTAAGTAACCATCCAAGCAGTTTCTCTGAGGAAAAATTTTTAAATTTTTTCTTAATTAAATTTCTTTAATACTCATAGAATTATTCTTATATTTCTTTTGGGGTCAATTTTTGATAAGTTTTAGTTTCATTTCATCTAGTTTTACAATTTACTGACATAAAGTGGTTCTTAAAAACACTTCTGCTCATGCCTGTAATCCCAGTACTTAGGGAGGCCAAGGTGGGTGGATCATTTGAGGTGAGGAGTTCGAGACCAGCCTGGCCAACATGGTGAAACCCCGTCTCTACTAAAAATACAAAAAAATTAGCCGGGTGTGGTGGTGCATGCCTGTAGTCTCAGCTACTCAGGAGGCTGAAGCAGGAGAATCGCTTGAACCCGGGAGCCAGAGATTGCAGCGAGCCAAGATCATGCCACTGCGCTTTAGCTTGGGCGACAGAGGGAGACACCGTCTCAAAAAAAAAAAGAAAAAAAAGAAAAAAGAAAAAAACACATTTATTTTGTTGTTAATGTCTAAAAGATCTAGAGAGGTGAATCCTTCATTCTAGACACTGGTTAACTACTTCTTTTCTCTTTCCTCTAGTTAATCTTTCCCAAAGTTTACTAATTTTCTCAGTCTTTACAAAGATCCAAATTATGCACCTTTTTGATCCTCTCTCTTGCACATTTTTAAGCTTATTAATTTGTGTTTTTTAATCATTCTATTTTCCTTGAGTTTAATTTGCTGTTGTCATCTAATTGATTAAGATAGATTCTTAACACACTGATTTTATGCTTTTTTCTTTTTTTAAAGTGCACATAAACCCATACATTTTCTTCTAAGTAAGAAACTGAAACTTTAACTGAACCCTACAGGTGTTGATATATTACATTTTTATTATCATTTGGTTCAGTGTATTGTCTAATTTCCACCATCACTTTTCTTTGCACCCATAGATTATTTAAAAGTTTATGTCTTAGTTCTCAGAGGAATCTTTTTGTCTTTGTTCTTGTTTCTTAGTTGTCCTATTATTACTGGTATTCAGTTTAAGTAAATTATGTTCAAAATATACCCTCTTTTATTTTAGTTTATTGAAATCTTTTGATATGTGCTTGCTTTGTGGCCATAATACATCAACTTTTATAAATCTTTTGCATGTGTTTGAAAATAACTTGTACTCTGCAGTTACTATTGGTTGCAGTGTTTAAAAATATATCCGTAAGATAGTTTTCTCACTGTTGACATGTTTAATCTTTATTGATTATCTTAGTCCATTTGTGCTGCCATGACAAAATACCTGAGACTGGGTAATTCATAAGGAACAGAAATGTATTTCTCACAGTGCTGGAGTCTGAGAAGTACAAGATCAAGGCCCCAGCAGGTGCAGTGTCTGATGAGGGCTGCTCTCTGCTGTGACAGTGCCCTGCTGCTGTGTCCTCTGGAGGGAGGAACGCTGTGTCCTCACATGGCAGAAGGGACAGAATGGGTGAAAAGACCTGAATTTCTCTGCCAAGCCCTTTTAGAAGGGCACCTAATCCCATTCATGAGGGTGAAGACGTCATGACTTAGTCACCTTCTAGAGGCCACACCTTTCAATTCTGTTACCTTTGGGATTAAGTTTCAACACGAATTTGGGAGAGAACACCAACATTCAAACCATAGCATTGATTTTACAACAAACACAAGTCTTTTTAAAATTTATTAAGTCATTTTATCAGATAATTAAGAGAGACATGTTTTTTAAATGTCCATTATGATTATGACTTTGGCTCTTTGACTCCATGTAATCTCCATGTCAGTTTGTGCTTACTAGAATTTGAGGCTGTTAGAATTGTTATATCTTCTGTGTGACTTCAGCCTTTTTTTAATTTTGAAGCATTCCTGTTTATCTCTAGTAACACTTCTGAAATTAATCTCTATTTTAATATTACTGGAACAATACCACTTTTAGAAATTTAGTTTACAGGTTCCCAAATGTTCCCTGTTCATGGCACCCGTAGTGTCTCAGTAATTCCGTCAGGAGGGCCCAAGACAAAAATAAAACCCAATAGTTTTATCAAACAGGTCCAAACAACTGATAAATATTTCTGTCCTAAGAACTTGGCACTTATTGGGCACTGTACAACTTCTCAGAACTTGGAATCAGATCAGACACCACCCCTTTGTTTATGGGACCACAAGAACTTTTCCACAGTATTTGCTCTTTTATTACAGCAACTAATGAAAGATCAACTTCGCAATGACACAACATCATCAAAAGAAATCTAACACTGAAACTACAAACTTCCGAAAGCTTATGGTTTGTGTGGCATACAACGGATTTGATATGTTTTCTTACAATTTTTTAAATATTCCATGTAATCCTGAGTTGGCTATGGCAACACAGGACACATCAGTGCACCACTTGGAACTTACAGGGTTAGTATTTGAAAAATATATCTTTACCCATCTCTTTACTTTTAACCATTCTGTCTCCTTATATGTAAATATGTCACTTGTAGGCAACATATAGTTGGCTGCTATTTTATTTTTTAACCCATTGAGAAATTCTGCCTTTAATTGAAGTGTTTAGTTCATTAATGTTTAACATGACAAGTGATATATTAGGGAATATGAATATATTCATACCATCTTAAGTGTTTTATATTTAGATCACCTGTTTCATGTTACTTTTTCCCTTCTTTTGGATTGAGTCTTTTTTAGTAATCCTTTTATTTTCTTTGTTGGATTAGTTGTTAAATTGTTTTGGGGGGATTTTGTGGGTGGGGGGGTGGATTTGGGTTTATAATATACACCTTTAACTTATCACAGTATACCTTCAAGTTATTCATACCATGTAGCCTATGAAATAAGAAGCTTAAAATAATATGCTTCCATTTCTCTCCTCTCAACCTTTGTGATATCATTGTCATCTATATTTTCTCTTACACACATTATCAAACTCAACATACATTGTCATTTTTGTATGTCTAAAAAAGTATTTATTTTTATCTTTGGTTTAGAAAGATATTTTCACAAGATATATAATTTTAAGTTAACAAGTTTTTCTTTTAGTATTTTAATGACGCCATTCCACTGTCTTCTCAGTTGCACTGTCTTCAACAAGAAGTCATCTGCCATTCCCATATTTTTTCCTTGCTATATAACCTGCATTTTTCCGCTCACTGCTTTATAATTTTGCATTACTTTGTTTTTGCAAAATTTATGATGCTAATTGAATTTATTTATTGATTGATTTTTCTAATTGAATTTGAGAAATTAGATTATGATGTGCTTCTGTATAGTTTCTTTATATTCTTGTGCTTGGGATTTGCCAAACTTCTTGGATGTGTAGGCTCAGAGTTTTAATCAAATTTGGAAAGTTTTTGTCATTATTTCTTCAAATATGTTTTCTGTTCCATCCTTTCTTCCCTTTGGGGGGTGTGTGTTTGTGTGTGTGTGTGTGTGTGTGTGTGTGTGTGTGTGTGTGTGATTGAAGTGGTTCAAGCTGTTCAACAACAGTTCATTGATGTTCTGTTCATTTTCTAAGATCCTTCTTTCTCTGTATTTTATTTTTTTATAGTTCCTATTGCTATGTCTTCAGGTTGCCTATTCTTTTCTGCAGTATCTAATCTGCTATTAATCCCTTCCAAGTATTTTTTATCTCAGACACTGTATTTTCAAAATCTCTACATAGTTACTTCTGGTCTTCTTTCATATCTTTACTATTTCTACTTAACTTTTTGAGCATATGAATACAGTCATAATAACTGCTTTAATGTCTTTGTTGGTTAATTACAATACCTGTGTCAGTAATCAGTCAATTTCCAATTGATTGACTTTTCTTCTCCTTATGTATTATATTTTCTTGCTTCTTTGTATGCCTGGTAACTTTCTATTGGATGTCAACTATTGTGAATTTTACCTTGTTTCGTAGTAGGTATTTTAATATTTCTAGATATATTCTTGATCTTTATCTTGGAACACAGCTAAGTTAGTTGGAGACAGTTTGATTCTTCTGCATCTTGCTTTTAATATTTGTTAAGTGGGACCAAGACAGTGCTTAGTCTGGGGCTAACTGTTCTTCACTGAGGCAAGATCCTTCTGACTATTCTACCCATTGCCCCATGAGTCATAAGATTTTCCAATCTGGCTGGGAAAAAACAGGCACTTTTTGCAACTTAGTGTGAGCACAAGACATTGTTCCCTCTAATCATTTTGGGTCATTTTTGTGCTAGCCTTTGGTATTTTCCTCATATGTTTATGCTGATCAAAACTTATATAAATAATTGAGGAGGGCCTCAGTAGATTTTCACACTTCTCTCTCTATGCAGCCATCTCCTCTTTGGTACTCTGTAATATGAACTCTAGTAGCCTTGGTCTTCTAAAATTTTTAGCTTCATCTCTTCAAATCAGGGTGTCTTCTGAGTTCTGTATGACTTTCCTGCATCTGTGTCCTGACCTGGAAACTCTTATAAGGCTGTTTGTGAGTTTACTTGTAGGACTTACCCTGTTTATTTCCCATTTCTCAGGGATCTGTGTTCTTTGTTGCTTGATATCTAGAATAATAAAAGCTGTTGTTTCCTATAGTTTGTCTTTTGTTTGTTTATTTCCTAGAAGTTTAAACATACACTTACCATATAACCCAATCATCCTTCTATTTTACTCAATAGTAATAAATGCATATTTTCACAGGAAAATTTGCACACAAATGTTCACAACAGCTTTATCTGCAGCACGCCAAAACTGGAAACAACTCAAATGTTAATCAACAGATAAGTGGATAAACAAACGCTTTCTATCCACAATGGAATACTATTCATCAATACAAAGGAATATTACTCACCAATAAATCCTTAACATACATAACAACAAGGTTGACTCTTAAAATAATTAAGCTGAGTATAGGAAGCTAAACCAAAAAGAACTCATTGTGGCTAATTCCATTTAAATAAATACTTTAAAATGCAAACTAAACTATGGTGACAGAAAGCTGACCAGTGATTGCCTTGGAATGGGATTAGGGTAGAGAGAAGTGAATTGCAAAGGGGCATAAGGAACTCTGGAGCGTGGACCATCTTCATTGTCTTGGTCATGGTGATGGTTTTATAGTCTTATACATGATTCAAACCTATCAAAACCACATAGTTTAAATATGCATAGTTTTTTTTTTTGTTTTTTTTTTTGTTTGTTTTTTTTGAGACAGAGTCTTGCTCCCAGGCCAGAATGCATAGTTTTTTATTTTTTTTTTTTTTTTGAGACAGAGTCTCGCTCCCAGGCCGGATTGCAGTGGTGCTATTTTGGCTCACTGCAAGCTCTGCCTCCTGGGTCACACCATTC
The DNA here is from genome assembly GCF_000001405.40 of Homo sapiens. Lineage (NCBI taxonomy): Eukaryota > Metazoa > Chordata > Mammalia > Primates > Hominidae > Homo > Homo sapiens. The sequence goes on from NC_000007.14 coordinate 156,285,225, forward strand.
TCCTGCCTCAGCCTCCCAAGTAGCTGGGACTACAGGCACCCGCCACCGTGACCAGCTAATTTTTTTGCATTTTTAGTAGAGATGGGGTTTCACCAGGTTAGCCAGGATGGTCTCAATCTCCTGACCTCGTGATCCACCCGCCTCGGCCTCCCAAAGTGCTGGGATTATAGGTGTGAGCCACTGCCCCCGGCCTAAATATGCAGAGTTTTTATACACTAGTTACACCTTACTACAGCAGAAATACAGAGAATTGACTATTAAGAACAAAAACAATAACACTAAATTGCGGGGTTTGTAGCATATGTAGAAGTAAAAATGTATGCCAGCATTATACAACAGAGAGCAGGAATTTACAGAAGGAAAGCCTCATAAGGTCCTTACACTATATGTGAAGTGGAAAAAAGGTAACAAAGATCAGGTAGGACAAACAAAACAAAACCAAGATGGTAAATTTAACCCAAGCATGTCAATAAATGCTGAAAGATAGATGGTGTCAAGTTGAATATAAAAAAGCAAGACCCATCATTATGCTGTCTACAAGAAATCCACTTTAAATACAAAAAAAATATGGAAAAAGGTACCATGCAAACACACACACACACACACACACACACACACGTGTACAGCTTGAGATGTTCTATTAATAGCAGGCAAAGCTGATTTTAGAACAAAAAGTATGACCAGGGCTAAAGGGAAATATTTCAAAATGACAAATTGGTAACCAAAAGGATAAAAAAATCCTAAATAGGCACACACCTAATAACGACACTTAACGAAATGCGACAAAAGGTGAAACAATTAAAAGATAAATGTACAACTTCACAATTGTAGTTGAAAATTTCAGCCTTACTTTCTCTCTATTTGACAGAACAAGAGTGACATACTGAATGCTTGTGCCCTTCCCCCTGCCAAATTCATATGTTGGAACCCTCACCCCCACGTGATGGCTTTAGAAGGTGGGGCCTTTGAGAAGTGATTAGGTTTGGAAGAGGTTTAGATGGGATTAGTGTCCTTATAAGAAGAGAAAGGGACTACAGCTCTCTCTCTTCTATGTGAGGACACAGCAAGAAGACAGCCGTCTGCACACCAGGAAGAGAGCCCTCATCAGGAACCAAATCTGCTGGTATCTTGATCTTGTACTTCCCAGCCTCCAGAACTGTGAAAAATAAATTGCTGTTGTTTAAGCTGTCCAGTCTATGGTAGTCTATGGTAATTTGTTATAGCAGCCAGAGCAGACAAGGACAAGTAAACATAAAACCAGTAAGGATAGAGAAGATTTAAACAACCCTGTCAAGCATTTTGACCTAACTGACGTTTATAGAACCCTCCACCCAAAATAGAAGAACATTCTTTTCAAGGGCATATGGAATAGTCACCAAATAGACCATGTTCAAGTCTTCTAAACAAGCCTCATAAAATTTAAGAGGATTGCAATAAAGTGTTCCCTCTGACCGCAAAATAATTAACATAAAATATTAACAGAAAGATTTGGGGACATACGGAAATATTTAGAAATTTAACAACATACATCTAAATAATGTATGTATCAAAAAGAATTAATATGCAGCCATAAAAAAAGAATGAAGTCATGTCCTTTGCAGCAACATGGATGCAATTGGGGGCCATTATCCTAAGCAAATTAATCCCAAAACAGAAAAACCAAATACCACATTCTCACTTGTAACTGGGAGGTAAAAACTAAGTACTCATGGACATAAAGATGGTAAAAATGGACACTGGGGACTACGAGAGGGAGGAGTGAAGAAGGGGGACAAGGATTGACAAACTAACTGTCAGATACTATACTCAGTATCTGGGTGACTAGATCATTTGTACCCCAAATCTTAGCATCACACAGTATACCTAGGTAACATGTACCCCCTGAATCTAAGGTAAAAGTTGAAAAAAAATAAAAACATAAAAAACAATGAATAGAGGGAATGAGAAAATAGTTTGAACTGAATGAAAGTGAAAACACAATATATTGAAATTCATGGGATGAATTTAAAACAATAATTTTAGAAAAACATGCAGCATTATGCCAAAAATATACCAGATTGACTAATACACCAGATTGTTAAGATTGATTAACACCAATCTTAATAGTAAAAAATGAAAGTCTTTCTCCCTGATTGAGAACATGTGCAGGATGACCACCCTTGCCATTGTTACTCAGTGTTGTATTTGAAGACCTAACCAAAGCATTTCTGCAAGACAAAAAAATAAAATGCATACTATTTGGAAAAGAATAGGAAGAACTATATTTGTTTGAAGATGACATGATTGTCTAGGTAGGACATCTTAAAAAATTAACTCCCCCAAAAAGGTTCTAAATGAATAAGTGAGATAAGCAAGTTTTCAGGATACAAAGACACAATCACCAGTGATGAACAATGGGAAATTAAAACCACTATAATGGCAACAAAAAGATTAAATGCTTATGGATACATGTACGCATATGTATATATATGTGTGTGTGTGTGTATATACATATATGACACGAACGCTGACAACTGTAAAATGTTGCTAAGAGAAAATTTTTAATCTAAGTAAATTGAAAGATACATCATATTTGTGTATCAGAAGACTCAGAATTGCTCAGATGTCATTTCTCACCAAATTGATCTATAGCTTCAATGGAATACCAGTACAAATCTCTTGTACATGGAAATTAACATGTTGGTTCTAAAATTTATATAGATCTACAAAGGATTTAGAATAGCCAAAATAGTTTTGAAAGTAAACTAAGATGAAGCATTTAAATTACCTGATTTCAAGACTTAGTAATCTATAGAAAACAACATAATATATTTTTGGCATAAACATAGACACAAAAAGCAATGGGACAGTATAGAGTCAGAAATACACCCACACAAATATCGTCAATTGATTTTACACAAAACTTCCAAGAAAACTCAATGGGAACAAGAATCATCTTTTCAATAAATGATGCCAGATATCCACATGCAAAAAAAATAAATAAATAGGCCAGGCATGGTGGCTCAAGCCTGTAATGCCAGCAGTTTGGGAGGCCAAGGCAGGCAGATCACAAGGTCAGGAGTTCAAGACCAGCCTGACCAACACGGTGAAACCCCATCTCTACTAAAAATACAAAAATTAGCCAAGCGAGTTGGTGCATGCCGGCAATCACAGCTACTTGGGAGGCTGAGGCAGGATAATCACTTGAACCCGCAAGGCAGAAGTTGCAATGAGCTGAGATCACACCACTGCACTCCAACCTGGGCAACAGAGCAAGAGTGAATCTCAAAATAAACAAACAAACAAACAAACAAACAAACTTCAAACCTTACTTCACACAATACACAAAAATTAACTTGAAATTGATTAGTCTTTGCTAGATCACTCCTAAAGAGTAGGCTTTCAGGGCCTCCACCCCTACAGAGCTGTCAGCTCTCTACCCTTCCCCTAGTCAGCCTCTAGCTGCTCCCTTCTGAATCAGAGAATTTCCCAGGGATTGAAGTTGCCTTCATGCTGGGTTACCTGCTCCTCTCAATTGTCCCCCAGGCCCTGCTGCAGGACTTCTTCACCAGCTCATTAACTCTCCAGATTCTTCAAGGAGTGTGTGAGAGAGAGGGTGTGTGTGTGTGTGTGTGTGTGTGTGTGTGTGTGTGTGTGTGTGTGGTCTTCCAGTTGTTCTCAGCATATGCTTTGGTCTGAATTACCTGGTGCACCATTACTGGAAGTAGCCATGTTTGCTTATTTCATGTTTGCTTGTCCATTACTTTCTGAAAGAGATGTACTAATAAATCCAATAAACTTTGTTCATTTATCTATTTTCCTCCAATTCACTCAGTTTGTGATTTATGAAAGGATTGCCTTTTCTTCATTCCTTTTATTTTAATGAGTAAGGATTTTTCCCAAACACATTCTGCCTCTCTCTGCCCCTTCACTTATTTGTCCCAAGCAAAACACATCTACTTTTTTATATTTTTACATTTTTCACAAAATTATACTTTACACAAAATTAAAGTTACTACTTTGCCTTCCCTTAGTTTCACATTTGTGTGGTATATTATTTCCCTTTGCTGTATTTTCAGCCTTCCTGGATCCTTTTAAATATAAATCTTGCTAATGACATATTTCTGAGTCTCCTTTGTTGGTTTTAGAATCTGAGAGTCTCTTTTCTTTTGAGCAATGATTTTAAACCATTTATATTTATTCAAATACTATAATATTAGGCAATTTGTTTTATCTTATTGCACATTTTTAACTTATAAATTTTATTTTTTGTTTTCTTTTTCTGTCTTGCCTTGAGTATAGACATTCATTCTACTGGTTTGAAAGTTATTTATTTTATTTTTGTTACTGCTCTCTACACATTGTTAAGACCTAATATCAGCTTATTCCTCTTATTAATGTCTAAAGCACAACATCTATATCTTTAAGGGCTTCCCCTGTACAAAATGAGAAGCATAACATTCCTCGTATCAATATTCACACCTTGCATAGTGTATTTGTTATCTATTGCTGTGTGACAATTTATCCCAAAGTTTAGCAAATTAAAACAACCAACATTTTTTGTCTCACAGTATCTAAGGATGAGAAATGCAATCATAGCTTTCTTGAGTACTGCAGGTATACTATCTAATAAGACTGCAGTCAAGGTGTCAGCTGGTGCTCTAGTCATCTTGCGATGATGATTTGATTCCCAGCTCCTTCATGTAGCTGTGACAGAGACATCAGTTCCTTGTCACGTGGGCCTTTCCCTAAGGTTGTTCACAACATGGCAGCATGGTCCCCTCAGAGCAAGTGAGCAGGCAAGTGAGTGAGAGACAGAGCCCAAGACAGAAGCCACGGTCTTTAGGTAACCTAACCTAACCTAAGAGACAGCCCATCACGTGTGCTGAAGTCTATCCATTCAAAGGGAATCACTAGGTCCAGCCCACATCCAACATGAGGAGATTACACAAAAGCATGAATATCTGGAGGTGGGATTGTTGAGCTTTCTGTCACTACAGAATACTTTGCACTTTTCAGAGTGCTACATAAATGGAGTTATACAATCTACTCTTTTGTGCCTGGCTTCTTTTGACTGCGGTTATTTTGAGTTTCATCCTTTTTTTTTTTTTTTTTTTTTTTTTTGAGACGGAGTCTTGCTCTGTCACCCAGGCTGGAGTGCAGTGGCACTATTTCAGCTCACTGCAAGCTCTGCCTCCCCAGTTCATGCCATTCTCCTGCCTCAGCCTCCCAAGTAGCCGGGACTACAGGCACCTGCCACCATGCCCGGCTAATTTTTTGTATTTTTTAGTAGAGACGGGGTTTCACCGTGTTAGCCAGGATGGTCTTGATCTCCTGACCTCGTGATCTGCTTGCCTCAGCCTCCCAAAGTGCTGGGCCACCGCACCCGGCCCATCCGTTTGTTTTGAGTATCAGTCATACATTTCTTTTCTTGCTGAGTGGTATTCCATTGCAGGATCCCCACAATGTGTTTGTCCATTCAGCTGTTGATCTGCATGTGGGTTGTTTCTAATTTTTGGCTATTATGAAGAGAGTTTTTATTAACATTCATTCACTAGTCTTTTTATAAAAATATATTTCCTTCTTCCTTTTGTCTTGGGCAAATACCTAAAAGTAGAATGGCTGAATAAGACAGTAGATGGATGTTTAACATTTTTTTTAAAAAACTACCAAACTATTTTCCATTGCATCATTTAAAATCCCAAGTAGCAGTGTATGAGTGTTCCAATTCCTTTACATCCTTCCCAACACTTAGTGTGATCAGTCTTTTTATTTTTAACTAGCCTGCTAGATATGGTATCAGATATAGTATCTCATTATGATTTTAATTTGCATTTTCCTAATGCTTAATGGTGTTAAGCATCTTTTTCTGTGCTTATTTTTCATCTTCTTTGGTGAAGTATTCAAATCTTCTCTCATTTTTAATTGTGTTGCTTATTTTCTTGCAGAATTTGAGAGTTCTTTACATATCAAGGACACAAGTATTTTTATTAGATATGCGATGCAAAGTTTTTCTCCCAGCCCATGGCTTGTTTTTTATCATTCTCTTAACAGTGTCTTTAAAAAGTGTTCAATTTTGAGAAAGTCTAATTTACCAATTTGTTCTTTTATGGATTATTTTTTGGTATCATACTGAAGAAATCTTTGCCTAGCCCAATGTCGCAATTATTTACTCTAAGGATTTCTTTTAGAAGTTTCACAGTTTTAAATTTTACGTTGTCTATGATTAATTTTGAGTCAATTATTGTATACAGTGTTAAACATGGATTCAAGTGTTTCATTTTTTTTTTTTTTTTTGCCTATGCAATTATTCCAGCACCATTTATTGAAAGAATATTCTTTCTAAAATGCATGGCCTTTTGACATTTGTCAAAGATCCGTCTTCTGTGGGTTTATATGTGTGAGTCTATTTTGGGATGCTCTGTTCTCAGAAATTGATCCATCTTCTATCACAAGTCCAATTCCTCACTGCTTTGATTACTGTAACTTTATAATCATTCTTAAGATTAGATAGGGTTAGTCTTCCAATTTTGTTTCTTTCCATCAAAGTGTTTTGTGTCTTGTTTTTTGTTGTTGTTGTTGATTTGTTTTATGCCATTCTACATCTTTTGCATTTCCATATACATTTTAAATTCAGTTCAATTTCTTTTTTAAAAAATCTGCTGGCATTTTGATTGGGATTGCACTGACTCCATAGATAAACTTGGGGGCGAGTGGCATCTTAAAAATATTGAGTCTTCTGACCTACAGACAAATAATAACACTCCATTTATTTAGGTTCTTATTCCTCTGTATGTAATATGTCTGTGTCTGACTGTGTATCCATCTGTCTCTCTCTTGGTTACACTTAAGATTTTCTCTTTATCACAGCTTTTGAGTAATTTAAATATAATGTGCCTCAGTATCATTTTTAAAAATATGCTAGGGTTTATTGATCTTCTTGGATCTATGGGCTCATAGTTTTCCCCAAGTTTAAAATATTTTGGTAGTTATTTCTTCAAATATTTTTATGCTTCCCTTTGGGTATTTTAAATACCCATATATTAAGCTACTTGAATATACCCCACAACTCACCAATGCTGTTTTAATTTTCTAAAAATTCTTGTTTCTTCCTGTGTTTCCTTTTGGATAGTTTCTATTGTTTTGCCTTTAAGTTCATTAATCTTTCATTCACAATGTCTAATCTACCATTAATCCTTTTTAGTGTATTTTTTCTCATAAACACTGCATTTTTCATCTCTAGAAATTCTATTTGAGTAATTTTATATCATTAACGTCTATACTCATATAGAATATATGTTCTTTTAAAACATGTAGTTATAATAACTGCTTCAATGTCTTTATCCACTATGCTAACATTTTGTCAGTTCTGGATTACATTTGATTAATTGATTATTCTTGTAGTTATGCATGTAATTATCTTGCCTCTTTGTAGACTTAGTAATTTTGATTGAATACCATATATTGAATTTTACATTGTTGTATAGTTAGAACACACATTTTTACATTGGTGTGTGCTGGATATTTTTGTTTTCTAAAAATCTTGAACTTTATTCTGGGATGTAGTTTAGTTACTTGTAAATAATTTGAGCCTTTTGGCTTTTGCTTTACAATTTGTTGAGTGGTTCTTGAGTAGAGATCAATGTAGGGTAATTATCGCCCTGTATTCAGGCAAGATCTCCCTGAATGCTCGACCCAGTTTCCCATGATCTATGATTTTTTTCCAATTTGGCTGGAAAAAAAACAGTATTTCCAGAAAAAAACAGTATTATCCTGAGACCTATTTGAAGACTGGACACTGTTCTCTCTAATTCTTTTACAGGGTTCTTTCTCTGCGACCAGATAATTTTGTCACATGCCTATGTTGATCAATACTCTGTGGGATATTCGTTGGAAACCCCCTGTAGATCTCTGGAGTTTTCTCTCTTTGTGGCTCTCTCCTCTGGTTCTCTGTCCTATGAACTCTAGTAACCCTCTTCTCTCTGACTCTTAGCTCTTTCTCAACTCAGGCAAGTCCTCTGGGATCCACCTCAGTTCCCCCTCCTGTACCGTGTCTGGGAAGCTCTCTCCAGGATGCATACCCAAGCAGTCACGGGGTCCACAGTTCAGCCCCCATCTCTCAGGAATCACTGTCCTTCATCGCCTGATGCCCAGTTTCTTGAAAACCATTGGGTTTCTTTTCTTTTCTTTTCTTTTCTTTTCTTTTTTTTCTTTTCTTTTCTTTTTCCTTCCTTCCTTCCTTCCTTCCTTCCTTCCTTCCTTTCTTTCTTTCTTTCTCTCTCTCTCTCTCTCTTTCTTTCTTTCTTTCTTTCTTTCTTTCGTTGGTTTTCCCAGGCAGGAGGATAAATCTGATCCCTGTTGCTTTATTTTGGCTACAGTATAAGTCTACAAGTTATTTATTCATAGCTAGTTGTTCATTTTCCACATTCCCAATATCCTCGTTCAGCTCTCAAAACATATTCAGTCCCTAAGAGCACCTTCCTAATTTCAGTTATTATTCTGTCTATTCCACGACATCTGCTTCCTCTGGCTTAGACTGCTCTGTTGGTTGTCTTTCACAGTGCTTGAGTTTATTGTATGGCAGGTGATGTTCCCTTTGGGCTCGATTTCATTCTCTGGGCTGTCAATTGATGTCTAACAGTGAGGAGAGGTGGAGAGTTGAGCTTACTGTGTTCTTATCCAGGTGGGTGGACAGGACAACCCCAGGGAAGGGTGTCCCAGTTTCGCAGCATGGTTTCCACCATTCTTTGTTTTCCCCTAAGAAGTCTACTAGTAGGTCCGCCTTAGGCATTACTTCACCCGTTCTTTTCAGGAGCAGTTGTGCCTAACTCTTGCATTGGAAAGGAGTAGCAGAGACCATTAAGGGTGGGCCAGCCACCAGGGCATTTTACTGTTGACTGCTTGGTCCCCAGCCAGTTTCTGCTGCTGTCCTGATAATAAATTTGTCTGGCTGGCACTGTAGTTTTCTTGATACAATTATATTTTGCAGGAAATGACCCATTCAGAGCAAGGTAAAGAAGAAGAAAGAGCACAACTAGGAAGACAGGCCAAGCTGATCCCCCATTTGTTGTCCCTGACCCTCTCTAGCCTTGTTCCCTCACATCTGGACCCTCCCACCATTTGACTGCTTGAGATCATGCTCACGTCTGCTGTTGAACATTTCCGACTGTTCATCACCTCATAGCTCGCATTACATCTGCAGGGTTGGGTTTGGGAGAAAGGCTCAGCAGCTCCATTTGTTCTTCATAGCATCCAGACTTTCTTTTTCCTTGTTGATAACTTAATTATTTAACTACATAATTCTCTTGAATTATAATTCAAAACTTTTATTCATGATCCTGACTCCAATTGGTAATCAGCAGGTAGAAAGTGTTCCAATTAGAAAAATCAAATTAATTCTTTTTTTAAATAAGGAGAAAAAACTACTTATTCTATACCCATGGGAAGTAGAAATTAGGTAGAATTCTTAAAATGAGAGGGACAATTATATCTCCCTCATTTATTTTATCTTCTCTTTTTTTTCTATGTTCTCTGCTCCCTAAAGCCCAAGAAATTACTAGGGGAGGAGATTATTCCACATATTATACTTCCCACCCACTGAAATTCTGCCACAAGTCAAACCATTGGCATGGCTTATGGATTAGACACTCAAGTCTATAAAGTCAGGAAATTGCTATTGGATGTTTAGAAGGCTAAAGGTGATCCCTCTGCTTTTATTTATCTTGTATCAGTCAAGGTCTGATTAAAGGGGTGAAGCCAGTTGCAGCAGAATACTGTCAGTGCTTCCAAATCTCTTCATCTCCCCACTTTTCTAGGTCCATAGAATTACATGCATCATTCTAAATGTTTTTTTAATCAGGTATTTATTACATTAGAATGTGTTTTTAATAAAATCCTATAATTCTTCCCAAAGATGAGCAACTGAGAACCCATGCTGAAATATAATTAGTTTAGTCAAGGTATACTGTAACTCAAAGATCATTTTTTTCAACTTCACAACACAACTATATTTAGAAATAAAAAGCACTAGGTGGAAAAGGCTAAAATTCTGGAATTCCTACTGTCACCATAAGTAAATGGCAAATCTCATTTGAAAGGGTTTTAAGTGTGCTTTGGCTACGGCGATTCTTTTGTTAGCCTGTTTCTCATAGCCCTCATTTCTGCAGCCAGCAGACAAGCTCTGTCCCAGACAAAAATTTCATGAAAATCACCATTTTGTTGAATGTTTTGTGAACTTATTTTAGGCCTAACTCCCAACAATGCATTCCCATCTAAACATCTAATGATTTACCATGTGAAACTAAAACACTCTACTGTATTTTAAAAACATCATAAATCCTGGATCATTCATTATTCCATTTGGAAAGAATCCTCTGAGCAATGATTTGAACAACATGGCAACCGTGTATCCCAGACGACAGTGATCCTTGGGGACATGAGAAGCTGGGCATTCAATACTCTCGTTTCCCTAAGGGTGGGGGAGGCACAGGGCAGGGGAAGGTCTCTCAGCATTGTTCACGTAAATAATAACAATAGGAGTTTCCAATCATGACAACCAAGATAACTCAGAGATGAAGAAAGGAAAGTAGTTACAACTGGTGGCTCTATTAAGAGGAACAAAAAAGGTTTGTTTAATAATTGTGGGACTTTGCAGCAACCGAATAAAGAAACTATGGTGCTGTCTTGCTCCAGGCCAAGTGAGTCTTGGAACGATCTCAGTGTTAACTGTAGAGGAAGCTAAAGTTGGATTATTTGATAGTGGAGACCATAATGGTTTCTATGAGATGAAGAATAATTAGGAAATCAATATAGGATAAGATTTCCAAATATTAGTAAAAGACACTTTTTTTCTTGTAACTCTGGCCCTCCCTTAGGAAAGCACATTTGAAGGTGTTTTGCTGGAAGTACAGATTGGGGAACAGCTGGCAGTGAACCCTTGCTTGGATTGAGTATGAGCCGAAGTGTTAGAAACTCCCAAGGTACCTAAACATGGAAACAGTAGGCCAGGCAAGCCCACCAAAAATAACATTTTATGCTATGTGGAATTTTGCACTTTACAAAGCGCTTTCACATCCCTTGTCTCATTTGCTTCTCGAGAATAGTTCTGTAGATAAGGCCAGCATTTTCACTTTCCCTCCATATACAACTGAGGCCCCCAGTGCTTCAAAGAATTGTCTAGATTCAGACATTGAATCAGAGCAGATCCCAGTCTTAGACCTGTAATCTAAACTCCTTTTATCTTCACCGCACTGTCTCTCAATATTGCCAACACAGTTTTTGGTAACTATTGTCTCCTCTCATTGCTAAACTTCCCAAAAGAGTAGTCTAAAGTTGATCTTTCCACTTTGTCACCTTCCACTGTTTCTGTATCCCATTTCTCACTGGCCTCCTGCCTTTAATAAAGTTAGGTTCCCCAGTGGCCACCTTGATTCTGGATTTAGTGGAACTTCTCTGCGTTTATTTTCCTTGACCTCTGAGCAGCATATTTCCACTCTGGTAGACAGAATCATTTCCCTTCCTTAGAGAAGCCCATGTCCAAGAAACTGTGAATTCTAGATTCTGGGACCTGTGAACATGTTAGGCTTCATGGCAAAGGGGAATTAAGGTAGCAGACAGCATTAAGGTTGTTAATCAGATGAACTTAAACTTGGACATTCTTCTGCATTACCTGGGTGGGTCTGAGGCAATCCTGAGAGTCTATAAGTGGAAGAAAGAGGAAGAAGAGGAGGAAGATGATCATGAACGAAGGAATGAGGCAACTTCTACAAGATGGAAATGAAAGAACCATATGCATTTAAAACACAGCCCGCTTCTGCAGACACACAAAAGTGGGCAGAGTTCATCACCAGAAGACTTACACTACAGAGAGTATGAATGGAAGTTCTTTGAGCAGCACGGAAAACAACACAACTTGAAAACCTAGATCAACACAAAGAAATGAAGAGCATCAGAAACGGTTACCACATGGGTAAACATAAAAAAATTCTTATTACTTGAATCCTATTAAAAGACAGTTGTATTATGGAGTTCATACCATGTGTAGAAGGAAAATGAATGACAGTAAGAGTATACAGTCTAGAAGGGGAAAAATGAAAATATATGCTTGAAAAGTTCTAATACTATACATATGTACTACATTATAATTTGCAAGTAGACTTTGATAAGTTCAAGACATATACTATAAACCCTAAACAAATCACTAAAATAACACAACAAAGGGTAATAACTAAAAAGACAAAAAAGGAGATAAAATAAAATTACAAAACATACTAAATCAATCTAAATAAAAAGAGCAAAAGAAAGAACAAAGAAACAGAATGAACATTAGTCAAAAGAAAACAAATAGCGAGATGATAGACTTAAATCCTACCATAGCAATAATTACATTAAATATAAACAGTCTACAATGGCATAGAATAGAGAACCCAGAAACCAATGCTCACATATATGGTCAACTGATATTTGACAAGATGGCAAGACGAGTTAATGAGGAAAGGGCAATCTTCAGCAAATGGTACCAGAAAAACTGGATATTCACATGTGAAGAATGAAATTCAACCCTTACCTTATGCCCTGTAGGTAAATTAACTCAAAATGGATCAAATACCAGAACCTAAGAACTAAAACTATAAAACTCTTAGAAAAAAAGAGGAGAAAATTTTCATGATATTAGATTTGGCAATAACTTCTTGGCTATGAGAAATAGTTAAATTCGATTTCATAAAAATTGAAAACTTTGAGGGCATTAAAAAGACAATCCACTGAGTAGGAGAAAATATTTGTGAATCATATACCTGATAAGGGATTAATATCCAGAATACATAAAGAATCTTAACTCACCACCCCCAACAACAACAACAACAGAAAAAAGCAATTTAAAAAATGGTCTAAAAACTTGAAAAGATACTTCTTTAAAGACATACAAATGGCCAATAAGCACATGAAAAGGTTCTTAGCATCACCAGTCATTAGGGAAATACAAATCAAAACCACAGTGAGATCCACACTCATTAGGATGGGTACTATCAAAAAACAGAAGATAAGTCTTGGCAAAGATATGAAGAAACTGAAATTGCTGGTGGGAATGTAAAATGGTACAGCCTTGGAAGAAAACAGTAGGACAGTTTCTCAAAAAGTTGAACATAGAATTACCCTATGGTCCATAAATTTCACTTCTGGGTATATCCCCAAAAGGATTGCAAGCAGGGACTCAAGCAGATGTTTGCATGCCAATGTTTATAGCAGCATTATTCACAATAGCCAAAGGTTGGAAATAACCCAAACGTCTATCAGTAGATAAATAGATAAACAAAATATAGTATATCCGTGCAATAGATTTTTCAGCCTTAAAAAGGAAGGGAATTCTGACACATGCAACAACCTGGATAAACCTTCAGGATGTTCTGCTAAGTGAAATAAGCCTGAACACAAAAGGACAAATACTGTATGATCTCATTTGTATGAGGCAAGTAGAATGGTGGTTACCACGGGCTGGGGTTATGTGTGATGGAATGAGAGAGGGTAGAATTGGGAGTTATTGTTTATTGGGTACAGAGTTTCCATTCGAGATTATTAGAAAAATTCTGAAAATTGATAGTGGTAGTGGTTACACATCATTATGAACATACTTAATGCCACTAAACTGTACACTTCAATGGTAAAAGTGATTAATTTTATGTCATGTATATGACAATAAAAAACAAAAAATACATATAAAGACTTTAACCATTCCCAAGTAAAAGGCAGAGATTGTCTGACTGAAAGAAAATAAGAAAGACCAAATGTATCTTACTTATAACGAACCTACTTTTATTTAAAAAAAAAAGACATCTCCCATGCTATTGCTAATCAAAATAAAGCTATCAGACAAAATAGATTTCAGAGCAAAGACTATTATAAGGTCTACTAGCTTTCTATTGCTATGTAACAGTATCGCCACACACTTAGCATCACACTTTTGCTGTCTCACAATTTCTGCAGGTCGGGGTCCAGCATGCCTCGCTGGGTGTCTGGTCATGAGGACTTCCCAAGCATGGCTTCCTGCCTCCACAGTCAGAAAGGAAGTGCAAGAGAGATGCAAGCAAGAGGGGCACTTTAATTATGAAACAAAATTACGTATTATTTACTTATAATTATGCACATGTGGTCACCTTTGCTGTAGTCTTTTGGTTAGAACCAAGTCACAGGTACTGCCCCCGTCATGGCAACGTCACACAGGGCATGAACTCCAGGAGGCAGAAACCATGGGGACTCTGTAAAACAATGCCCGTTATACAGAGATAAACATGGCCATTTCCAAATAATAAAAGAAGAATTCATTAAGAGGACACAGAAATTTTAAGTGTTTATGGATGTATTAACAGAACCTCAAAAGACATAAAGCAAAATCTAATAGAAAAAGGAGATACAGAAAACCCATACTTATAGATCCAAATGTCAACACCCCTCTCTCGAGAATTCAAGTAAGCAGAAAGTCGGTAAGATATAAAAGATTTCAACAACACTATCAACCAACATGACTTAATGGATCTCTATTGAAAACTCCATCTAAAAACAGCAAAATACACATTGTTTTCAAGAGTACTTGGAACATTTTCCAAGACAAACTACATTATGGGCTATAAAACAAGTCTAAATAACTATAAAAGCATTCAAGTCATACCACAATGTTCTCTGATAACAATAAAATGAAATTAGAAATTAATAACAAAGATATTTGGAAAATCTTAAAATATTTAGGAACTAAATAACATCTCTAAAAAAATTTTTTTTAAAAACTTATCTTCAGCAAAGAGAGCAAAAGAGGAATTAGAAAATATTTTGAACTGAAAAAAAATAAAAATTCAACATGTTGGCCAGGTGTGGTGGCTCATGCTTCTAATCCCAGTGCATTGAGAGGCCAAGTCAAGAGAATAGCTTGAAGCCAGGAGTTCAAGACCAGCCTGGGCAACATAGTGAGACCCTGTCTCTACAAAAAAATTTAAAATTAGCCAATGTGGTAGCATGCACCTGTAGTCCCAGCTACTCAGGAGGCCGAAGTAGGAGGATCGCTTGAGTAGGCTTGAGACTGAGGCAAGATGATTGCTTGAGCAAGTCAAGGCTGCAATGAGCTATCATCACACCATTACACTCCAGCCTGGGCGATAGGGAAAGATGCTGTCTCTAAAATGCACACACACACAATTCAATATGTTAAAAAAAAGTATGGGATGCCACTGAAGCAGTACTTATAGGGAAATTTATAGCACAAAATATCTATACTCAAAAATAGACAGGTCTCAAGTCAATGATCTTAGCTTCTTAAGAAACTAGAGAAAAAAAGAGCCAACAGAAACCGAAATAATAATAATAAAAATCAAAGTGGAAAATAATACAAGTAGAAAATAGAAATATAATAGAGAAAATCAATGAAACCAAAAATGATACCTTGAGAAAATTAGTAACATCAGTAACTTATAAAAGACTGATTTTTAGAAGTGAGAGAGGAGGAAGATGCAAATCACCAATATCAGGAATGAGAAATGTGACATCATTAGAGATCCTACAGATATGAAAAGTACAATAAGAGAATATCATAAATAACTTTGCACCAAGAAATTGGACAACTTAGATGAAATGGTAAATTTCTTGAAGGACACTATCAGATTTTACTAAATAAGAAACAGGTAAATTGAATACCCCAAAATTTATCAAAGAAATTCAATTCATAGTTGAAAAACTTTTCACAATGAAACCTTCAGGCCCAGAAGGCTTCACATCTGAGTTCCTCAAATATCTAAGGAAAACCAATAACAGCTCTATACAAACTCTTCCAGGAAATTGAAGAGAAGGACATACTTCTTAACTCATTCAATTCAGTCATCATTATTCTCACACTACAATCAAAGACATAACATTTAAAAACTCACAGTCAATATCCCTCATGAACATAATAATCAAGTGGAATTTATCTCAGGAAGGCAAAGTTGTTTTGGCACTCAAAATCAATCCATGTAATTCAACTTATTAACACACTAAACACCAAACCATACGATAGTCTTGCAGAAAAGGCATTTGGCAAAATCCAACATCCATTCATAATTTTTAAAAATCTCATCAAACTAGGAAAAAGAATCTCCTCGGCCTGATAAAAGACATTTATGAAAATGATAAAGCTGACCCATACCTAATGGTAAGAGACTGAGTGATTTCCATCTAAATTCAGAAACAAGACAAGGATGTCTGCTCTCATCCCTCTATTCAACATTGCATTTGAGGTTCTAGCCAGTGCAATAAGAAAAAAAAAAGAAAGAAAGAAAAGAAAAAAATAAATTAACATCCTGTTGGAAAATTGGGAGTTAAGTAGCATTTCTTATGAGATGACATGACCATCTATCTAGGAAATCCTGTGGAATCTATAAAGATACTACTGGAAGTGAATTGAGTGAGATTGCAGAATATGAGACGGATATTGTTTTGGAGTGAATTGCGTCAGCCTAAAATGTATATGTTGAAGTCCTAATCTCAGTACCTCAGAACGTAACCATATATAAAAATAAAAACTTTAATGAGATAATTAAGCTAAAATAAGAAAGAGCTCAGAAGAAATCAACCCTGAGGTCATCTTAATCTTGGATTTCTCCAGAACTGGGAGGTGAGAAAATAAACGTCTAATGTTTAAGCCACTCAGCCTGTGTGGTATTTTGTTATAGAAGCCTTAGCAAGCTAATACAACATACATAAAGCATTTGTATTTCTCTATTCCAACAACAAACAATCAGAATTTGAAGTTAAAAACGTAAGACCACCTACCATAGATCAAAATATAAAGTGAAATTCTTAGAAATAAATTTGAGAAATGTGTAAAAACTGTACCTTGAGAACCACAAAACATGCAGAGAAAAAAAATAGCAGAATTAAATAGACAGCTACAAGATGTTCATGGATCAGAACACTTAGTATTGTTGAGATAATGGTTCTCCCCAAAGTGATCTACAGACTCAATGTACTCCCAATCAAAAGCCTAGCTGGCTTTCTTTTTTTGAAGAAATTTAAAAAGCTGATTCTCCAACTCACATGGAATACAAAGGATCTCAAATAGCCAAACAACTCTGTAAAAGCACAATTTGTAAACATATGTACTGATAAATTAGGTTTCTTCAACATTTAAAACTTGTTCTTCAGAAGACACTGTTAGGAGAATGCAAATATAAGCCACAGGCTGGAAAAAAATTGAAAATAATATCTGATTTTAAAAAAAAGTATCCAGAACTTTCAAAACTCAATAATAACAGAACAATCTAATAAAAAGTATGAATGAACACTTCATCAAAGTGATAGACAGGTGGCAGATAAGCACCTGAAAAAGATCCTCAACATCATTAGTCATTATAAACATGCAAATTTAAACCATAATGCGATTAGACACCTATAAGAATGGCCCGTGTGAAACTGAGACATTGGTCATACCAAGCACTGGCAATGACACAATGCCCTTGGAACTCTCCCACCTTCTGTTTAGAATATGAAATTAAGGGCCGGGTGCAGTGGCTCATGCCTGTAATCCCAGCATTTTGGGAGGCCGAAACGGGCAGATCGCAAGGTCAGGAGATCGAGACCATCCTGGCTAACACGGTGAAACCCCATCTCTACTAAAAATACAAAAAATTAGCTGGGCATGGTGGTGGGCGCCTGTAGGCCCAGCTACTCGGGAGGCTGAGGTAGGAGAATGGCTTGAACCCGGGAGGCAGAGCTTGCAGTGAGCTGAGATCACACCGCTGCACTCCAGTCTGGGCGACTGAGTGAGACTGTCTCAAAAAAAAAAAAAAAAAAAAAGAATATGAAATTAAGACCTCATTTTAACTTTATTACGGTACTTTTAGAAACAGGCAGTTTCTTTAAAAAGTTAAACATGCACCCATTTTACAACCCATTTTATGACCCAGCCATTCCATTCGTAAGTATTCCCCAAGAGAATTGAAAGCATATGTCCACACAAAGAATTATCCATGATAGCTTACAGCATCTTTATTTGTAATAGCCACAACTGTAAACAGCCCAAATGCCCACCAACAGGTGACTGGAATAACAAATTGTGCTATATTATAATAATACAGTAGAATCCTACTAGCAATAGAAGAATGAATTGTTGATATGTATAGTAATATCTCAAAATAATTATGCTGTGCAAAGAAGTCAGAAAAAGTGAATGTATACACCTTATATTTCCATTTACATAAATGTCTAGAAATTGTAAATGAATCTCTAGTGACAGGAAGCTGATCAGGATGGTCGGGGTAAGAGCAGGGACCAGGCCTTACAGAGCAGCATAAAGAAGGTTCGGGGGCTGTGTCCATTGTCTTCATTGTGATGACGGCTTCACAGGTATATACAGATGTTACATTTGTCAACTTGTACACTTTTTTTTTTTTTTGAGACAGAGTCTTGCTCTGTCACCCAGGCTGGAGTGCAGTGGTGCGATCTCAACTCACTGCAACCTCTGCCTCCCAGGTTCAAGCGATTCTCCTGCCTCAGCATCCCAAGTAGCTGGGATTACAAGTGCTTGCCACCACGCTCGGCTAATTTTTGTATTTTTTTTAGTAGAGATGGGGTTTCACCATGTTGGTCCCTGTCTGGAACTCCAGGCATGAAGTGATCCACCCACCTTGGCCTCCCAAAGTGCTAGGATTACAGGTGTGAGTCACCATGCCCAGCAAATTGTACACTTTTAAGGGGTGGAGTTTATTGTGTGTATCAATCTTATAACCCAAGGATACTGTTAAAAAATTGTGATAGTATATTTTTCCAATTTTGATATCTACAACAACAAATTGTCATCAACAGGTCATTCAAACTGGCGGTGGCATCTTTTTGACGCATCCCCACCATGCTTCGAGCACTTCCTATTGCAGGCTCATCTCATTCCCTGGCCCAGCCCAGCCCTTAAATCAACCTTTTCTCCAAAGAATGCTCTGTCCTTTCATTGCAGAATGGGATTCAGAAACCAAAGCCTGGGCACGTGGCATGCTCATTGCTTTAGGGTGTCTGAGCTTCCAGGTCCTCTTAGCAAAGCCAGGAATCTACGTAAGAAACACAAACACAGGAACACTCACCTGTATCTGCTCCCCCAGCAAGCTGGTGACCTACCTAAGTATATTAAAACTATGAGTTCATACTAATACCTCCAATTCCAGTTCAACATGCAGGGTTTATACACAATTTCTGAAAGAAAATGCTCACCTTTGAGCCATTCTATTAAATGAAAGAACAGCATCAAGAAGGTGGCTTAAGCCCACAAAACCAAGGGCACATAAAAAATAAAGGGCTGGCTTGCAGGCCTATGGACCAGGGCACCCCCACCGAGACCAATTCTGCCGTTCTCGCTCTGTATCTGCAGACATCCCTTCCGGATTTTCTTCCTAATTCCACATATGCAATGCTTTCGAGGCCTACGATATGGAAGAGTCTTTGCTGGCCATTGAAGTTTAAAGAGGTGATTAAGGAGACCAGACTTCATCCTTAAGAAACCTACCAAATAGGGGGAATAGGAGACACATATACTACACACACACACACACACACGCACACACACACAGGCACACCCCTCTAAAATAAAGCAGTGTATGCTAAGAACCAGGGAGGAAGGTGTTGACTTTGTGGCTCAAGGTGGCACTGAATGAGATGATTTCTGCAAATCATTTGGTGCAGTGCCTAACGCAGGGTAAGCACTCAATAAACAATACCTGTTTTGTGGTAAGAAGTGGAAAACCCAGCCCAGTCGCCTCTAGAGCGTCTCATCTCACAATGAAGATTGCAAGATCAAATCCACCAGAGAGGCTGGGGAGCCTTGGCGTTCTCTCCAAGCTCACAAGACTAAAAAGGCAAAATAAATTTCACGCAATCAAGTGTAATCAGCAGCTCTTCTTGTGAAATCCAGGGTCTCGCATCTTCCTCCTGGCAGGTTCTCTTCTGACTCATCTCTTCCCTTTCCCTGGAATCCAAGGTCCCCCATCCCCGCCTTGGAGTCCCTGCCGTGTGTCCCACCAAGTGATGGTTTCAGGGCCCCTCGAAGCAAGAATGCATCCTCTCCTGCTTTTTCCTGTCCAGGTTAGAGGAGGAAAGTGAGTATATTCAGTCTGGAACCTGAGCACCTGTCCTTTGTATTAAATACCTACGCCAGGCCAAAGTTCTGATTCCTGGCTCAGAGCAGGTTTGGATGGGAGAGAGAGGGAAACGGTACAAGGGCAGGGAGGTGGAGGGGCCTCAGGACCGGGTGCAGCAGGAAAGCAAGACGAATGGAAAAGCACTTACTAATCATCCCGTGAATAAATGAACACAAGGAGCCAGGAATAAATGCAGGCATGCATCCGCGAAAGAATGTGTAACCCACACGTCACGGTTCTTACCCCACCTGCTAAACCTGAATCCCTTCCAAGATGTCTCTGACTTGCCTGGATGTCTCTGTCATATTTGCAGGTGTTGCCTCCAATGGCTTCTGGGACCTATTCCTGCTCGGGACATGGTCCTGCTGGGCCCCACTGTCCCCTCCCCACCCCAGGGACTGTGACAGCCAGCACAGTGCTGCAGGGTGCATGCTCTGCCCAGAGCCACAGAGCGCATCTCTCGTCCTCTCAGCATTTCCACCACCACCCACATCCTGCTGCAAGCTTGGGGTCTGGGGCCTCCAGCATCTCCAGCGTCCCACAGCCTTTTTACAATGGAGTTATTGCATTTCTGTCCACAGCTCATGATAACGAGGGGAGCTGAGTCTGATGCAGCTGCTGAGGGAAGTCCTCCTGATGGTCCCTGACTTAGGATGGCTCCACTAACAATTTTTTCATTTTTCAACCTTACAATGGGGTGAAAGCAATAGCAATTCAGTAGACACCATCATTCCAGTTTTGCATGGTGATCTTTTCCTGGGCTACGGATATGCAGTATCATACTCTTACTATAAAAAAGGACTTGTGTTAGCTGCTTTTTCCCCACTGTAGGCTAATGTAAGTGCCTGAGCACACTTGTGCTGAGCTATGGTGTCCTGTAAGTTAGGTGTATTAAATGCAGTTTCGACTTTTGGTATTTTCAGTGCAATTGGCATATTGGGATGGGGCCCCACTGTAAGCTGGGGGGCATCTGTAAAACTGAATGCTGCAGAGAAAACAATAGGATGACAGTGTGAGATCATGACTGTGCCCACAGTTCCTGGTGGGAATCAGGACAAGGACATGAACAGGGAAGGGAACCACATGAAGCAACACAGGATCCCACAGTCACAGTCCCTGGTGGGAATCAGGACAAGGACATGAACAGGGAAGGGAACCGCATGAAGCAACACAGGATCCCACAGTCACAGTCCCTGGTGGGAATCAGGACAAGGACATGAACAGGGAAGTGAACCACATGAAGCAACACAGGATCCCATAGTCCGTTCTGCAGCCCATCCCTCCAGGGTCAGAGAGGAGGGCTTGTCACAATAATAGCCTGGACAGAGAGCTGGGAAACCAGATTCAAATCCTAGTTTTGCCTCCAGCTCATCAGCAAAATAAGAAAAAAATCATCAAACCGCATTTGAATTTTCACAAAATCGACAGTGCTTCTAACCAGCAAAACAATAGCAAAGCCATATTATCTGTGATTTGCAGCAATTTATTGAGTTAGTTCGTTAGTTACTTATTCATTCGTTACAGACGGCTTTGAGAATCTGATGAAAGCTCTAAGCCCACTCTCCAGACAAACGCCTGCGTGGACAGTCCCATGACATTTTGCATCCAATTGCTGGTTAAGCGTTAAGGGTCCCTAATATACATTCATTTAGAACTTTCCATTGTTCAAAGTGCTTTCATGCCTGTTATTTTATCCTACCCTTTTCTTGAGATCGAATAAACATATTCAGTAATGAGCACATTTGTGCTGAGCTATGGTGTCCTGTAAGTCCTAAAACCCTATCCTGATTCAGGTGTCTAAACTGTAACAAAGCACATACTGCTACCAACCGCAAGATTCTGAGGCCTAGGAAATCGTGGATTACCTGAAAATGTCCTCTTGTATTTCATAATCCAAACTCCAGGGCTGAAGGAAGAAAACATAGAAGACAGGGTAGGGAGAAGTTTTGATGTGGTTCTTCATCTCAAAACTACTAACAGTAGAAGGTTTTGAAAACAATAGAGCCCTCCCCAGACCCCGTCCAGTAGCGTTGACCACCCATAACCAGCAGGTGGAATCCGCTGAACTTCAGAAGAGAGGCTGGCCTCTGGTAATCACGGGCAGGAGAGGAAAATCCTTCCATGGCAGAGGGTTTGGTCTTGGGAGTCCCAGGATCTCCCGGCACCCCCACCACAGCTCAGCAAGGGGCCTGCCGGAGGAGGCAGGGGGCCGAGGGACTCATTAGCACCCCAGAGAAAGGGGCGGCTCCTCGGAGACAGGCCCTGAGCAATTACAGGGTGGCCGAGATGAATCAAAGGGGAATGATGATGGATTCCCCTCATATCGGGAGCAATCAGCATAATTTATCTCCAAATCAGCAGCGAGACGCGGAGGCAGTGTGCCTGACGCATGGGCAGGCGGTGTGACAGAAATTGTTTTTTAAGTAGTTGCCCTCTGAAAATATTACCCTCTCCCTGACACTGGGTATAATGAGACCTTGATTATCTGTCAGGCCTGTGAAATTAGGAGTGGTTATCGAGGATACGGGAGCCAGTTGAAGCTACCCCTTTCCAAAGTGCTCTCATTTTTTTCCTCTCTGTAGCATCGCTCTTTGTTCTTATTCATGCCCTTCCTGCTTTCTTTTGGACTTTCTCTGTTGCCTGCCCTTGTGAGAAGCAACGTGCCCTTTCCTGCACCCACCATGCAGTGCTGGGGGTGAAGTCAGTGCACACAGAGTGGCAAATCCTGAGAAGTAATGAGGCCGTAGTGGATGCCAAACAGTCCTCTGATAACACTTGAGGAAGGCAGTTCCTCGGAGAGCCATTTCTCTTTGCTAAGTTCTATCCATATTTCCGATTTTGTTCTAACTCAAGGAAAACAAAGACGGAACAGGCTAAGACTGATAGGGAACTGGCCGTCCCTTTCCCAATACATTTTATTCACTTATGGAAAAAAATGATAAGGAAAAGAGTGAACAATAGGCTTTCCTCTTCCGGGGAGCAGACCCTTTTGCTGTGAGTCCCTGGAGGAAGTCTGTAAAATGCAAGGGGGTGGGTGGAGAACTAGGTAGCAGGAAAGACCACGGAGGCTGAGTGCTCCCTGCTCTGAATTCCTTCTCATTGCCCCACTGGCCTGGGGTCAGACATCTGCGAGTGTCATCTTTTATTACCTCAGATTATTTGCTCCATCTCAACAGTGACTTGTAGAGGTTAGAGACCTGCCCGTGAATCTTCACACAGCAATACTGTTCTAGGCTGGTGAGGAAATTTCACTTTGCTTAAAATTGGGCATTCATTCATTCATTTCTTCAATAAATATTCAGTACTAACTTTAGGCAGGGAGACTGGAGGAATAAAAAGATAAATCTAAAACAAATCCTGCCATCGAGAAACCTAAATGAATAGTTGATAGAAAGATCAAATTAAATGAAAGATGGTGCTTTGCAATTGCCAATGTTGCAAATGTAAGATGTTGTTGTTTTACTTCTCCGGCTCCCCAAATGGCAACTGATGTTTTGCATGTAGACTGTGCTCAGTGTTTGCTAATTGATTAAGCTGTACTGACTTTGGCAGAAAGCCTTAAAATGTTTTCTGGCAGCAAAGGAAAAAATATATTTATCTACAAAGGAGAGATTTAAAATTCCATTGTATCAAAACCAGTGACAATGCCTTAAGACTTGCATTCTATTTCCCAAATAATCCTATGGTGTTGAAGGACCTTCTCTAGTTGTCGAAAGCATCACTCAGGAGAAGCAGCAGCAGTGTCTGGAATACTAAGTGGGCACGAAGGCAGCTCTCCAGCAAGCCGCTCTGAGCTGCTGCTGGGCCAGAGACGGCAGCCAAGACTCCAGCCCCAAAGGAAGGAGCCGCTTAACTCACTCCCTGGAAATCCACTGGCACTGAATAACGTTCTCAATCTGAAGCTGTTTGTTGTAATCGGCTGGAACAATTTGATAAATCTCTCATTACATCCCGAGAAACTATGACATCTATTCTACTATCAGCCAATTGAAATGGCAAACATAACAGGACCTTGGCTCTTCCTGAACAGTCTGGCACGGTTATGGGACAGAAATTCCATCTCTCACGGAACGTTGTTGCTGCTTCATGGCGGGAGAGAGTGGGAATGCGGGGCTGGTGTGACGATGGAGGGAGCCCTTTCCAGGCATCCTCAGCTGCTAGCACTGCTGGGAGAAACTAAAGCACCTGTCCATTTGCTTCTTTTATTTGTCACGGCTAGACTGGATTTGAAAATAGAACTCCCTGAGCAATGAGAACACTTGGACACAGGGAGGGGAACATCACACACCGGGGCCTGTCAGGGGGTGGGGGCCTAGGGGAGGGAGAGCATTAGGACAAATACCTAATGCATGTGGGGCTTAAAACCTAGACGACGGGTTGATAGGTGCAGCAAACCACCATGGCACATTTATACCTATGTAACAAACCTGCACGTTCTGCATATGTATCCCAGAACTTAAAGTAAAACAATAAATAAATAAATACATAAATAAATAGAAAATGGAACTTTTTCTCCAATTTTATTGAGGCATACTTGACAAATAAAAATTGTGTCTATTTAAGATATATAATATGATGTTTTGATATACCTGTACATTGTGAAATGATTACCACAATCAAGGTAATTAATACATCCATCCCCTCACATAGTTACCTTTTTTTCCATTGGTGACAACAGTTAAGATCTACTTGCCTAACAAATGTCAGGTGTGCAGTGCAGCATTGCTAACTGTGGTCCCATGCTGTCCCAGAAGTTATTCATCCTGCATAACTGAAACTTTGTACCTGTTACCTGAATATCCACATTCCACACCCCACCCCCCACACTCTGCTCAGCCCCTGGACACCACCATTCTACTCTCTGGTTTTATGAGTTCAGCCTCTGTAGGTTCCACATATAAGTGAGATCACGCAGTATTTGTCTTTCTGTGTCTGGCTTATTTCCCTGAACATCATGTTCTCCAGAGTCGTCCGTGTTACAGCATGTGACAGGATTTCCTTCTTTTTTAAGGCTAAATAGTATTCCATTGTGTATACATACCACATTCTCTTTATCCATTCATCCATTGATGACACTTAGATTGATTCCACATCTTGGCTGCTGCGGATAGTGTTGCAGTAAACGCTGGAGTACAGACAGCTCTTTGACACACTGATGTCATTTCCTTTCAGTATATACCCTCCAGTGAGGTTACTGGATCACATGGTCACTCTATTTTTCATTTTTTGAGGAACCTCCATACTGTTTTCCATAACGGCTGTACCAATGTACACCCCCACCACAGTGTACAAAGATTTCCTTTTCTCCACACCCTCACCAACATTTATTATCTTTCATCTTTTTATAATAGCCATCCTAACAGATGTGAGGATAGCTCACTGTGGCTTTGATTTGCATTTCTCTGATGACTAGTGATGCTGAGCATGTTTTCATATACCTGTTGTCCATTTGTTTGGAGAAATGTCTGTTCAGGTCCTTTGCCTAGTTTCCAATCAACTTTTTGTATTTTTTGGTTCTGTTTTCCTTCGGGTTTTGCTATTGACCTGAGTCCCTTATCTATTCTGAATATGAGCCCCTTGTCAGATGAACAGTTTGCACGTATTAATTTCTCTCAGCCTATAGGTTGTCACTTCACTCTGTTCATCATCCTCTTTCTTGTGCAGAAGCTTTTCAGTTTGATGCAACCCGACTCGTCTATGTTTGCTTTTGTTATCTGTGCTTCTGGTGTCCTATTTTTAAAAAACACTGCCTGGACCAATCAAGGAGATTTTTCCCTATGTTGTCTTTTAGTAGTTTTACAGTTTCACATCTTACTTTTACACCTTTAATTCATTTTTGGGCTGATTTTATTAAGTGTGAGATAAAAATCTAATTTCTGCATGGGATTGTTCAGTTTTCCCAGGACTGTTTGTTGAAAACACTATCCTTTACCACTGCGTTCTTGGCACCTTTTTTGAAGATTACTTGACTGTAGGTGCATGAATTTATTTCTGGGCTCTCTATTCTATTCCATTAGTCTGTATGACTGTTTTTATGCTAGCATCATGCTGTTTTAATTACTGCCATTGATAATATTTTAAAATCAGAAAGTGTGATGCCTTCAGTTTTGTTCTTGCTCAAGATTGCTTTGGCTATCTGTAGTCTTTTGTGGTTCCATATGAATTTTAGGATTGCTTTTCTATTTCTATGAAAAATGTCATTGGAATTTTGATAGGGATTGCATTAAATCTTAAGATTCCTTTGGGTAGAATGGACATTTAACAACATTAATTCAATATGTGAGCAAAGAATATATTTTTATTTATTTGTGTATTTCTTTCTTCAATGTCTTATAATTTGCAGTGTACAGATATTTCACCTCCTTAGCTAAATTTATTCCTAAGTATTTTATTCCTTTGGATGCTATTGTAAATGAGATTGTTTTCAGATAGTTTATTGTTATTGTCTAGAAATGTAACTGACTTTTGTATGTTAATTTTGTATCCTTAAACTTGGCTTATCTCACTTATTAACTCTTACAGTTTTTTGGTGGAGTCTTTAGGGTTTTCTATATGTAAGGTCATATCATCTGCAAACAGAGAAAATTTGACTTCTGCCTTTGCAATTTGGGTGGCTTTTATTTCTTCCTCTTGCCTAATTGCTCCAGTATTATGTTGAATAGAAGTGGTGAGAGTGGACAACCTTATCTTGTTCCTAATCTTAGAGGAAAAGTTTTCAGCTTTTCACTAATGAGTGTAATGTTAGCTGTGGGCTTGTCATACATGGCCTTTATTATGTTGAGATATAGTCTTCTACACCTGATTTGTTGAGGGTTTTTATAATAAAAGAGCATTAAATTTTGTCAAATCCCTTTTTCCATTGATTGAGATGATTATATGATTTTTGTCCTTTATTCTATAAATGTGGCATATCACCTTTATTGACCCGCATGTGCGGAACCGTTCTTACATCCTAGGGAGAAATCCCTCTTGATCATGAGGTATGACACTCTCAATGCATTGTTGGATTTGGTTTGCTAGTTTTTGTTGGGGGTTTTTGAATCTATATTCATCAAGCATATTGTCCTTTAATTTTTTTTTCTAGTGCCCTTGTCTGGCGTTGGTATTTGGATATTGCTGGTTTTGTAAAATGAGTTTAGAAGTATTTCCTCTTCTTCAACTTTTTGGAAGAGTTTGAGACGGACTGGTGTTAATTCTTCTTTAAATGTTTTGTAGAAGTCACCCATGAAGCCATCTAGACCTGGATTTTTCTTTGTTGGGAGGTTTGGGAGTACTGATTCAATCTCTTTATTGGTTATTGGCCTGTTCAGATTTTCTATTTCTTCATGATTCAGTCTTGGTAAGTCATATGTTTCTAGGAATTTATTCATTTCTTCTAAATTCTCTAATTTGTTGGCATGTAATTGTTCATAGTAGTCTCTTATGATCCTTTGTATTTCTGTGGTAGCTGTTATAATGCCTTCTCTTTCATTTATAATTTTGTTTATTTGCATCATCTTCTTTTTTTGGTTAGTCTAGCTAAGGGTTTTTCAATTTTGTTTGTCTTTTTAAAAAGAGCAAGTACTGGCCGGGCACTGTGGCTCACGCCTGTAATCACAGCACTTTGGGAGGCCAAGACAGGCGGATCATGAGGTCAGGAGTTTGAGACCAGCCTGGACAACATGGTGAAATCCCGTCTCTACTAAAACTACAAGAAAAAAAAATTAGCCAGGCCTGGTGATGCACGCCTGTAGTCCCAGCTACTTGGGAGGCTGAGGCAGGAGAATCACTTGAACCTGGGAGGCGGAGGTTGCAGTGAGCTGAGGTTGTGCCACTGCACTCCAGCCTGGGTGACAGAGTGAGACTCCATCTCAAAAACAAAAACAAAAGAACAAAAACAAACAAAAAACACAAGTACTAATGTTGTTGATTTTTTTCTATTGTTTTTCAAGTCTCTATTTCATTTATTCCTGCCCTGATCTTTCTTGTTTTCTTCTTTCTCCTAACTTTGGGCTGATTTTGTTCTTCTTTTTCTAGTTCTTGGAGGTCTAATGTTAGGTTGTTTATTTGAGATCCTTCTTTTTTTCTTATCATAGACATTTATCATTATAAACTTCCCTTTTCAAACTGTTTCTGCTTCATCCCACAAATTTTGGAATGTGTATTTCCATTTTCATTTGTCTTAAGGTATTTTTTAATTTCCATTTTTATTTCTTTTTTGATCCATTGCTCAGGAGTATGTTGTTTGATTTTTACATACTTGTTAATTTTCTAGTTTTCTTCCTGTCTTTGATTTTTAGTTTTATACCACTGTGCTTATGAAAGATACTTGATATGATCTCAATCTTCTTAAATTTGTTGAGACTTGTTTTATGACCCAACATATGCTCTATCCTGGAGTATATTCCATGTGCACTTGAGAAGAATGTGCATTCTACTGTTTCATTAAATGTTATGTATAGTCCATTAGTTTCATTTGGTCCACAGCGTTGTTCAAGATTGCTGTTTCTTTATTGACTTTCTGTCTGGATAATCTATCCATTGTTGAAAGTGGGGTTTTGAAGTCCCTACTATCATAGCATTATTGTCTATTTCTTCATTTGTTTCTGTTAATATTTGCTTTCTGTATTTAGGTGCTCCAATGTTGGGTGCATTACAATTGTTATATAGTATTCCCCCCTTATCAGTGGTTTCACTTTCAGTGGTTTCTGTTACCCACAGTACAGTACAATAAGATATTTTGAGAGACAGAAACCATATACACATAACTTTTATTACAGTATATTGTTATAATTGTTCTGTTTTATTATTATTGTTGTTAATCTCTTACTGTGCCTAACTTACAAATTAAACTTTATCATAGGCAGGTATGTATAGGAAAAAACATAATAAATACAGGGTTTACTACTCTCCATGGTTTTGGGGCATCCCCCATGGATAAGGGGGACTACTCTATACGCTTGATGAATTGACCCCTTTATCAGGATAGAGTGAACTTCTTTGGCTCTTGTGACAGTTTTTGACTCAAAGTCTATTTTGTCTCACATAAGTATAGCCAGCCCTTCTCCCATATTCATGGAATATCATTTCTTTATTCCTTTACCTTCAACCTATTTAGGTTCTTAAAGCTAAAGTGAATCTCTCGTAGGTACCATATAGTTGGATTTTGGTTTTTTTTTTCTATCAATTCAGCCACTCTGTGACTTTTGATTAGAGAATTTGATCAATTTATAATTAAAGTAATTATTCATAGATAAGGACTTTCTATTGCCATTTTGTGAATTTTTTTCCAAATGTAGTTCTTCATTCCTTTCTTCCCCTCTTGCTGTCTTCTTTTGTAATTGATAATTTTTGTAGTGATATAATTTGATTTATTTCTCTTTATCTTTTGTGTGTATCTGCTATACCTTTTTTCTTAGTGACCACTGAGGCTTACATAAAATATAGCTATAATAGTCTACTTTAAGCTGCTTTAAGAGTTTAAGCACATACAAAACTGCACTTTTATTTCTTCACCACATCTTTTATGTTATTGATATCATAAATTTACATTTTTATATTGTGTATCCATTAATAAATTATTGTGGATATAGTTATTTTTAATATTTTTATCTTATAACTCTTATACTAGAGTTAAATCTTTATGTACCACCATTACAGTAATAGAATATTCTGAATTTAACTATATACTTACCTTTACCAATGAGTCCTATACTTTCGTATGTTTTCATGTTATTAATTAGCATCCTTTCATTTTAACTTAAAGAGCTCTCTTTAACATTTCTTGTAAGGCAGGACTAGTTGTGATGAACACTCTCAGTTTTTGTTTGTCTAGAAAAGTCTTTATCTCTTCTTCATTTCTGAAGGACAGTTTTGCTACATAAAATATTCTTGGTTTATAGTTTTTTTTTTCTCAGCACTTTGAATATACCATTTCACTCTCTCCTGGCTTTCAAGGTTTCTCCTAAGTAATACACTGATCATCTTATACGGACTTCTCTTGTACGTAATAAACCTCTTTTCTCTTGCTGCTTCCAAAGTTCTCTCTTTGTCTTTGACTTTTGACAATTTGAATATGGCCTGGTGCAATCTTCTTTGAGTTGGTCCTGTTTGGACACCTTTAAGCTTCATGAACCTGGATGCCCATATCTTTCCTAAGATTTGGAAAGTTTTCAACCATTATTTCTTTAAATAAGCTATATGCCCCCCTCCCCCTCCCCTTTTCTCTTTTTGGAACTTCCATAATGTACATATTGGTTTGATTAATAGTGTCCCATAAAATCCACAGGCTTTCTTTATTCTTTTTCATTCTTGTTTCTTTTCTCTCCTTTGAGTATTTCAAATGACCTATCTAGAAATTTAAAGATTCTTTCTTCTCCTTGAGAAGTCTGCTTTTAAAGCACTCTATTGTATTTTTCATTTCATTCATTCTACTCTTCAGCTAAAGAATTTCTGTTTGGTTCTTTTTTATAACCTCTATCTCTTTGTTGAACTTCTTGTTTTGTTCATGTATTTTTTCCCTGATTTTGTTGAATTGTCTATGATCTCTTGTAGCTCACTGAGCTTCCTTATAATAATTATTTTGAATTTTTGTTATTCAATTCATAGGTATCCATTTCTTTGGGGTTGGTTACTTACTGGAAAAGTATGCTCCTTTGTTGGTGTCATATTTCCTTGATTTTAATGTTCCTTGAAGTCCTGCATTGCTGTCTTTGCATTTGTTGTTGTTGTTTTGTGTTGTTTTATTTTGTTTTGTTTTGAGATGGGGTCTCTCTCTGTAACCAAGGTGGAGTGCAATGGCATGATCTCGACTCACTGCAACCTCCGTCTCCTGGGTTCAGGCAATTCTCCTGCCTCCGCCTCCCGAGTGGCTGGGATTATGGTGCCCGCCACCATGCCCATTAATATTTGTATTTTTAGGAGAGATGGGTTTTCACCATGTTGGCCAGGCTGGTCTCAAACTCCTGACCTCAGGTGATCCACCCGCCTCAGCCTCCCAAACTGCTAGATTTACAGGCATGAGCCACTGTACCTGGCCCTTTGCATTTGAAGACATGGTCACCTCTTCTAGTCTTTACTGACTGGCTTTGAGAGAGAAAGACCTGCAGTCAGCTCAGTGAGGGATTTGAGGGTCTCTCAGATCTTTTCTGGAGATATGCCCACTTCACTCCCCTTGCTTACTCTTGGGAGTGGACAGAGTCTTATAATTATAAGCCTTCCCTTCATTCCCCAAAGCCAGGTCAAGTCCAGAGTGTCTTCCATTTATTTGTCCTAGTGTAGTGTCCTGACTTGTTCAAAGTTGTGTGCCTTCTTCCAGTCTCGCAGAGTTGAGCCAGCTATCTACATGTGTTTGTGCACAATCTACAGAGACTAAGACACACAGTCTGCAGGGCTATGCACAGACTGCCAGCTATAGGGGGTGTAGAGGAAATGCATGGAGTGTGGGGAGTATGCATGGGCTATTTGGTGGGGGAGGGGGTCCACAGTTGATCCATCCTACATGGTTTGTGGGCAAACCTCTTGGTGAAGTGCATAAAGTTGTTAGTAGAAACTGAACCCATTGTTGAGTTCTGCACCCAAATGCTGTGAGCCCCTGCTCCCTTTCTTTGATCACAGCTACATCCAAACTGTTCAGCCATGCCAATCTCCTCAGTGTCCTGGTATAGCGAGAAAGGCGTGAGCCTCTCAGGTAGGTGGAGAATCTGGGCACTCACTACATTCTCATGTTTCCCCTTGGGAAAAATCACAGGCCAAGGAGGTCTCCTATGACACTAAGCAGTGCCATTTTGAGGGAGAGGTAATGTGGGTAACATGAAACTATTCTTCTTACCCTCTTCAATGTGTCTGCTATTGGATTTTTTGCTCCAAATGGGTGCTGGGACCTCTCCACTGAACTCTCAGGCTTCCACGAAGGTACTCTCATTCATGGATGTTTGAAAACTCCTGCATTTGGCCTTTAAACATAGTGTTCCACTATCACATTTACTATAATAATGAAATGAAAAATAATGTATTTATAAGATCTTATAGAAAAACTTAAAATATATAAAAATAGTGTTTTATAAAAACACATATGCGCCATGGTATAATTAGGTTTGGTGGTCACATAGTACATTTCATTACCTGGGTTCTGATGGATATAAAAAACTTTCTTGCTTTTGTATACTTTAATTGCTTGGCTTCCAGAATGGGGTCTGTCAGAAAGCCTTTAGAATAAAGGGAAATATTATCCACAGGAGCAGAGTGATCTTGTGGGAAGAGCTCGGAGTAAAGTTTCAGGGCCCAGGTTCTACCCCCAAGCTCATCATCCGCAAACTATCTGGCCATGCACAATTCCTCAACCCTATATATCAGTGTCAATAAAACAAGTCAAAGAATCTTATGGTAGTAAAGCCTAGACTATGAATGCCACAAAACTTTGGTTATTCAATAAGATTAGTGAATAAATATTGAAAGACCGAAGTCCCATTACAATGGCAGAGGTTTCTACCGTGATTATGTGAGCCTGAATATTTAAGTAATGACAGAATTTTTTCTTCAAAATCAGACCTTGATTGAGCCCCAGCTCTAAGAGGAGTTTGGGTGCCAGGACAATCGCCATTCTGATTCACTGGAGATCTACACCGGTAAATGAGGCAGACAGCCTCTGCCTGCTATTGCCATTCATTGGTAGAAAGTATATGAAAACACAAGCTTTCGCAAAAAGTAACAAAAGTAAAAGATGATTGTTTCTGTAGTGTTATCTTTTTCCCTCTACTATAAAGGAGGATGACGTTTTGTGACACCTCATCCTATTTTCCTTGGTTCTCCTGTAACTTTATGGACAGAGATGAACCGAAGCATCCCCTTCTGGTGGTGGAGTTTCATGTTTATAAAAGATGTGAAGTTTCCATATGTAAAATATGATCACCAGACCTCAAGAAACACATAAAATAAGCAGGAAGCAGTCAGAAAAAATAACAGTTATCAAGAAGGGGATTGGAAAGAAAAGAGAGAGAGAAAAGGAGAGAGAGAGAGACAGAGAAAGAGAGAGATCTTTAACCAAAAAATGCCAAAGCTTGGAAGAGAAGAAATTTAAAAATAATCAATAGTAGGATAAACAGCTGCAGTAAAACCCAGAATGCAAAATCTGTGTGTTCTCATGAAGCTTGAGAAGGTGAGGGTAGTTTAAAACAAAGTTTATCAAGTGCACCCTAGAATGTAAAGAGCTCCAAATCACGAGTAGCCCAGCTCCGGCGCTCCCTCACTGAGTGCCTGGGAACAGCTTCCGGATGGCTCGGTACCTGACCCGGAGATGAGGCCCCTTCCTGACTTGCGCACACGGACCTGGAGATGAAGCCCCTTCCTGACTTGCGCACACGGACCCGGAGATGAGGCCCCTTCCTGCCTAGTGCACACGATCACGGGGATCTATAGGCACACGATCACGGGGAGAGAAGCAGAACCACTCGGAGAGCACATTGCAGGGGTTCAACCTCACGCAGTGATGGGAGCGGGCTGGACACTGTGTGTGAAGACTTTCTTTCTGTGTCTGGTGCTGGGCTCTGAAATCCATGGAGCACACAGCCAGGAAGGGGAAAATGAAAATGAAGTGAGGAAAACAGGCACAACCATGACACGGAGGCTGAGCTGGACCCGCCAGGGCAGCCCGGAACTGCATCCTCTTTCTCCCCTGGCAAGGCCCATGCTTCCTTACCGGGCTTCCTGCAGGAGAAGCGGATTCCCTCCGTCATCCAGCTAAACACACGGACACTGAAGGCGGCTCCATCTGGCAGGAGTGGAGGCTGCTGAGGGCCCAGTGGCTGCCCCACCCACCCGGTCAGCCAACAGCAGGCACCCATGTGGGAGCCACAGGGAAGCCTTTGCCCTCGCTCTTACCTTCTGAGTCTAGAATCATGACAAGCCGCCAAAACACCACACCTGCTAAATATCACACAAAATGTCTCTGGGCCTCACAGCCCAGGACCAAGCAGGGAAGGGAATTCAGGTAAACACAGCTCCAGTGTACTTGTGTTGACACAGCCTACGTCCTTCAAAACCAGCGCCGAGCTCAAGGCACAGAGATGCTGTTTCTGGCCTCTGAAAACTGAGTCTGCTGGGGAAGACAAGGTGTACGGGGCTTTTCAGACTACACTGAGTGTCAGAGCAATGATCATGAGAGCTCAGGCCCACAGGACGGAAAAGGGCTCCCATTTGACTCTGTGAAGTGTTTGGGGAGCACAGAGCAGGGTGATAAGGGTTTCGTGGCTGGAGGGGCCGTCTATTCCTGCACAGAGGAGCAGCCGTGGGAAGATGGCTCGACGGCTCAGGGTACGGTGAACAGCAGAGCAACACTTCCTGCAGTAAGACATGTACTGTAGAGCCGGGCGCGGTGGCTCACGCCTGTAATCCCAGCACTTTGGGAGGCCGAGGCAGGTGGATCACCTGAGGTCAGGAGTTCGAGACCAGCCTGGCCAACACGGCAAAACGCTACTTCTACTAAAAATACAAAAATTAGACAGACGTGGTGGGGCATACCTGTAGTCCCAGCTACTCCGGAGGCTGAGGCAGGAGCATCATATGAACCCGGGAGGCAGAGGTTGCAGTGAGCCGAGATGGCACCACTGCACTCCAGCCTGGGTGACAGAGTGAGACTCAAAAGCAGAAAAGAAAAGAACTGTAAGCTATGTAAGTACTTCTCATATTTCCTAGTTATGATGGAGGACAGCCCTGTCTTTCCCGACGCCTTCACTGGCACCTGGTGAGCCCCGACATGAGGCAGGTGTGGACCATGCCTGGCCCGGTGCAGCAGCTCTTGGACACTTAGGCAAGGCCCTTGGCTGCAGCTGGAGAATCCTAAGGTCTTCCGGGCCAGCCTCAGAGACCGCTGAGGGGTCTGAAAGACCAGCTTCTGAAAGTGAGTGATTCAGAAGCCCTGGTTTTAACTGAACAGAATAGTTATTAAACATAAAAAAATTTATCCAGAGGGCCAGCTTAGACATAAATGTGTAAGTGAATGTGGCTCTTCGTCTCTGGAGAAAATCTTGTGAGTTTATTTTCTGTTATTATTTAGCTATTTGATATTGATATTTACACCATATATTGGTGAATTGGCATGTGGACTTTACTCCGCT
Organism: Homo sapiens; assembly: GCF_000001405.40. Classification (NCBI taxonomy): domain Eukaryota; kingdom Metazoa; phylum Chordata; class Mammalia; order Primates; family Hominidae; genus Homo; species Homo sapiens. Next base: position 156,320,437 of record NC_000007.14, read on the forward strand.
GTTGTACAGGAGCTAACCTATTTGATGTTTCTATAGTTAAAGACCCTTGAAGGGCATCAAGATTCTAAAGGTTGGCTTTTTTTATTTGACAATATGCAAAAGAAAACTCAAATAGGGACTGTGACCAATGCCCAGATGTATTTTTCATGTGAAGCAGACATTTCTTAATGTATTTGCTTCCCTTTTTTTGCATTAATCCCTCAGTTATTCAGTTTACTGTTAATAAAAGATTATCAAAAGAGCGTTTATAACTCAGCATGGTAGCAGCCAAGGACTTAACGCTGAGATTTCTGGAAATGTGCTATCAAAAGCTATGTACTTGTGTATGCGTGTACCTATAGATCCCCATGAACACACAGACTTTAGTTTTTGTTCATTTTAATTCTATAATCTCACTGAAAGAAAAAGCACCTGCATAAAATAAAAATCTCAAAGAATGGGTCAATAGCCATTGAAAATAATGTTGGAACAGGTGTTGTACAAAAATCTTTGATCTTGAAGACCCTTTTAAAAGTGTCAGGAACAAAGTACATGTCTAAGTCAAAGAGAAAACCCCACAAGTATTGTTTTCTAAAGTAAGGGAGGTTTTTTGTTTAATGCAAACTTTGTCCTATTACCTGATATTTCATCAGTTACCATTGAAAGGACAAAATCCATGGGAATTAGAAATATGGTGCAGAGGGACGCTGTTCTTTCCTTGAACCACAGATACTACAGCGAAGAGGAATGGCAGACAGGCAGAAGGAAGTCCTGGGCACATTCTAAACATTAAGCTAAGATGTAGACAAGCATCTCCTCATCATACCATTACAAGTGCCTAGCTTCTTCTTCTTCTTTTTTTTTTTAATACTTTAAGTTCTGGGGTACATGTGCAGAACGTGCAGGTTTGTTACATAGGTATACACATGCCATGGTGTTTTGCTGCACCCATCAACCCATCATCTACATTAGATATTTCTCCTAATGCTCTCCCTCCCATTGCCCCCGTCCCCCAACAGGCCCCAGTATGTGATGTTCCCCTCCCTGTGTCCATGTGTTCTCATTGTTCAACTCCCACTTATGAGTGAGAACATGTGGTTTTTGGTTTTCTGTTCTTGTGTTAGTTTGCTGAGAATGATGGTTTTCAGCTTCATCCATGTCCCTGCAAAGGACATGGACTCATCCTTTTTTATGGCTGCATAGTATTCCATGGTGTATCTGTGCTACATTTTCTTTATCCAGTCCATCATTGATGGGCATTTGGGTTGGCTTCTTCTATCAGCAACCCTCAGAGCAGTTTGGAAACCAGAAGACGATTAGTTGAGTTTGGAAAGTGGTTAAGAGAGAAAGGAATGGTAGAGGAAGTGCTAGTTTCCTAGAATTTCATGGTTGGATCCCAAGCAGTTGAATTTCCACTTTGCTGACTCCAATGCCTTAAACACCTCCCATTAAAAGTGAAAGGTCCAAACAGTATTTGGAAAGAACCTGGAATTTGGAGTCAGGCACACTCAGGGCAGTTGCAGTGGTGGGCAGCACCCCCCATGCCCACATGAGCTGGCAATGCCCTAGATAAGCAGCTATCTAAGCACGCTTCTCCAGCATTTTTGGTCACAGGGCCCCTTCTCATTCTTAAAAATTACAAAGAACTTCAAAGAGTTTATGCTTATGTGGGTGATGTAGGTCAAGATTTACTGTATTAGAAATCAAAACAATTTGGAGTATATATATATGTGTGTGTGTGTGTGTGTGTGTGTGTGTGTGTGTGTGTGTGTGTGTATAATTTTTTTTTCTTTGAGATGGAGTCTCACTCTGTTGCCCAGGTTGGAGTGCAGTGGCACCATCTCGGCTCACTGCAACCTCTGCCTCCCGGGTTCAAGCAATTCTCCTGCCTCAGTCTCCTGAGTAGCTGGGATTACAGGCATGCGCCACCATGCCTGGCTAATTTTTGTATTTTTAGTAGAGACGGGGTTTCACCATGTTGGTCAAGCTGGTCTCAAACTCCAGACCTCATGATCCACCCACCTTGGCCTCCCAGAGTGCTAGGATTATAGGCATGAGCCACCGCACCCGGCCACATATATATTTTTTAATTCACATAAATATTCTATTTATAAATATTTTTTAAACAACATACTGTTTTGGAAAATAGTTACATTTTTCAAAGCAAAATAGACATTTCTTAGGAGAGTGGCATTGTTTTATATTTTTACAAATCTCTTTAATGTCTGACTTAATAGAAGATGGCTGGGTTTTCAAATCTATAGGCACACCTCACAGATATTGTGAGTTACATTCCAGATCACTGCATGAAAGGGAATATTTCAATAAAGCAAGTCACACAACTTTTTTGGTTCCCCAGTGCATATAAATATTATATTTACACTATAGTAGCCAATAAACTGTACAATAGCATTATGTCTAAAAAACAATGTACATACCTTAAAAATACTTTATTGCTTAAAAAATGCTAATAGTCATCTGAGCTTTCAGCAAGTTGTAAACTTCCTGCTGATGTAGGGTTCTGCCTCACTGTCAAAGGCTGCTAACTGATCAGTGTGGGGGTTGCTGAAGGTTGGGGCGCCTGTGGCAATTTCTTAAAGAGGACAACAATGAAGTATGTCATATGATTGACTCTTTATTTCATAAAAGCTTTCTCCGTAGCATGTGATGTTGCTTGATAACATTTTACCCACAGTAGATCTTCTTTTAAAATGGGAATCTACGCTCTCAAACCTTACCACTGCTTTACCAAATAAGTTTATGTAATATTCTAAATTATTTGTTGTCATTTCTGCAATGTTCTTAGCAACTTCACCAGGAGTAAATCCCATCTCAAGAAACCACTTTTCTTTACTCACCCATAAGAAGCAACTCCTCATCGATCCAAGTTTTATCAAGAGATCACAGCAATGCAGTCCCATCTTCAGGCTCAAGTTCTAATTCTAGTTCTGTTGCTGTTCCCACCACATCTGCAGTTCCCTTCTCCACTGAACTCTTGAATCCTTCTGAGTCATTCATGAGGATGGGAGTTAACTTCTTCCAAACCCCTGGTCATGTTGATATTTTGACCTCCTCCCATGAATTACAAATGTTCTCAATAAATGGCATCTAGAATGGTGAATCCTTTCCAGAACATTTTCAATTTAGTTTGCCCAGATCCATCAGAGGATTCACTACCCATGGCAGCTAGACCCTTATGAAATGTATTTCTAAAATATAAGACTTGAAAATCAAAATTACTCTTCAGTCCATGGGCTGCAGAATAGATGTGGTGTCAGCAGGCATGAAAACAACATTCACCTGCTTGTACATCTGCATCACAGCTCTTGGGTGACCAGGTGCATTTCCAGTGAGCAGTAACACTTTGAAAGGAATCTTTTTCTGAGCAGTAGATCTCAACACTGGGTGAAAATATTCAGTAAACTAGCCTGTAAAAAGATATGCTGTCACCCAGGCTTTGTTATTTCATTTACAGAGCACAGGCAGAATAGATTTAACATCATTCTTAAGGGCCCTAGGATTTTCAGATGGTAAATGAGCACTGGCTTCAACTTCAAGCCACCAGCTGCATTAGCCCCTCACAAGAGAGTCAGCCTGTCTTTTGAAGCTTTGAAGCCAGACACTGACTTCTCCTCTCTTGCTAAGAAACTCCTAGACGGCATCTTCTTCCACTAGAAGGCTGTTTTGTCTACACTGAAAATCTGTTGTTTAGTGTAGCCTCCTTCACCAAATGCCTTAGCTGGATCTTCTGGAGAACTTGCTGCAGCTTCTCCATCAGCACTTGCTGCTTCACCTTGCACTGTTATGTTATGAAGATGGCTTCTTTCCTTAAACTTCATGAACCAACTCTGCTAGTTTAAAACTTTTCTTCTACAGTCTCCTCACTGCTCTCAGCCTTCATAGAATTAAAGACTGGTAGGACCTGCTCCGTATAAAGCTTTGGCTTAAAGGAATGTTGTAGCTGGTTTGATCTTTTACCCAGACCACTCAAACTTTCTCCCTAGTGACAATGAGGTTGTTTCACTTTCTTCTTTATCATTTGTGTGTTCACTGGAGTAGCACTTTTAATTTTCTTCAAGAATTTTTCCTTTGCATTCACAACTTGGCTAACTGGTGCAGAGGCCTAGCTTTCAGCCTATCTCAGCTTTTGACCTGCCTTCTCCACTAGGCTTAATTATTTCTAGCTTTTGGTTGAAAGTGGAAATGTACAACGAATCTTCTTTTCACTTGAACACCTTAGGAGGCCATTGTAGGTTTATTAATTGGCCTAATTTCTATATTGTTGTCTCTCAGGGAATATGGAGGCCTAAGGAGAGGGAGAGAGTGGGAGGAACAGCTGGTTCACAGAGCAGTCAGAACACACAATGTTTATCAATTAAGTTTGCCACCTTATATGGGCACAGTTCACTGTGCCTCAAACCAATTACAGTAGTAACATCAGAGATCACCATTACAGATATAATGACAAGGGAAGAGTTTGAAACATTGAGAGAACTACCGAAATGTGACACGAAGAAGTGAAGTGAGCGCAGCCTGTTGGAAAAATGGCGCCAATAGACTTGCTTGGCATGGGTCACCACAAACCTTTAATTTGTAAAAAACATGGTATCTGTGAAGCACAATAAAGCAATGCACCATAAAACAAAGTGGCCTGTAATAATAAGTAAGGTGACAATAAGTTTCTGTTTTACCAAGCTCTTGAACATGTTTGTGAGCTTCTTTGAACTTGGTTATAATTTTCAGAGCCTTGGGTGACAAGAGCTCTGAAATAATTCATGTGCAACTAGAAAAATAAGCTTCTCGGTATGACACAAAAAAATTCAAATTCTTCTGCTAATAATCATCAAATGCAATTTTGGAGATAGGGATGGAGGCTGGGACTCAGGTCATCAGATTCAGAGGCCTCTGTGTGGACATATCAAAATACTTTGAGAACCTTGGAATGGCTCTTTCTTGGTCTACAGATCTATGTATTTAGTGAGCTCTCAAAAATCAGAGTCCAAATGGCCTGCAGTATAAAGTAAGTTACTATATTTTCAAGTTAAATTTCAAAACATATGTGTGTGTGTTTTGTTTTAAATTGTAAAATAGATTATACATAGCGACATGTTATTCAAGGGATGATAGACCCACAATCTGAAACAGATGCTGTGTTCCGAGGGTTTTGTGGGAACTTGCAGTCTGGTGAGTGAGACCCAGGAATGCTGCTGCTGATACTGAATGGGAGCCTTCATCTCCATAAGCAAAGTCTTCCCAATGTTAGGTTTTCCAATACAAAGTAGTATTTTATTTACCCCCCAAATTTTCCAAAAGTCTTGTGATAAACAGAACACTGCAGATGCCCTTACATCAGAAAACATTTGTCAGTTCCTCTCAACTTAGAGACATGTGCTGAGGGAAAGCCTGGAGCTTTGAGACCAGTACTTTCACTCTGGAGATACAGATGTGAGACTCCCAGCACCCTCACCACTGCCCCAAACTGCAGCAACAGGGCTATTTTGAACTATTCACTTTTAAGGTCCAATTCAGATGGATTCTCCTCTGTGAAGCCCTCCCCAAACCTTTAGTCAGAATTAATAACTCCTGGCTGGGCATGGTGGCTCACACCTGTAATCCCAGCACCTTGGGAGGCCAAGGTGGTGGATCACCTGAGGTCAGGAGTTCAAGGCCAGCCTGGCCAACATGGTGAAACCCTGTCACTACTAAAAATAAAAAAATTAGCTGGTTGTGGTGGTACACGCCTGTAATCCCAGCTACTCGGGAGGCTGAGACAGGAGAATCACTTGAACCTGGGAGGTGGAGGTTGCAGTGAACCAAGATCCCACCATTGCACTCCAGCCTGGGCGACAGAGGGAGACCCTATCTTAAAAAAAAAAAAAAGAAAAAGAGAGAGAGAATTAATAACTCCCTATTCCATATATCCCAAATGCTTTGTAACCTTGACCTTTTTAAGGCCTCTTCCACCCTGTAATTGTGTGTTTTTGTAATCATGTATCTATCATGCTAATTCCCAACATCTGAGGAGTTGTTTGCAGTTTGTATCCCCTATTGGATTATGAATTTCCTGAGAGAAGATATTGCCTTACCAATTGTCGTTACTCTCAGCAGGTAACAAAATAGCTTACATATATTGGGTGTCCCTAAAGCATTTATTAAATTCACTAAGTTATGGGGTTTTTTTTCATGTTCAAGTAGCCAGAATGTAGAAGAGCCAACATTTGAACCCTGACCTGCTGGTCCAGTTTGTAGCTCATTGATGTTTCCTGTACAAAATGCTCCCCCTTCTGCAAAATTAGGTTGCATGTTCAGCTAAATGCTCCCACCTGCAACTTTCAATCAAACTGGACACTTTGGGCCAGTTTACATGAAGTATGAAGCATCAAACTGCAAAAGAAGGGCAACTTCAGGAACCTTCCGCAGAGATGTCCATAATCACAGCTCCTCCCCCATGCATAATACTGTACCCCAACTACCAGGCAGCTCCATGGGCCCCTTACTGACAGGCACTAAGAAATACTAACAGATAACAACAGACACCATCAGATATCAACAGACACCATCAGATACCAACAGATACCATCAAATACCAACAGACAACAACAGATATCATCAGATATTAAACAGATACCAACAGACACCAATATATATTGTCAGATACCAACAGATACCATCAGATACTGACAGACAACAACAGATACTATCAGGTATTAAACACATGCCAACAGACACCATCAGATACCAACATATACCATCAGATACCGACAGACACCATCAGATACCAACAGACAACAACAGATACTGGCAGACAACAACAGATATTATCAGATATTAAACAGATACCAACAGATACTATCAGATACCAACAGACACCAACATATACCATCAGATACCAACATATGCCATGAGATAGCAAAAGACACCATCAGATAATGACAGACACCATCAGATACCAACAGACACAATCAAATACCAACAGATACCATCAGATACCAACAGACACCATTAGATACCAACAGGTGCCATCAGATACCAATGGATACCATCACCATACTTGTGCCCAAGGCCATGCTGTTGCCTTAATCACAAGATCTACTTCAAAACCTGGCACCCCAAATCCCTTCTCTTTGGTAGGTAGATTCTTGACTCCCTTCCTAGGACTGGTGACACCTTACGGGTTTTCAAGTCAGGCCACCATCTGTATTTCCAATGCACAGCACTGGCCTTACCTGCAGAGCTGGCTGGCCAGGCTATTGCCCAATAGTGAAAGCAAGTCTAGACATGGTATTCATGCTCACTGGAATGTCCATGTTAGAACTAATTTCTTAACTGTTGGTCATGATTTTCAGCAAGGACACTGTTCTTGGGGATCACCCATACTGACTGCATTCTATTGTGAAGCTAATCCCCTACAACTAGCCTATGAGCTCTCACGGCCAGGGACAGGGGCTTTACAAAGCCACATTTCCACAAAAACCAGAGTGGCTAAAGCCCGAGTAGCTCAACATTCCCTGAGGTGTCTTATGAAAACATTCAGAAGCTTAGCAGGGCACTTAGTTTGTAAAAAGGTTTGTCTCCCCAGCCCATGTCTGCAATAAAAAAAGCATTGAACATCTTGGGATTACAAGAGCAACAATTAAAGCAAAGCCTAAAAGCTGACCTCACTCTCTCAGAGGCCTGCGCTCTTGCAGGCAGGAGAAACTATTTTAGACTGAGGTGCCAATTTTTACATAAGCCCTGAACCTTCCTTTAGCAAACAAAAGCTAAAGAAAAATTCAGGGCCCTCCCTGGACTGGAGAAGAACATAAACAAGGGAGGTGGGGGAAGGGGCTGCGCCGATGAAAGCTGGTCCTGTCCGGGGAGGGATCCACAGTTCACTCTGTGCAAGATCCCCCAACTCCTTTCAGCCTGAATAGGAAAACATGAAGCTTTTCCACACAATCCCTTTGGTCAACTTAGCAAGGATGGCACTTTAGCGACTCCTTTTCACACCCTCCTGCTATAAGTTTGACTTGAAAGTGTTCTTTAATGTCTTGAAAGCAAAAAGCAAATTGAAGGAAGAGTTGAAGACCCTTTGATGGGCGTGGGAGCTGCTTGAGGTCTTTAAAGGTACAGTACAGCAACTAAAAGAAAAGCCTTTTGTAGTCGGGCGGTTTCTCTAAACCAAATGCTTGCTTGCAGTTCACCACACAATTTCAGGGAATATTGAAACCCTATGGGAAAACTTTTGTTGGCTTCCTGAGTCAGCCCATTATTAAATGTCTAAAATAATTAGTAAGAATATCAGTGGCTCCTTGCTTCTTCTTGGCCAGAGACAATGAGAACAAATGATTCTATTGTTGGTATAATTGGGGTTTTAGTGTGATTATTTTCCCCTATAACTCACCTATTATGTATTTCATGCTCTTAAATTAAGGAGAATTACCAGGATAACAAATACCAACGTGAACAAAATAGCAGCAAAAGTAAATACATAAGTGTGTTTCCACATTTCTGCACCAAATATGGACATACATTTCCAGGGACCAGAGTCGATATGAGTTTGTGGGATGCTGGCTCCAAGACATCCACAAGACATGGTTTCTGGATGCAACTGTGCTAAGGACATCTCACCAGCATAGTGGGAGGCACAGCTCTGGAATAATGATGTGATGAAATTACAACAGTCATTTTCCCTGGGTCCCTCTCATAAGCAAAGCTGTTGAAATGCTAAGTCCCAACTCATCACTTCTGGTGCAAGGGATCATGACAGTTTCTGGGTCTTCTGAACCCCAGACCCTTCTCCACACCCTCCCTGGGCCCCACAGCCCCAGGCTTCCCATCCTGCTTGTGGCTGGCACCTGTACCAGCCTGTGGAGGGGACAATGTCCACCTTGCCTCTCAGCAAATGCCACTCTCAAACTTTACAAGGGAGCAGCCTTGGGCTGTTTTCCATGGCCCTCTACAGGGGTGATTCCTTCATCTGGTTCATTCTTGATTACACTTTCCCACCTCTGGCAGCTGACACAGATATCCTGAGGCCAAGTGAGCCACGATTTGAACCCTGAGCCCCACAAGCCCCTGGAGCTCAGTGTGTTCCCTCACGATCCTCCAGCTCAAAGAGATTTCTCTGCCATCCAGCATGCTGCCAAGGAAGCTGCGGGGGCCTCAGCTTCTGCACATTGCCTGGGAAATGGACATCTTTCCCGTGAGGGTAACCAGGTTGTCTTACGCCTGCTCAGCTCATCCTAAAACTCCTGCCATGTTTGAATGTGCAGGAATATATACGTGAAGCCTCCCCAACCGTGGGATTATCTGTAGAGCTTTTCCACAAACTTCCAACATTTCAACCAGCCTTCCACCCTCTGCTCAGAAAAAAAGAGGGAAAATTTCAAAACAACTAGGAACAAATACCCTGTCAATGGGAACAGTAACAGGGCAAGTGTTGTCTTTGTCTGAGAGATGAGAAAATGAACTTATGGGCAGTCCAGCGAATTGCCGGCTGGCCAGAGATGCATAACTGACCCTGGAAGTCACATGCGGAGATGACCACGCACAGCCATTCCCTTCATTCCCACACCTACACCATTGCAGAAAAGCATGCAAAGGTTAAGTTCTCCTTAACGTAAAGAAAAAAACAGTAGAAGTTACAGTGTCTGCCTACTTACTCCCTATGAAGACAACATTCAATTAATCTTATCCCAATACTAAGAGAAATATGAATTTAGACTTTTAAAAAAGTATTTTACAGGCTGGCTTGTTTGGTCACGTAAACGTACAGTGAACATTTCATGTTTCTGCAGCAATGAGCTGTGTACCGTGTATCTTAGTGGGAAGAGAAGCTTCTGTGAGGGTCACAGTGTGCTTGGACCCTATTCTAGGTGACAAGAGACACCGAAGGTAAACTGAGCTCTCCTGGTGCATTTTGAAAACTGACTTGGAGACCTCAAAGCCAGACGCTGCTTCAAAAAAGAAATCCCCTCAACTCAAAATTCTTTGTTGATTTTATTTTCTAACACAAGATGACCTGATTTCTCTTTTGACTTTCAAGAACCTTCAATATGACCCCAGACTAAAATAGCCATTGCTGTTTCCATGCTTCTCCCATGCACACTGCCTGGCCTCCAGGGCAGGGTCTGCAGGGCTGTGCGCCCGTCATCGCCTCCTCTACAGTCTTCCTCAATTTTCCAAATCCTCCCTGTCCCAGCCCAAGCCCTACGTCCCCTTTCAGACCCTCTCACTCCTACAGCTTCAATACGCTTTTTCATAACTAAGAGCTGTCTGATGACTGCTCCGTGAGCACCTATTGCATGCCAGACCTCAGCTGTGGCCCAGTGGATGGCGGTCCCTGTCCTGCGGGACTCAGCCTCAGGAAAGGACAGGCTTATCACAGAATTGCCCAGGTGAGCAATTCCTTACCAAGAGGGCAAGTGCCCCAAGGGAGGAGGTCAGAGGCTCTCAGTCTATGGAGAGGAGCTCACCCCATCCAGGGATGGGGGGTTTACTTTGGAAAGGGACCTCTTAGTCCAGCACCGCAATGATGCACAAAACCAGCCAGAAGAAGGCACGGGGTCTGCAGAGGGGTCGCTGAGGTGGAGGGACTCCTCAAGCCTGCACCCTCACCCCTGCCGGCAGGGGAAAGAGGCCAGGTGGAGGCTGTGGTGAGAGAGCTGAAACAGACTTCTCTGGAAATTGAGTTAAGAAGGACAGCAGAGGAACACAGAGTTGGCAAGGCCATAGGGCAATCAAAACGGAGCAGAGAGTGTGCAGAGCCAGGAGGCACGGTGCCGAGGCTGAGGATGGGGAGGCCCCACCATGTCATGTGCGGGCTACAGAGTCCAGACCACTCCTAAGTCAGCAGAAAGCCAGGCAAGCACCTCACATTCCCCTTCTGGACACACAGTGGAGAAGTGAGTGTGGGGGCAGAGCCATAGCAAAGGTCTCAAAGGAGTCCCAGCAGGAAGGAGCCAATCGGACCAGTCAAGGTCAGAGCTGGGAGAAATGTCAGAGTTGGGAGAAATGTCAGTCAAAGGTGGGTGAACAGGACCTGGAGACTGATTCTGTTTGGGGGCGAGAGAAAGGAAGGTGCCCAGGCTAGTTCCCAGGCTTCCATTGTGAGCAAGGTGGGCAGACACTGCCATTTATCTGAGTTAGGGGCAACTGGAGGAAAGACGGGGAGGGGTGAGGGCACCGTGGGTTTACTTTGCACACGCTGAATGTGGGATGACTGAGGTATGTGAGAGGTGTCGGGTAAGTGGCCGAGAGTCAAGACTGGAACCAGCAGTCATCATGGGAGACAAGTGCCCACAGTCAGCACACTGACGGCAGGTCACAGGATCACTGACAGGCACATCACGGGATCACTGATGGGCGGGTCATGGGATCACTGGCAGACTAGGCATGAGATCACTGACAGATCGTGGGATCACTGGTGGGATGACTGATAAGTCGTAGGATTACTAAGAGGTCACGGGATCACTGACAGATAATGGGATCACTGAGAGGTCACAGGATCACTGACAGATCCTGGGATCACTGGCAGGATCACGACAGGTTATGGGATCACTGACAAACAGGTCATGGGAATCACTGACAGATCATGAGATCATGGGTGGGATCACTGACAGGTCACAGGATCACTGACAGGTCATGGGATCACTGGTGGGATCACTGAGAGGTCACAGGATCACTGAGAGGTCACAGGATCACTGACAGGTCATGGGATCACTGATGGGATCACAACAGGTCATGGGATCACTGACTGATCATGGAGTGAGGGGAGGAAGGCTCACCCCTTTCCCAATGTCTGTTGCTCTCAGAGCTCACATGGCGTGGTGCTGCCCTCCATTATCCTTTGTAGCTGTTTGGCTGCAGGTATCCCATCTACTAGATTAGAAGGAGAGTCCTTAAGGAATGGAAACCACAGCTTACCTGGCTGGGTGACCACTGCAGCACCCAGTGTCCTGGAGGAGCACTTTATACAGGCTCAAAAATCACCTAGGGAGTGATACAAACACACTTTCCACATGAAAACAGTAGTGACAGCCAAGCACAGGGGCTCATGCCTGTAATCCCAGCACTTTGGGAGGCCAAGGCAGGAGGATCACTTGAGGCCAGGAGTTCAAGACTTGCCTGGGTGACATAGCAAGATCCCATCTTTACAAAAATGTAAAATATTAGCCAGGCATAGTAGTGTGTGCCTGTATTCCCAGCTACTCAGGAGCCTGCGGTGGGAGGATAGCTTGAGTTCAGGAGTTTGAAGTTGCGGTGAGCCATGATTGCACCTCTGCATTCCAGCCTGGGCAACATAATCGGATCCCAATTCAAAAATAAATAAAGAAATAAAATAATTACAGTAGTTACTCTATTGTATAGTGTAATGCACTGTGGGTAGTATACTAATAATAATTGCACTCACAAAGTGGATACTATGTGCCAAGCACCATTCTAAACACTTTACATAAATTAACTAGTTGAATCCTTACAAAATATTATGAAGTAAGTCTCATTTTATAGATATTTCCATTGCAGCGGCTGGGGCTACACATATGCTCTCATGGCTTTCCCTCTGTGCCAGAGGCTTCGACCATGATCTGTGGTGTACAGTGCGTATGCAAGGCTTTCCTGAACAAATAATTCTATTTTTGGTAAAAGCCACTGGGCCTTTTTATTTCCTGTACCAAAGCAGTCAGACTCACATTGCTGGCAAGAGGGGAGATGGTGAAATGATGAAGCAGGCTGCCGTGGTTTGCTTTCTCTCCCTCTCCTCTCGGCTCCCTTCTCACCAGCCCAAAGAGCTAAACTCTTCCCTTCTTTCTTTCGTCAAAGTCCATTCTAAGCTCCTTCACTTTCACTGGGATGTAAATGACAGGCACTGTTTAAAAAGCTATAAAAACCTCTCTCTAAGCGGAGCAGGACTGGGCTCTCCATCTCTCTTGGGTCTCGGTCCCGTCTTTCAAGCCTCCCCGTCTTGCTCACCATTTTGCCCTCTCTGCATTTTCCACCCCAGCCTCAGATCCCAGAGACATCCTGGTCTCCCATTATTCTGTGACTGTGTATGGAGTGAGCTCCATGAGCTCCTTGAGAGAAAACTGTCCGTGGAGCACACATGCTGCCTTCACATGTGGCGGCCACAGGCCACGGTGGTTGCAATGCCTGGATGTGGCTCCTCTGAGTCCATGAGTGGCAGGGGCAGGTGTGGAGTACACATGGGGTTCGAGGAACACACATGTCTCATTCCTAACCTCCACACTGATTGCCCACTGAATGGTGTTTTGGACAATATATTGGATTAGGTGAAATATATTGTTAAAATAATTTCACGGGGGCAGGGCATGGTGGCTCATGTCTATAATCCCAGCACTTTGGGAGGCCGGGGTAGGTGGATCATGAAGTCAGGAAATCAAGACCATCCTGGCCAACATGGTGAAAACCTGTTTTTACTAAAAATACAAAAATTAGCGAGGTGTGGCGTTGCACACCTGTAGTCCCAGCTACTCAGGAGGCTGAGGCAGGAGAATTGCCTGAACCCAGGAGGCAGAGGCTGCAGTGAGCTGAATTTGTGCTACTGCACTCCAGCCTGGGTCACAGAGCGAGACTCCATCTCAAAAAATATAATAATAAAAAATAATAATTTCACTGGGTCGGGCTCGGTGGCTCACACCTGTAATCCCAGCACTTTGGGAGGCTGAGGCAGGTGGATCACAAGGTCAGGAGTTTGAGACCAGCCTGGCCAACATGGTGAAACCTTGTCTCTGCTAAAAATAAAAAAATTACCCAGGCATGATGGTGGACACCTGTCTTCCCAGCTACTCGGGAGGCTGAGGCAGGAGAATGGCGTGAACCCAGGAGGTGAAGGTTGCAGTGAGCCAAGATCGTACCACTGCACTCCAGCCTGGGCAACAGAGCGAGACTCCATCTAAAAAAAATAAATAAATAAAAAATAATTTCACTTACAAAAACTGTATATGGCGGCTACTGTTGAATGTAAAGGTGCAGGTGTGTCTCACAGCGTCCATCGCCCCCCTTACCTGCATCATGCAGGTGAGAATGGGGCCATTGGGAAGCTACACGTGCAACCCTGGTAGCAGCTGAGGGTCCCCATGTGAAAGCCCCTCGGCTGGACTCAGGTGAGATGCTGGGGCCAGGGGATGCAGCAGGGGCCATGTGGAGGGTCCCCTGCTATCTAATCTCACTGTCAGTGGTGGTTTCTGAATGTCTTCACTAGATGAGGAATGAAAAGCATGAGTTTTCGGAGGCTTTACAGGAGCTGTTTGGCAGGGAGTTCACCTTGTTGCATCAAGACTCCCAAGTGCGAGTGTTCACATACATTCCTTTGTAAGCCTGGAGGCAGCACCGCCCACCCACTTCAACCCAGCACTGCAGTTACAGGGAGGAAGACAGGAGATGGGGACCTTCTGGCACACAGCAGGCCTGGCTTTGTGGGTGACGCACAACCCAGGTCCAGACATCAGGTGGCAGCCAGCCCATACTCACCGAGTCACCAGGGGAACTGAAGACACTGTGCCATGGCCCCAGGAGGCTCTGCAGAGTCCAGAAACATGGGAGAAGGAAACTGACTATCTAGTTAGTCATGCAGGCAATGACACAGAAGATGCCTGGTGCAGAATTTCCCTGCCTGATCAGTGAGCAGGTAGCAAAAACTGAGGTCAGCAGAGGCTGGGTCTAGGAGGCTGGCACGGGATAAAGTCTTCCACTGGCCCTAGCCACATGGGTCAGAGTGGAGACTGCGTAAGGAAAGGTCCTTGATTACTCTTCCCTAGCTCATGGGTCCCCATCACAGTGACTTACCAGAACTAAACCAACGCACATGCAGCTGAGTCTCACTACTCATGGTTGTTACACTCTGTAAAGCCACTGTGAATGCTAAACTAGAGGCTGCCAAACCATCGCTCCTACGGTAAAAACAAGGTTAGGTTCCTGCAAGCCTCTGCAAGCCTCTGGGCACAACACTTTGATCAACTGATCAATACGTACCATGTTTGGTGTGTGTTTCTGTCCCAGGACACCTTATTGAATAGGTGGATATTGCTGGTTCATCAACACTGAACTCACAGACAGCAGCATGGTACAAAGCTTCTCTGACACACGTGTTTTCTGTAAGGCACATCATGGCCTTTCTGCACTTGGGAACATGGACAGCGCCTCAGCACTGAGCTTGGGGCCATATTAAACAGCAGAATTACCAACAAAAAGCACAAAAATGTGAAACTAAACAGATAACGTAAAAGACACTTGTTTACAGCTTGAGCTGGAGCAGGAAGGCAGGGCACTGCCTGTTTCAGCTCAGCTGGGAACCTGCACATGGGTGCCTCACACATTCTGCTGCTTCACGCTTGTTTGTGAATGACCACGTCAGCACCACGAGTACTAATCTGGGGGCTAAAAATGTCAGTGCATACACCAATTCACAAATATGGAATCCACCAATAATGAGGATGGACTGTATTTATAATGAACTGATTACTCTAAGTTTCCTTAATGTTCTCTTCTCATTATAAAAACATGACATTTAGAAAAAATTTTAAATAACTAAAAGTATGAAAAAAATTCAAATCTATTCTCACTACCCAGAGACAGCCATATTCTATTTCCATTCAGTCTTTATAATTTATACTTTTTTTTTTTTGAGACGGAGTCTCACTCTGTCACCCAGGCTGGAGTGCAGTGGCACAATCTCGGCTCACTGCAACCTCCACCTCCCGGGTTCAAGCACGGTGGCTCACACCCGTAATCCCAGCACTTTGGGAGGCCCAGGCAGGTGGATCACCTAACATCAGGACTTCAAGACAAGCCTGGCCAACATGGCAAAGCCCTGTCTCTACTAAAAATACAAAAATTAGCTGGGCGCAGTGGCGTGCACCTGTAATCCCAGCTACTCGGGAGACTGAGGCAGGAGAATCACTATAATCTATACTTTTACATATAAATTAAATTTTATGGTGTTTATACAATTCTGTTTCCTGTGTTTTTTCACCTTATATCATGAGCTTATCATCATTAAATATCTTTAAAATGTGTTTTTAGCACAGCTAATTTTTATTACGGAAATAAGAAATGACCATTGTAGGAAAACTTGAAATACAGGGAAAAGTACAGAGAATAAAATTGAAATCCTTTCTGCCCCTACTTTGCCACGAAGAGGCAGCCAGCTGAGAACCAGCACATTTCTGATAGTGTTTTCCTGCTACTAAAAGCATGTTAATAATGATAGCTAATGTTAGCTGAGTATTTATACTTACTGGGCAATTTGATGCCTATAAAATTTAAGCCTGTGCATACTGTGTTGTTACTCCTATTTCATAGACCCAAAATGTGGAGCTTGGAAAGCTTGGTTAACTATTGAAGCAAGAATTCGAACACTGTGCCTGCTGCCTCTGATGTCTGTCCCCTGGGTCTCCGCAGTTGTGTGTCATGTGTGATGCTAATGGGGTGCTGCCTCTTCAATGTTCTTGAAAAACAAAATGCTACATCCGTCTTTTGGGGAGCCATCACTGGCTTAACCACCTCATGATCATGTCATACAGTCAGCCCTCCATACCCATGGGCTCTGCATCCTCAGAGTCAATCAAGAGAAGATCAAAAGTATTTTTTAAAAAGTGAATATAACAACAATTAAAAATAATATAAATGAAAAAACAATGTGGTATGACAACTATTTACATAGCATTTACATTGTATTCACTATTACAAGTCATCTAGAGATCGTTAAATTACACGGGGGTATGTGTGTAGGTTATACACAAATACACCACCATTTCATAGACGGGACTGGAGCATCCAGGAATTTTGCTACCCATGGGGGTTTCTAGAATCAATTCCCCGCAATCGTGTTATTCACAATTTCAGTTTTATAAAGTTCTGTTGTACATACCAATCTAATTGTACATAACTCTAGACTTCTCCATGCGGAAATTATTTTAAGACACTTGATACACAGAACGAAGTTTATTTTCCAAGTTGGTACCTCCGTGCCAATTTTCTGGTCTCTTTGACATTATTGAATATTATTTTTTAATTTTAACAGTTTAATAGGCAGAAAGTGTTGTTACATTATTATTTTGTATATAACTTATTTTATGTTTTGTAGTTGTAACATATTACTCTTGTATGTATTTTGTGAGGTGTAACCCTGATTCTTGATGCTGTTGCAAAAGGTATTGTTTTTAATTTCACTTTCTAACTGTTCATTGTCAGCATACAGAAACACAATTGTTTATAGTCTGACCTTGTTTGCTATACGAGTCCTAGTACACTTTTTGTAGATTATTTTGGTTTTCCTATGTAGATAATCACATCATATGTGAATAAACAGTTTTATTTCTTCCATCAGTATATATGAATTTTACTAATTTTTCTTTCTTTACACCACTGGTTACAATCTCAGGTCCAATGTTGAACAGAAAGCATCACTTTTGCTCTCGTCCTGATCTCTGGGAAAAAGTGTGTGCTCTTTCACCAAGGAGGATGTTAGCTGTAGATTTTTCACAGATGCCTTTATTAGATTAAGACAGAGCTTTCTATTCAGAATTTTCTGAGAATTTTTTTAAAATCATGAAGTGGTGTTGAATTTTGTCAAAACTTTTTTGTTATTTATTGAGATGATATATGGCTTTTTCTTTTTTAGTGATGCATGATGTATGTTGACATACAGAAATTCTTGATTTTTACCAAGCCAAATATATATTTCATGAGTACAGGCAAAGTATCTCTCATCATGATCATATTGCAATTATCCTAGAAATATGATGGTTTAACATTAGAAAATATAAGAGCATCAGGGAGAAAAACAGGTGTCAGTGATATCAACACACAGTCAAAGGGAATATTTGATGAGCATTTCAGGTTAAATATCCCTTATCTGAAATGCTTGGGACCAGCAGAGCTTCAGATTTTAGATTTTTTCAGATTTTGGAATATTTGCATTATAATCACTGGTTAAGCATCTCTAATCCAACATTTAAAATGCTTCAGTGATGCATTTTCTTTGGGTATCATGTCAGTGCTCAAATAGTTCACCATCTGGGAGCGTTTTGATTGTTGAATTTTCAGATTAGAGATTCTCAACCTGTACCCATTTTATGTTTTAAAACAACATTTCTTCAAAATCTAATATTGGAAACTTTAATATTAGCTACTTAATAAAAAAAAACAAGTTGTTTTCATTAAAAACAGGGACCAAACTCATCCCTTATCATCATTAATACTTAGTGATTTTTTGGAAGTTCTGTTCAAATTAATAAGAAAAAACACTGGAGACCCTATAGAAAAACCGGTAAGGTGCAGGAACAAGAAATTCACAGGAGAAAGACCACAGGCCAAAAACCATAGAACAGGTTCAATCTCACCGACCATAAAACAAATTCCATGTAAGATAATGTGATTGGATTCTCTGCCTATTAAACAGCCAAAATTTTAAAATTTTGGATATTAATCCAGTAACACCAGTGAAGTGAGGAAATCGGCACTCCTATTGGTACAAACTTTTAGGGGAGAGATTTTGCTGAGAAAAATAAGAGAAATGCTAAGTCAATGGATAGATGTACATTGGACTTCATCAGAATTAACAACTACTGCTCTTTGAAAGATGCTATTCAGAAAAATAAAAAAAGCAAGATAACGATTGGGAGAAAATGTTTCCAAACACATATCTAATGAAGACTTGCACCAGAATTTATAAGGAACTCTTACAAATCAATCATGAGACAAACACTATGATTTAAAAAGGGAAGAAGGAAGAGATTTGAACAGACACTTCACCAAAGAGGATGTATCTATACATCTGAGACCATTTGTCATCAAGGAAATGCAATTGAAATCACAATGAGACATCATTACATATGTATTAGAATGACTAAAGTTCTGGTAAAGGCTGGCTGTTGGAACTCTCACACATTTCTGATAGGAATACAAAATGGTGCAGCTATTTTAGAAAACAGCTTGACATTTTCTTATGTTTAGTAACCATATCCACTTACCCACTCCAGGTATTTACCCAAGAGAAACTAAGACCTACACAAGAATGTTGATATTAACCTTATTCATAATAGCCCCAAACGGAAAACACCCAGATGTTCATCCAATGGTGAATGGATAAACAAATTGTCAAAAGTAGTATAATCGGATATGACTCAGGAATTATTAGAAGCAACACACTACTGTCTACCATACCTGCAGAGGAATTTTAAAAGGATTCTGTTAACTGGAGGAAGGCCAGACATAAAACCCTGCATAGCATATGATTCTATTAATACAATATTCCAGAGGAGATAAACTATAGGGACAGATATCAGATCAGTGGTTTCCAGGGTCTTGGGTAGAAAGAGAGAATTTATTGCAAAAGGCAGGAGGAAATTTGGGAGATTGTGGGAGTGTTTTCTCTATTGGCTGCGGTCATCGTGGTTACACAACTGTAAACATTTGTCAAAACCCTAACTGTACACTTTAAAGAGGGTTTTTTACTGTATATAAATTAAACTTCAATAAACATATCCAAGGGAAAAGAACAGACCAAAATTCCAAATATAACCCAACAAACAGAGAAGTAAAGCACACTTCTCCACATGTTTTAAATTGTACCATCAGACATCTATCCTTTGGACCATGGCTTTAGGTCTCCTGGGTCCTTATTAGAATGCAAACACCCTTACAGTATGAGTCACATCCAAATTTTCTCCATTATTAATGCATCTGCCCCTTCAACTATCAGCAAAGCTAAGGCTGGGGATTGCAAGGGACAAGCATATCCGGGGAGGGGCCCTGACCACACTGGGCAGATGGAATGAGAGGCCTCAGATGTGAACAGGAGGAACCCAAGAGGACGCCTGAAAGCCCGTGGAAAGGCTCCCTGCTCCACTGCCTTGGCTTTCCAAGCTCCACTCTGCTCACAGAGTCTTCCTTCTGTCCTCAGGCAGGTTCTTCCCACCACTGGAACACTGACAGTGTGAAAACATCATCATGGTGTCACTGTCAACACGTAATTACACAAATGCAGAAATATCCATGTCGATAACAGAGTCATGGTCTTCAGAGAGCAAAGCCAATCCCCATCCTCAAGGGTTTCCTCCATGTTCACTCAGACATTAAGAGTGGACTCTATCAGGCCGGATGCAGTGGCTCACGCTTATAATCCCAGCACTTTGGGAGGCTGAGGCGGGCGGATCACCTGAGGTCAGGAGTTCGGAGACCAGCCTGACCAACATGGTGAAACCCCGTCTCTACTAAAACACAAAAAAATTGGCCGGGCATGGTGGCACGCACCTGCAGTCCCAGCTACTAGGGAGGCTGAGGCAGGAGAATCAATTGAACCCGGGAGGAGGTTGCAGTGAGCCCATATCACCCCACTGCACTCCAGTCTGGCAACAGAGCAAGACTCCATCTCAAAAAAAAAAAAAGAGCAGTCAGAGTGGACTCTTAGCAGAGAGGTCTTTCCCTGGGAGGCACTCTAGCTTCTCTTGACAGAAAGGAGGGAGAGACTTTGGCTTTTATTTTCTACTCTGGCCTTTTCTTGGCAGCACATTTTGGCAAACGTTGGTGCATATCATAGGAGGGTCTTGCACATTTGGGAGAGAGTCTCTCCCTTGCCAACTCCAACACCCCAGGCCAGGAGCATCCTGCTGCCTGCCCAGCGCTCCAGCAGGGAAGCCCTTCTACATTCAAGGGGCAGAGTTAAGCCAGAAAATCCTACTGCTAAAATGCAGTCCTGGGACACTCACAACAGAAGTTGTACGTTTCAAACTGTGCAAAGAGCAGCAGCAGAGCCTTCCGAGATGCAGGAGCGACTGGACCCCACATCCTGCCCAGGTGGGCCCACACTCTGTTCAGGATGGCCCAGGCCAACCCCTCCTTTCTGGACTTTGCCAAGGCTGCTTTGGTGTGAAGGCAAGAGACCCTCATTGACCCCAGCTGCATGGAATTGTTCTTTCAGAGCAAACGTTGTTCATTAGAGCATGTGAAAACCTTGTTTAAAATAGGTCCAAATGTCCTAATTTATTTTTTAGGGAAGCGGCCCTTTTAGAAAACAATTTCTGAAGAGCCAATAACAGTTCAGCCATGGATGTAGGGGTCAGGGGCTGGGCCAGGTGCTGGTCGCTGAGGACAGCGTGTTGTCAGTGAAGGCCCAGTGAGGGCGTGGGAGCCTCGGTGCCCAGGATGGGGACAGCTTCAAGAGCCCAAGGCAATGGCTCCAGAATCCCAGCCACAGACCCCAGGCAGGCGGCGGCTCTACCCCACATCTATGGGGCCCAAGGCCAGAGAGGACAAGGGCAAGCCTGAGCCCATTTTCTGTGAATGATTTCTGTGCAGGGCCTGAGGGACACCCAAACTCTAAGCAACCCTTGGGATTGACCGACAACACTTTGTGGGAGAGGAGGAGAAGAAAGTGGGATGTGTTGTACTGAAATACAGTAAATGTCTACTAAAACTGTAAATTTATTTTAGAACCAGAATTAAAGTATGGCAGGCACATACCAAGACCCACATAAAAATCTATTTAAAAATCAATAAAAATCTTCATAATAAATCCCAAACTTGCCCTTTCTATCACTCAAACTCGCAACTTTACACAAACTTGCAACTTATTATCGTAAAAGCATCTAAACAGCTAATTTTATGTTAACCATTTGCTGTTCCATTTCGCTAATGCATCACATTTGAGAATGATGTATTTAAAAAGATAATAACCACGTGAAAAAGTGGTGTTTCTTTATATATTCTTCGAAATTCTTGAATATGCATTATTTTATTTCTATTAACATAAGCCTATAGGATAATTCTTAGTTCTCATTTCATACATAAGGAAACTGAATCCCAGAAAAAAATAAAATAAAAGATTTGCTCAATACAACCAAGTTACGGGCACAGCCAACATCAAAATCCAGTTTCCCCGATGGCTAGTACTTCTGTTTACACAACACCACATCTCGTGAACTAGAAATATGGGTCTTGGAGCTAAAAGAAAGCTGCAGACAAGCCGTTCACTGGGCTCCTTCCAGCCACACCACGTTGCCTCTGCTCCCTATCACCCAGTCTCCTCCATCCTAGCCCTAGAGTCACCAGAGGAGCTTTGGGCTCTTGATGAGCTTGCTAATCCTCCTTGTCTACCTGGAGAAAGGAGAGGGCTTTGGTCTATGTTGCTGAGCTTGCGAATCCTCCTTGTCTACCTGGAAAAAGGAGAGGATCTCCAAGGATGTGGTCAATGTGCAGCCCATTCCAGCCAAAAGTTCACACTCACCCAAATCCCTGGCCGGTTTCTCAGAATCCACACGTGCAGAGAATGCAAAGTTCCAGATAAACACCTGAACTGTCAGGGGCTTGCCTGAGCCTAAGCTAAACTTGACTGGGGTGTCTACTTCTCTTCTGCAGTCTTATCTAATGCCCATCTCTTGATTTGCCAGCAGGGAAGTTGTGGGAATATTCCCAGGCACTGTGATGAAAGTATTTTGCTGTGTTATATTCCTTGCACAGCTGCAAAAGCAACATGTCCAATTGGCTCAGTGGGTTGGAACGCTGCAGGTGGCAAGGCGCAATTTGAGCTCTCTGTCCACCATGGCCACTTGGTCGGATGCCCGCTTCCCTGGTGTCCAACCACGTCAATCGACCAGCCCTCCTGAGTGCAAAGGGTGGGAGCCCTGATACTCGTGTGTCAATCAGAGGAAATGACTCGAAATGAGATGAGCGGGAAGGCATGCCCCAAGAAGGAAGAGTGCCACACTAGTCATGTACACACGTGTCGTGGGAGCTCAGATGGCAGGTGGACTTCGTGTTACTCAAAGAACATGAGAGGAATCCCTCTTTTTCTTCTCTGTCTTCTCTCTTCAGTAATGTTAGGAAAGATGATCCAACAAGCTAAGATCTGGGAGGATGATGCCATTTTGAAATAGACATTGCCAAATATCCCTAGACCTCAAACTAACTGTGCAAAGGAAGATTTGGGTGTTGGGAGTGCTGCAGAAAAATATCTGGGATAGAAACAAAATGTAACCCGTGTGCGAGTTGTCCAAAGACTAAGGTAATTGCTATAAGAAATGTCACTCAGATTTCATCTCCAGATGACTTGTTGCTACTGTTGCTCCAGCCCAGTAGGTCTAGATAATTACAACAAGCCCAAATGAAATACAAAATGGTCTATAGCTGTGGCTGGAAAAGTCGCTGTTTTCAGAATAACCATTTAAAGATACAGAAGAACCATCCAAGCATCTGATTCTCAAAGTTGGCTGCGCCAGGAATCACCGAGGAAGCCTTGAAAATCCTAATGCCGGCCGGGCGTAGTGGCTCACACCTGTAGTCCCAGCACTTTGGGAGGCCGAGGTGGGCGGATCACGAGGTCAGGAGATCGAGACCATCCTGGCTAACACAGTGAAACCCCGTCTCTACTAAAAATACAAAAATTTAGCTTGGCGTGATGGCGAGCGCCTGTAGTCCCAGCTACTCGGGAGGCTGAGGCAGGAGAATGGCGTGAACCCGGGAGGCGGAGCTTGCAGTGAGCAGAGATCGCGCCACTGCACTCCAGCCTAGGAGATAGAGCGAGACTCCGTCAAAAAAAAAAAAAAAAAAAAGAAAAGAAAGGAAAAAAGAAAAAGAAAAGAAAATCCTAATGCTGCCAGGGTCGCATCTCCAGGATGCTGATTTAATTATGGTGGGTTGAGGTGTGGGTGTGGGATTTCTGAAACTTCTCTAGGTGAGTTTAGTACACAGAGGGTGTGGGGAAGCCCTGAGCAACTCAAGTCAGGCTGCAAAGCTGCTCCTGTGCAGAGGGCTCCTCGGGGAGCTGAAGCTGTGCAAAGCCCAGTGAACGTTAATGACTGCGCAAACATAACCCAGGACTGGGCCAGGCTGGTCTTCAGTTCCAGGTCATATATTCAGAACCCAGAAACGTTTTGGTCACAAGGTCAGACAAGTACTCAGCCCCTCTTCACACGTGCAAAGCCAGTGCAGTTGGGAGCTACCAGCTCCCCAGAAAGATGCATGCACAGCAGCGTCACAGCCAGCTCTGCACCAGGCCACAACTGTGTGTGTGCAACCACAAGCCCTGGGGCTGGGCCTGTCCTATGGAAGAGCCCTACCGAGCATCACACATTCACACACACACGCTCACGCATGCTCACACAGAGACACTCATGTACCAAACACACTCACATTCACAAAACACACACAGTGACAGTCATGCCGACACACACACATTCACACTCAAACTCACAATCACACACTCATACACAATCACACACATGCTCACACAGATACACTCGCATACCAAACACACTCATATGTGCAAAACACACAGTGACACCCCACACACACAAAACTCACATTCATACCACACACGGTCACACTCACACTCACGGTCACACACATTCACACTCACACATAGTCACTCACACACAGTCACATACAGTCACATGGTCATACACACATTCATACTCATGCTCTCACACACACATTCACAGTCACACACCCAGTCACACTCACATACACACATTCACACATAGTCATTCATATGTTCACACTCAGTCACATTTATACACATTCACAAACACATTTTCACACTCATGCACACATTCACACTCACACAAGCTCTCACATGAAATATTCTCATGCACACATTCACAGTCACACACTAACACAGTCACACACAGTCTCACTCACAATCACACTCACTCTTACACACAGTCACACTCATTCCCGCATAGTCACACTCACAGTCACAGTCACACACACATTCACTCACACACATTTACCCTCACACAGCCACACTCATTCACCCACAGTCACACACTCACACAGTAACACAGTCACAGTCACTCACATAGTCACACTCACTCACACTCATACACACTCACACAGTCACACTCATTCTGTCACACTCTCACAAAGTCACATTCATTTTCACACAGTCACACTCACAGTCACACTCATAGTCACACTCATACACAGTCACACACACTGTCAGTCACACACACCGTCACACTCACTCTCACACACACACTCATTCTCTCACAGTCACACTCTCAGTCACGCTCACTCACACTGTCTCACACAGTCACACTTTCACACACACGGTCCCACTCACACACAGTCCCACTCTCTCACACACAGTCCCACTCTCTCTCACACACACACACCTCTTAATCACCCGCATTCGCCCTGGGAGGACAGCAGCTGTCCCCTTGGGGCCTCTGCCTGGGCCGCAGCGGGTCTGACTGGCTTAGACTGGCACCTCCCCGGAGTCCTGCAAAGGAGCCGCCTTCCTTGTTTGCCAGCGAGCGGGGAACAGCGGCCTCGTGCTCTCTCCTGTCTCAGTCTTTAGTTGATTTTACCCAATCGACCACTTGGCACCTGTTCACTCTTTCTCTCGAACTGAATCAAAGCCCATAGCTGTGAAGGGAGTAGGCCATCCCATCCTAATTCTACGTCGACCATGACAAGTGGGCTCACAGAAGGAAAAACCCCAAGAGCCAATAATAAGAACCAGGTCACTGCAGCCAACAGACCATCTCGACAGCCAGCCTTCACCAGCTCCCCTGAGGAGCCTGCAGGCCTCCCTGGAGCTCACAGCAGAGCTCCTTGCAGCCCTGGTCAGCTTGGTTACTGCTGCAGAACCAGGCACCGCTCCCTTCCTTCCACCAAATGCCACCTTTCACCTCCCTGGGTGTGCATCGTCCCACACGGGATAGGCCCAGGGGAACGCGGCTTCAGCCCTGTTCACTCCACTCCTTGTCATCACGGGCCATCCCACCCGGCTTGCAGAGAGATGTTTGGGGAATATTTGGAAGCGTTAGCCTGTGACCTGGCAGGTTTTCTATCTTGTTCCAGTTCCTCAGTGACAGAGCTTGCTACTTCTGTTGCTACAGAACCCTGGAAAGGTAACATTTGTCTCTGTTCTGACCTCGGCCATAGCAGGGCTTGTCAACAGCCTAATGCCTCTGATTCCTTCACTCTTCCACGAAGAAGAGCAGAGGCTCTAGAGTCAGTGCTGGTCTCATCTCCCCGGAGACGAGTCACACATCAGCAGAAGGAAGCAGGGAGAAGGAGAGAGGATGGGGCCAGGACTCATCAACACTCCGGATCTTACACAAAGGGCCTTTGCAGGAAGCTGTGGTGAAGGACTGGGCCAGGACTCAGAGCGATGCATGCCAGAAAGTTCTCAGTACGGAAGCCCGCCTTTCATCCAGTACTCACTTGAACCCTGCAGCAGGGAAACTTTGTCGGGATTTTTGCTTACGCTCGAGAGTGGGCGAGCCTGAGAGAGAACCACTTGAACCATCTTGTACCGTACCAGGGTGTACCTACCTCAAAGGGGTGTTGTACGGAGCTTAATTAATTAATGTTGCAAAGTGCTCTGGGCTCGTCGGATGAAAGGGAGCTCGAAAAGTGCAACGTATTATTATTATTAAAATGATATTTAGTATTTGCAGGCGGGCCAGATGCTGAATGCAGATAGGCCTCGATAAAAGATGGACCACAAAAGAAGAAAAAGTTAATAAGGTGTTTCGGGCATGCTGCTGATAGTCTCACTGAAATTGCTTCTCTCTCCTGTGATGATGATTTGAGCAGAGATAGGATCTTAACTGCTTTGCAGAACCAAAGGGTATTTCCATGGCAGGCGTTCTGAGGACCCAGAGACTGGTACAAAACAACAAATGCCCACCTTGCCCTACCTTCCCTCGCAAAAGGTAAAACTGCCCATCTCTGAACTAAAGCAATCCTGCTGCAAGCCAGGGAAACCAGACTCAGATTTGGTATTTTTAGATGATTAAGAAATAATTTAATATGTTATTACGGCCTCCGTCCAGTAAGCGACATGCTAATGTTTGACAGTGATTTGAGAAAATAAGGAAATGAATGAAGAGTTAAAACGGTGTGTGGAGCAAGTTAAGTAGTGAAAATCCCTGACTGCACAGTCGAAAGCCCGGCCCTGCACTGCCAGCTACAGACAGAGGTGCTGGCAGAGCAAGTCCCGACACGCACGTCTTTATTAAATCTTTTTTAAAACACAGAAGTTAACTGTCTCCTGAAATATTTCGGGTGTTTAAACGTGCCACAGCTGACAAAAAGTAATTTTTAAAAGTCCTGGCACACGATTACACTTGGTAACATGTATCTGTTTCTGCTCCAGAAAAAAAAAAAAAAAAAGCAAGGCAGTGATTCAAACACCTTCTCTGCACGCAATGAAGTTTGAACCTACACGTTCTAGGGGATAATTACCACTCCTTTTACTCCTTAAATTCATGGCATTTTAGAGGTCATCTAGTTGATTTTTCAAATGAAGACGTAGGCCCAGAGAGATAAAAATTTCTTAATCAAGTCTATATATGTAGTCAGTGATTTAGAACTGGAATATAACCAGTTCTATATAACTGGAATATAACCAGAGGTCATTAAGGGGCCCCCAAATACAAATTTGAGGAGAGCCTCCTGTGCTCTGTTAACTGCCAAATAAAGGACGGTCCCCTGGGAATGGAGTCCCTGTCCACCCATGTGAGTATGGTTAGAGTGACGGGCACTGCGGCTGGGTGGCTCTCGGGCTGGCACTGCGGCTGGGTGGCTCTCGGGCTGGCACTGCGGCTGCGTGGCTCTCGGGCTGGCACTGCGGCTGCGTGGCTCTCGGGCTGGCACTGCGGCTGCGTGGCTCTCGGGCTGGCACTGCGGCTGGGTGGCTCTCGGGCTGGCACTGCGGCTGGGTGGCTCTCGGGCTGGCACTGCGGCTGCATGGCTCTCGGGCTGGCACTGCGGCTGCGTGGCTCTCGGGCTGAAGGGGTTCCACACACATCGCTCCTGGGACCTTGGCTTCCACCCTAGAGAGAAGGTCCAGTTCCCCTAGTTTACCCACCAGGACACAAAGCTTCCAAGCCTCCAAGTGACTTGTTAAAGGACAAACACACACCTGGGATCTACCGGCCCCACCTTAGTGTTTGTTAGTGGGGGTGATGGACCCCGTCATTCTTGTCCGTCAGCCTCTGCCAGTCTTTCTCATGCTGTGCTAAGCAGTGCTCTAGTTGTTTAATGAGATATTTTTCTTCCTTCTAAGTTGTAAGTTACTTGATAGTAACGGTGGAATTTATGTTCCCTGGTGTTCTCTGTAGTGACTAGCAAAATTAACACCTACATATTTATTACTTTTTTTTTTTTTTTAATGGAGTCTTGCTCTGTCACCCAGGCTGGAGTGCAATGGCATGATCTCTGCTCACTGCAACCTCCGCCTCCCAGGTTCAAGCGATTCTCCTACCTCAGCCTCCCGACTAGCTGGGATTACAGGCGCACACCACCACGCCTGGCTAATTTTTCTATTTTTAGTAGAGACGGGGTTTCACCATGTTGGCCAGGCTGGTCTCAAACTCCTGACCTCAGGTGATCCACCCACCTCGGCCTCCCAAAGTGCTGGGATTACAGGCGTGAGCCACCGCACCTGGCATTTATTGCTTTTATACCCACCTCTGTAGGAATTTTTCTATTTGCTTGTACGCATATGTAGAAATGCAAGAGAGTGAAAGATTTTGTAATTAGATGTACAATCTTCTGAAGCGAAAAGTGCAGGTGGAATTTTGGGGGGGAAATAAATATAAGTAAAATGAGGTCGTCCGTAAATATTCACAAGTAGACTAGGGCATCAGAAAGGGACCTTCAGGTTCAGCCAGCTCCTTCGTGGAAGTAGAGTCAGGACTCAAAGAGTCAGGACTGGCATCGGGCTGCATTCCGTCAGTAGCAGAGGCAGGACGAGTGTCCGGGCACTCAGGTGTCCGGGCACCAAATCTGTTGTCCTTAGAAGGCAACAAGGAACCATTCACATCTCAGTGGAAATGCTGAGCTTTAAGAAGTGAACATTGGGATCATAGTAAAAGATTGTGTTTTCTTGAATTACAACATCTTAAGAGATTTGGCAATAGATACACATCCAAAGATTCTTGAAACCCAGGTTGTGTTCTTAGCTCTGTCATCGGTTCTTCCTGACTTCCAGATGGCGAGACGTCTATAACCAAGGGCCACGTCTCAAACTGAGGTCAGTTCTGTGTGATGAATGTCGCGAGGGATACTTCATTTCACAGAATCGATATGCTGCTCCCAGATTTGCCAGAAGTGGAATGTTTGTGCTAGAAGTCATATTTCTTAAACGGAACTTTATGATAGAGGTGTGATCGTCACATGCAGGTCTCTATGCACATGTATTTTGCCTCAAGATAATCGTGAAGATCATGGTGGCAATGACCCGATCATAGATGCACAATCCTTCAAAGGCACGTATTTAAAAGACATAACAATTCAACATGTGAAATGTTTAGGACCATTTTAAAATTTGACCCCACAGCTCAGTACCTAAGGGAAGACATCTAACTGCAGGGGTGGATTGACGTCTAACCACAGGCGTGGACTGCACTCACTGAAGAGCCCTCACCTCCTATTGCCCACCCTCTCCAGACCCTACAGTGGGCTTCCTGCACCTTCCTTTAGTCATTGTTTGCTAATTTTAGAACTTTTGGGGAATTACTGTCTTTTCAAAATGGACAGGCAGAGATGGCCACAGCAGGAAGACACACTGGACCGTGTCATAAGCAGAGATGTAATACACATTCCGAAATATGTCATCTGTCACCCTACCCCTGGGTCAACAGGGTTTGCACATTTAATGATAAGGGTGGATGGAGACTGATGGAGAAGCTCTGGATTTTCTGTTTTCTTCTGTGAGAAGGATGACTTTAATTCCAACAAGCCCAAAAGGTGCTTTCAGCAATGAAAGGGGTCATGAAACTCAGATGAAAATCCAAAATCTCAGCAAAATTTAATTGGAATTAAAGTCAGAAATTAAATTTGAATTCAATTAAAGCAGAAAATCCAAAATTTCAGCTAAAAACAAAGGAAACCTGTCCACAGTGAACATTTTAATTAAAAACCTGCTTCATCTAGTATAAAACTCTTATAATCAGTTTCTAAGAATTCAGCATTTATTTCCATCCTGAATTACCCACACTATTTTTGGTGTGTTCATCATTCTGCATGTCTATGTTCTTTAAGTCCTAATCAATCTCTTAACAACACAGAGAACAGCCATTGGGTATGAATTCATCCATACTCCAGGAAATCCTGATCACTTAGAGAACGATGCTCTGTTTTCCGGGCCACGTTTAGACTCCCACGACACCTCTTTGTTGCCTATCTGACATAAATGTTTGTTTCAATCAGAGCGTGAGTAGAAAGTGAATGAAACTTATCAGCTAGTTGTGGTTTATTGGTGCTCTGATTAAAGCTTTAATGGCAGTAAAATTTCTGATGAAAATTAAGTATAGTCCCTTCACTTTGGAAATGAAATCCTACGTATAATTTTGCCACAAGCAGAAAATGAAGGACATTACTGCTGGAAAGCAGAAGACCCCAGGACTTGGTGACCAAAAACAAATACAGCCTCCAGGTGGGGCCCAACAGAGCAAACCAGTTGTAGAACAAACACTGGGGGCTTTGGGGAAGCCTGAATACAGGTTAGATAACAGATGAGAACAGAGTTTTTCTGTTAGGTATTTGCCATTGTGGGTATGAGGAAAACTACCCTTATACTTTAGAGATGCATATTGAAGTAATGAGAGACAAATTACCATTATGTGTCAATTTTCTCTAAAATGCTCAAGTAGAAAAATAGCTAATGCAAAGATGGCAACATTTTATTAAACGCCAGTCATAGATACTTTGATATTTAATATCTTCTTTTCCTTGCTTTTCTAGAAAGTTTGGATTTTTTCTTCTTCTTTTTTTTTTTTTTTCTTTTTTTTTGAGTTGGAGTCTCACTCTGTCGCCCAGGCTGGAGTGCAGTGACATGATCCCGGCTCACTGCAACCTCCACCTCCCAGGTTCAAGCAATTCTCCCTGTCTCAGCCTCCCAAGTAGTTAGGATTACAGGCGCCCACCACAATACCTGGCTAATTTTTCTATTTTTAGTAGAGACGGGGTTTCGTCATGTTGGTCAGGCTGGTCTTCAACTCCTGACCTCAGGTCATCTGCCTGCCTCGGCCTCCCAGAGTGCTGGGATTACAGGTGTCAGCCACCAAGCCTGGCTAATTTTTTCTTAATTAAAAAGAATTAATATCCACTTTATAAAAATGGGAAGGTGCTCTGTGCATTCTCTGAAACACTGAGTAACAATATTGAGGACCGATGAAGAAACAATCTAAATGACTGTGTCTCACACCAACCTGGAAACAACACAATTCTCATCTGTGTTTTTGATGAGATTTCTAGGCCTTTAAGTATTCAACAGTCAAATATTCTTTATTAAAATTATAGGAACAAAAGTAACAACTGGTTAATATTCAGAGGGTGGGTTAAAATGCTTACAGTCTAATGACTCAGGAAAGGTATTTGTGGGTCCTGTCTGCATCCAAAACCATCCATTTCATGGAAAATAAATACTTTGACGTTTGATGGTGGCGTCTCCCACCCGGCTAATAAGCAAGTTCTGCTCATCAATCTTCTAATATATTTCATTTATTTATTTATTTTTATCTTTTTTTTTTTTGAGATGGAGTCTTGCTCTGCTGCCCAGGCTGGAGTGCAGTGGCATGATCTCAGCTCACTGCAACCCCCGCCTCCTGGGTTCAAGCGATTCTTCTGCCTCTGCCTCCCAAGTAGCTGGGACTATAGGCACGCACCACCACGCCCAGCTAATTTTTTTGTATTTTTAGTAGAGACAAGCTTTCACCATATTGGCCAGGCTGGTCTTGAACTCCTGACCTTGTGATCTGCCTGCCTCAGCCTCCCAAAGTGCTGGGATTACAGGGGTGAGCCACTGTGCCCAGCCTAACCTATTTTATAAATCAAGTCCTTCTTGTCATCCTGGTCACTGTTACCCAGAGGAGCACTTCATCCTCCCTCTTCTAGTCTACCTCAGTAGATGCATAGCACATCTTCCCTCACTCCGTCTCTCTCTTTCATCATATTACCCTTCATGAGAACCACATCGGAATAAACTGTCCAAAATGCTAATTTGTCCCCATCAATTCTCTATGTAAAACTATCTTTTTTTTTTTTTTTTTGAGACGGAGTCTCACTCTGTCACCCAGGTTGGAGTGCAGTGGTACGATCTCGGCTCACTGCAACCTCTGCCTCCTGGCGAGTAGCTGGCACTACAGGCACCCACCACCACGCCCAGCTAATTTTTTCTTTTTTCTTTTATTTAGTAGAGATGTGGTTTCACCATGTTGGCCATGTTGGTCTTGAACTCCTGACCTCAGGCGATCCACCTGTCTCAGCCTCCCAAAGTACCCGGATTACAGGTGTGAGCCACTGCGCCCCACCTAAAAACAATCTTTCAAAGACTCCACCTTACCCAAAGGCTCGACTCAACCATCCTGCCTCATCTAGTACAGTTTAGAGTAAGTCCAGACCCAGTCTCTCTAAACCAGGGTGGTCCAGGGAAGAGCAACTCTTGTGAGATATAAGGGTGGTGCTGATAAAGGGGCTTTCACTGAGCATTGATTAACAAAGCTGGGGCATTCCAGCAATATAGATCAGCGAGAACAGAAGTGCAACAGGATAAACGGAAGCAGACCCGCACGAAGAAGGAAGAGTGCTTCAGCTTGATTTCCATCTGAGCTCCAAATATGGAGGAAACGTGGGGAAGGTGCTGGAAAAGGTTATGTCGAAGTGAGACAATAACAGAAAAATACTGATTTTTGTCATTTTATTTAATTGTTGTGGGTACATAGTAGGTGTATATACAATATTTATGGGCTACATGAGCTATTTTGATACAGGTATATGATGCATAATAACCACATCTGGGTATAAGGGGTATCCATCACCTCAAGAATTGATCCTTTCTTGTTTCTTGTTTCCATTTGTAAGAATTTATCCTTACAAATGACCCAAGCATATGCTTTTAGTTATTTTTAAATGTACTGTAAATTATTGACTATAGTCACCCTGTTGTGCCATCAAGCACTAGATCTGATTCATTCTCTCTACCTATATTTTTGTGGCTATTAACCATCCCCACTCCTGCTCCAGTTCCTGGTACAGGTACTCACTGCCCCTCACTACTGCCCTTGCCACACATGCTTGTATCATTCCCAAGCCTGAGTTTTACTATGTTCCCAAATCTTATCCACATCACTCCCAACTTAGTCACCCAGATATGCACACACGCACACACACTGTCATGCACACACGCACATTCGTGCACACACACACTCGTGCACACACACACACTCGTGCATACACACTTGGCTCCCATCTGTCCTTGGTGAACATCTATTCATTCCTAGTAATTTTACTACCGTCTTTCCTGGGACCCTTCCCTGTTCCCTCCATTCCTTGCGCTGCTCCTCTGTGTTCTCCCAGAACTGTGTGTACCCCTCTGTCCAGAACCCAGGCCCACCTTGAGATATGTTCGTGTGTGTCTACGCCTCCCCCCTCCTCAAGCAAGTTTCATTTTTATTCATGTCCACACCACCCAGATCTAATTACAGAGTTGGCACACAGCAAATGTTCTCCTAAACTGAAGTAAAGTAAAAACGAGATCCTGAAATGTTTTCCTAAAAACTATTTCAATGAATCCAGAAAATAAATACCTGTTCACAATGCACTGTGGATACGTAATGCAGAAAGGCTTTCCACAGCACTGAACCTCCACCAACGAGGTCTTTGCTTGTTTGAAAGTCAAATATTTCATTTTTAATTTTAGTTGATTTCTTCTTGATCTCACAGATGTCACAGAAATTAGGCAGGACCTATGAGATTTAAGATCTTACTAAATAGTTCTAGGTAGAAATATGCATAGATTGTAATCAGATTAGATCCTCCGGCCATTTCTTTTGGTTTAACAACCCCTACACTTAGATTGCTTGCTCTTTTTCCAAAAAAGAGGTGAGATGACAAGTGTCTAGAGGCACTAATTTCTGCACTGTCACTAAAAGAACCAGTGCCCAAGGCCACGAGTGATCCTAGAACATGTTTTACCAACCCAGGTGCTGAGATGGGTTCGCTTCAGTGTTCCCAGTTTTCCAACTTGGTCTGCTTCAGTGAGGTGTTGTTAGGGGACATGCACAGATTTCTGACACCTTTTAAATGGGTGTCTCACCTTCCTTATCATCCGTGATTGTGTGCTGCAAATACCAATAATGTTTCTGTTGATTATTCTGGAAATCTATGTGTCTACTGATCACCTGGCTCTTTTAAAAATATTATTACTTACTTATTGTATATATGGTGAGTTTTTGTCTGTGTTTGCCAAAGGTGTCAAATCAATGATTTAAATCTTTTTTGAATAACTTTAGTTTTGGACATGCCTGACCTGTGTTTGCTTGGTTTTTAAGTAAGCTGTCCGTTAACAGTTCAGTGTCCTCCTCTATTGTTCAAAGACTTCTCAACGCCAGCCTCTCTAGTCCGTCGTCTTTTTATTTCCGCACCTTAAGCTCCACTAAGCCTTAAGTGTCAAGGGCCAGGGCTGCGGTTGCTTTTAGCTATGCCCAGACCTAGGAACGCTTCACGAGAACTTGCTACTGAATGTGTTTACTTCCTTTGCTTTATTTTTCCTCTTGCAAATCAATAGTATTCATAATATAGTTTTATAAATTAAAATAACTTATTAAAATATTGAGTTAAAACATGATTATACAAGGTTCTTATATGTATATTTCAAGGTGTAGATTTTTGTATAGATGAGTTTGATGGGCATAAAATCCTGGACATTATGTGGGTTAGATTCTCTTCTTCAGTCAACACCAGCATTCCCTACACCTGCAGGCCCTCGTCACTCCCAGGCCATCTCACCATGTCCTGATTTCTCACCCATGGCATGCTTTCCATGCTGTCTTGTTTAAATTCTAATGCTCTGGGGCCTCTTGTCCCATGGTAGGGATCTTACAGTCAGTCACCCCTGGGGACCTTCCTCTCACTAAATCTAACTGTAAACTCTGGTTATTCAGTGATAAATCAATGCACTTTTTTCTATACCTTCTCATATCAATTTTGAATCAGATAACTCCAAAATTATACTGCAGTGCCTACCTGTATTTTTTCTGCTATTTATTTAGTATGCCTCTCTGAAGAATTCTCCTTTTGTGACTAACAGTCTTACCACCAGTACACCTGGAGCATCCCATCCTCTGCTGGAATATTTGTCCTTATATACCAAACACCTGTCTTTGTGGGTGTGTGGGGCTAGACTTGGATATGCAAACTACTCTTATCAGATTATGGTACCCTTCTTGAGGACAGGTTTCTGATGTATACGTAAAATGAGAGAAACTTTTCCCTGAGCTACTGCATTCTAAACCAGCTTGAGAGATTTCCATTGATTGTAAAAGCTGTGAGATAAAGCATGCTTGCTTTGGGAAACCCAAAGACAAGGTCGAGTATTTTGAGATCTCTAAAGAAGAATAAATGTTCTCATCTTCTTATTTTCACTGCCTCCGGCTGACACTGGGTGAATGCTCATGGGGGCCACTTTGCAAAGCATCTTCCCAGAATAACCTGCTGCTCGGTGGCATGACTTGCAACATGAGCTATCTTCCAGCCTCCCCGCCCTCACAGGCACAGCAAGATGCACTCTAAGTACACGCTAAATGGACATCTTGGCCCAGGAAACGACCATGTCAGCAGCAGCCACCACCTCTTTGATGATGAAGGGCAATGATACAGGTGGGGATGGAGGCAGGAAGCAGATGGTCCCCTGAACTCCCAGCATGCTTTGGCGCCCTGTGAGGTTGATGTGTGTTTCCTTGTTCTGATGGTTTCCCTCTCGATGGCCTCTCTCATTGGTCTATTTGGAGGCCCATTTCCCATATGCCAGATGTCTCACTATACCTTGGGTAATTGTAACTATTTGAGGAATTTCAAGAAAATGCCAGCTCATTAGTGACTGAGAGTACTTGACATTCTCTCTGATAAAGGCCAGTTTGTTGAGGAGTTTAAAATTCAACAACATGTAGCACAAAACAGGACCCAATTTGAAGGAATCAGAGTGTAATCCAAATCTGAATAATGGAGGTATGACCATCGAAAGCCACGGTGTTTTCTACTGAATTGGATTTTCATACAATGTGATCCCATCCTTATATTTTTTATAGATGTCAAAGTGATGACTGGATTCATAGACCTATAAAGTAGGAAAGTAAAAACTCTATTGAATGGTAATACTGGAGGAAGACACATTCTAACCAGCAAAATACAATGTTTACCTCAAAATCACCAGAAAATAAAAGCCCTTTTATTCCTCTCCTTATCACTGCTCTGTGAGCAGGACTTTACAAGTGGATTTTAAATGACTTTTCTTGTTGAAGACACTGCAGTTCCACCCAAACTTGTTGCTTCAAAGCTCAGCAGCCACTACCTATGAGTAACATCATGGCGTCAGTATCTGTGTTTTCCGCCTCGGGGGACCATTGTGAAATACGAGAACCAGGCTAAAGCCATAACAACTCCAGGAAAGCAGCTGTCAATACCATTTTTCAATGTATTTGCCCTTTCATTTTAAAAGAGAACGTGTCACAATGGTGATAATATTGCACCTGACAGAGTGTGCTGCAGCTGGATGGAAGAAAACCTAAAGAGCAAATTTATCCTGGAATGAAAAATGTCGCGTAAGACTGCCTCCATCCTTAACAAGAATATTATGAAATCATCCCCCAAAGAGACCATCTACCCCTTACTTCAAATTAATCCAGAAAAGAATTTGACCACTACCCCTGACACAGTCAATAATTATTTACAGCACATCAGACACCTGATGATATTTAGCACCAAATCCAAGAGTAAGTCACAACCACAGCATTCAGGCCAGTCTGTAGGACTCAGAGCCAGCTCCCTGACTTTCCAGTCTGTAATTTGGGGAAATTTCTTGAACATTTCTAAGTCTCAGTTTCCCCATCTGTAAAACAGGGCTAATAATTGTACTCAATATATAGGTTCCTCGTGATAATTTAGTGCCACCTCTTCACACCGTGTTGTCAGTAAGTGTTGGCTGCCATCACGGTTGTTGAGATCTCACATCTGCATGCATGGTGCCTTTGTGAGGCTTTCTCTCAGTGATGATCCAGGATGTGGATGGTCAAGAGCATTGTTACACAAATGCCTGGTTGGCTGAACAATGAATAAAGGGTATGGGCCCGGTGTCGTGGCTCACGCCTGTAATCCCAGCACTTTGGGAGGCCAAGGCGGGCAGATAACGAGGTCAGGAGTTCCAGACAACCCTGACCAACATGGTGAAACCCTGTCTCTACTAAAAATACAAAAATTAGCTGGGTGTGGTGGCGGGCACCTGTAATCCCAGCCACTCAGGAGGCTGAGGCAGGAGAATCACTTGAATCTGGGAGGTGGAGGTTGCCGTGAGCTGAGATGGCACCACTGCACTCCAGCCTGGTGACAGAGCAAGACTCCATCTCAAGAAAAAAAGGAAAAAAAAAGGGAACAAGGGTCTTCATTGTTCTGGAGGAAAGTGGTATATGGCAGGATTTTGCGTTGGTCCATGTTCCATGTTGATGTTTGTGAATTGACTAGAAGAAGACATAGAAGACATGTCCTTGAGTGGAGAAAATGCCTGTAAGCTGGAAGGTCACATTCATTTAGAGGTGTGGGGTGCCGGCTGTGCAGCCCTCAAATGCTGATACAACCCTGAAAATCAATGAAGAAAAGATGCAGCAGCCAGACCAGCCTCGAATTTTAAAATAAAATCTGCTCAACCGAACTGCAGGTGACATGCAAAGCTAGGAGAGACAGCAATAAAATCAATGATGAATCAAGATTCAACTCTACCTGGAGAAGCTGAGATGAGCCCTTGAGAGCGTGCCTGCAGTTCAACTGGAAGGAAGGTGAAAACCCTGCCCTTGAAATTTTAAATCAGCTACCAACTACTGGGGTCAGGAAGCCTCGTCTACCTCAATCTCTCAAACAAACGACACTCTAGGGTTTGTGGTTGAATGACAAATTCAAGAAGCCTACATGGAGATATGTATCACATCATGGAAGGCTGCACAAAACAGGTACAATCAGGCGTCCTACGTAAAAGTTCAGACAAAACCATGAACTAAAGCCACTGCTCATTTTAGATTGACATTCAAAGCTCTGCTCAAGTCCGAATGCTTTATTTGAAACGAGGTGGCGCACAGTCCGGATGCGTCCAAGCGGAGCTAACGAGACAGAGGGGGGCCCGCAGCTGTTTACTGACCCACTCCTGCTGTCATAGCAAACACTGGCTGTGCCCAAACATGTGCCAAATGTGTGTGGCACGTTCACACAGGTGTTCTTTTTGTTTCAGTTTGGTTTGGTTTTGTTTGAGATAGAATCTCTGTCTCCCAGCCTGGAGTGCAGTGCTGCTATCTCGGCTCACTACAACCTCCGCCTCCGAAGTTCAAGTGATTCTCCTGCCTCAGGCTCCTGAGTAGCTGAGATTACAGGTGTACACCACCATGCCCAGCTAATTTTTGTATATTAAGTAGAGACTGGGTTTCACCATGTTGGTCAGGCTGGTTTCAAACTGCTGATCTCAAGTGATCCCCCCACCTTGGCCTCCCAAAGTGCTGGGATTACAAGCGTGAGCCACCACGCTCGGCCCGCATAGGCATTCTTGATTTATACTCAGAACAACCTTATAAGGCACGATTTTTGTTCTCATTTTACAAGTGAGCAAATACAGGCTCGTAATCAATCTCAAAAGTGTTCAATGAACACACCCAGTCTCATGCAGCTAGAACGTGTCTCAGCTTCAACTCAGACTCCAAAATCCCAATCATTTCCATTGTGAAAAATATTCACAGACGCTGAGAATGACTGTAGGAGACTGGGAAGGCAACACTTGGGTGGAATGGAGAGTCTCGCTAACTTTCTTCAAATATTCGGTACTTTTTGTGTTGCTCTAAGACAAAGAACTAGAAGAACTATTAAGTAGGAATAAAAGAAGACACATTTGGGCACAATATAAGGAAGCACAGCATAACCAAGCTGGCCGAAAATTCAGTGGTGATGTTACCAGGTGGTCAGTGCCCATCATAGGAGGGGCAGGATCAGAGCTGGCCACTGGCCAAAGTCATCCCGGCAGTGCCCCCTGTGTGACCGTGACATAGACTGTGTGACTTCTGAGACCCTTCCACCTCTCCTGGTTCCATCCAGAATCTCGCAGACTCTAAGGGATGATGTCTTTTTAACCTTCATATCCTCCACGGTCAGCACATGCCCTAGAACCTAAGGGGTATGTAAGAGTTTTTTTTTCAATTAATGAATGAATTGAATAATTGGAACTATGATTTATCCATGGAGACTGTTCACACATTGGTAAAGAAAGTACATCTTTGTACAATGTTATTTTGCAGATTTTTTAAAGCCATCATAATAGCAACATTTCTCTCAAAAAGCCATGTTTCTCCTTTTAACCATGTCCTCATGCCTCAAATTCTATTAGGGACCGCCCCTCCCCCCTTGAGTTAATCATTGTTACTTTTTATTAAAATATATGTTGGTATCACTTTAAGTTTTCTTTTGGAAAACTTAAATAATGGGTTTTTGGAAAGAACAAATCCAGCTTCTGTGGGAACAGTGCACAGAGCAGACAGATTTGATTGGGGGACATGTGGGAGAAAGACCGGAATTCTGAGGAGCACATGAGTGCAGGGGCACTTGGTGTGTCCTTGGCGTGGGGTCCTGGGGAAGGCGGGAAGGGAGGATGTCGGTGGGGACCCATGAGCCGCTCTCCTCTGGGCAGCCTGACCTCCTCTCCAACCACCTCCCCTTATCTCACCCTGCACCTGGGGACACAGAGGCCCGTTCCACCGTCCTCCTCTCATTTACCTCACCTCCTTGGTGCCTCTGCATTCCAGACTCTTCTAAGACATGCATGTTACTGAAGAGCAGGGAGGTTTAGGGATGATGAGGGTGTGGGAGGAAAGAGAGGGCATCCCATCAAGAAGTAAATGCCACAGTAGCATCCAAACAGTAGAAGATGCTGGTGATGTGGTGCTGAGTGACAGCAATTTTACTATGATGTGCCAGAGAAAAAAATCTATCCCAATAGCTAGAGTCAAAGAAGTACGAGGGCCCCCCATACAACTGAGCTGGGCTTCAAGGAACAAGCCGTAGAGAGGGTGGTGGGGATGGGCCCAAGCCAGGCAGTCAGGGCTTATGCGGCCCGTGATTGTCTCCTGCCCTGGATGGGAGCTGGGGGATCTCGACGGGATTGAGACTGCAGAAGTTAATAACTCTACCTTTGAAAGGACTGTGACAGCAGCACTGACTGAGACGGCCCCTGCGCCATGAAACAAAAGACTACAACTCCAGGGCTAAGGCGAGGAACACAGTGGAGACCCGGGTGATTATCAATTGACATAGTTTAACTTGAAGAGTTACATTTGTGTGGCCCTTTCTACAATGACCTTGGTCAATATGTACAGAATTTTGCTTTACGAAATGCCTCTCTTGGTGTTTTCTTTAAAAAACTTTCCAAGCACCAATAAGCATTTGCTTACAGCTTCTTAATTACTCAAAGGAATCAGGCAGAGAGATTTTTAATGTTTTAGTAGCTGATGTTGATTGAAAATCAATCAGAAATTAGGGTAGGATTTCCATCTCTGAGAGGATTACATAAGTCAATAGAGAAATGCATTTAGATTTTGGAAGATTCCATTTTCAGACAACTTTTACGATGACATCATCTCCATGAAGTCAACACTCGAGTCATAAATCAGCACCTAAAAATAGAAAATCCCTAACCGAGCCATCCAGTCCCGTCAGGACTTTCATGCGTCTCCTAAAACAGGAGCAGCATTGAGGCTATTTCAGGTGAGCAAAACGACCCCTGAATGGGCAGTGAAGCATTAAGTCACTTCTGCTGCAGTGGAAAGGCTCTGCATGCTAATGAGTCCTTTAATCCTCCTTCCCAGCCCACGGGCCACAGTCAGCAGAGGCCTCCATCCCACGGGAGGCAGCGTTCTCACAGAGAATCCTTACACAGCTGTAGGACATACTGGAGAGCCAGGCCAGGTCTTGCAAGGTAGAGCCAACCCATGCCCTATCATCCCGCAGGGGCAGTGGGCCTGGCCAAGAAGTTTCCCAGGGTGGCGCCCCTGCCTCAGCTGCCCTCCTGACTCAGCAGCAACGCGTGAGTGAACAGTGGGGATGGGCTTGCTCTCTCCCTCCTGCCCAACTGCAACCCACTAAAGCCCTACTTCCCCTACTGCCTCAGGATCAGCCCTAGATCTGGCAACCAACCAGGCCAGGCACCAGCTTGTGTTTGTGAAGTGTCCACCACGAGCAGGCGTGATGCTAGGCACAGTGACAAAATCAAAGATTCCCCTTCAAAATATACCCCAAAAGGTCATCCACAGCATAAATTAGCCTCCTCCTAGAAATCATCAGACCATGGGTCTCGAAGGAAACAGCAAGGGCTGAGGACGTTGGACAAGGTGTCTGTGGGCTCAGAAGGAGTGCAGCCTTGGAGACTGGGCAGACTTCGCAAAACACAGCGGCTCCCAGTGAAGAGAAGGCAGGTGCAGAGCACAGGGTGGGCACGGCCTCAGCTCGCCCCTGCTCACCCCGGCAAGGAGTTGCATGCATCTGTTGCTCTCCTGTTTCTGCCTCTAACTATGTCCCTCTGTGTTTTACGGATATGGCAGCTGTGCCAGCTTCAAAGAGTTCCTTTCCTGGAGCAAAGTTTCCTCTCCTGTGAATCCTGCAGCCGCACTCCATGGGAGAAGGGCTCCTGAACAGAGATGTGACCCAAGAGCAGGCAGCTTCTGAGGAAGAAGAGCCTTTGACTGCCGTGAAGGGGACAAGCAGCCCCCCAAGTCACCGCGGTCACCACGCACTGATGCCCTGTCTGCACACGCTTTCCACAGCCGTGACTTCCCTCCAGCCAAAACCACCACAAACCAGTCTAGCGTGTCTTGAGCCCCAAATAACATAGGAACGGCAGGCCACTGGGGTCAGGCAGTCACGCAGGTACTTCATTGCTTGGTTGGGTTAATCATATTGCTTAAGGAGGTTTCAGCAAGAGAAGTGACAAAACCAGCCACGGGGATGTCAAAAGGCATCAGAAAAGGGATCCGTCTTGGGAATTATTATTAGGACACAATTTTTATTGCCTAGTAAGAGCCACAGATACTGCTGGAAACACAATAGAGCCACGGGGACTTTCTATGTCATCCTAATAGGCCGCGGCCCGCTGGGGTGGGAGCAGTTCCGATCGCTGAACAGGAGGTGGAGAGGGTCAGACTTCAGTTCCAGTTTGAGATCACATGCATCATTTTCACCATTAACCCTCAATCTTCACACTGTTGTTTGTTTGTTTGTCTGTTTGAAGCATGGAGGCATACACAGAAACGCCACCTGCCTTTGTTGCTGCTGCTGTTATTTTGGTTTAGTTTGGTTTTGTCCGGGCTCAAAGGCAGCACTAGGTTTTGGCGGAAAAATGAAGTTGGACCCCATGGGACACGTGTCGTGGTTGCAATTTTATCATTTCAAGAAGCAAT
Organism: Homo sapiens; assembly: GCF_000001405.40. Classification (NCBI taxonomy): domain Eukaryota; kingdom Metazoa; phylum Chordata; class Mammalia; order Primates; family Hominidae; genus Homo; species Homo sapiens. The sequence goes on from NC_000007.14 coordinate 156,362,847, forward strand.
TCAATGTTTTCATTAAAACATGTAGAAATACAAAAAGGACATTCGAAATGTCATAATGGCTTGGCTAATTTCCTATCCACAACAGGCCTTTCGGCACAAACTTCTTGGAAGACTTTAGTCTCTTGAGTGAGGCTCTCTTTAGAACTCCTAGTTATTTCGTAGGGAAACGAGGTCAGACTGAGATGTGGCATTGCAAGCTGCTCTGAATGGAACGGCAACAAAATGACCAAGGAAAGCCCAGGCCCCAGGGCACAGCTGCCAAAGTGCATTTCCGTGTCTCTCAACTGCACCCTTTCCATCTGGAGCAGGCTCCTCTTCCAGTGAATTCTGATACTGAGGAACTCCTGCCACATGGCCTCTCCTGAATATCAGAGCCCAGGGCCTCCCTTGTATAGATTTCTGGACCCTGCTTCCAAACCTCAGACCAAAACTTACACTTCCTCACCTGCTCTGTAACCAGGACACCTTGCTGACCGATCTGGCCTCCTTCGTTCAGAGATGACCTTGTCCCGAGGCGTCAGCTTCTGCATAACCCAGGAGCCCAGCATTGCTGAGACGCATCAGCTTTGGTCAGAGCCACTGACCAACACAGCAGGGACCAGGGCCAGTTACCCTCTGACTGGCACTTAAACTAGCTGGACAGCCTCAGTTCTCAAACACTTTTTTTGTGGATCACTTTTGCACTTATGGTTTTTCTCCATTTCTTTGAATTGGTTCAGGCATTACTAAGAGGTTTTAAAATAATATGCTAGTGTATTTTAACCACTAAAGCAAGGAAAAAGCAACAAGCAAAATTTTTCCCAGTGGCAGTTCCAAAATATTGCCCCACTGACCTACCTCTCCTGCTCCACTATGCCACCCCAAAAGAGAGCTCAGAAAAAGAAAGTAGAGCCCAAATCCCTCTGTTTCAGACACCAAACAAGAAGTGTCATTTTTTCTTAAATTTGCATGACTATATTATTAATTAATTAAGCACTCCACAAATCTTTTAATTAAGTGCCTACTCTGTTGCCAGGCATTATTCTGTGCAATTTATCCCAGAAGCCTTGAAAGAAAAAGACAAATTCCCTAACAGGGTAATCATTTCTAATGGCAAGTCATTGCTGGGAGCGTGTGAGCTCCTTGGGGAAGCACAGTAATATCTTCTGTTGCGTTACTATTTAAGTGATCACGTCGGGAAGCATTTGTTTCAGAAGTCCTCAGTAGACCGGAGGATCAGAATTAGGCAGCAGCAGTTAAGAGCTGGGGGTGAAAAGGATTCATCTCCAATCTCTCCCCAGGGTGAGCCTGAACTGGGGGGCACTCTGCACCCAGCACAGCTTAGTCATCATTGTCTGTGTGTGACCAGGCTCTCCTGGCACTGGTCTCATGGAATCTGAGAGATGTGTCCTACTGTTCACACTTGGGGGGTGGGCACCTCCAGGAAGGTGGGTTCGTGTCAGGGTTTTACCCAAGGGTTCCCCGCAGGTTCCAGGTAAACAGGCACTGAGCTTGAAACCAAGAAACTGGGTCCTGCCCCACACTTGCTACCCAGGTGCTGTTGTGCAACGGTTTACCTCTCTCTTACAGTTTCTGTGCTGAAAATGAGGTTAGAAATGCCTGTCTTGGGATTGTCATGAGACTCAGATTAGAAAATAACTCTGAAAGTGCTTTTGTGAACCAAACGTCACCACTCAAGGATATAGTTATGAGTATGGTTACTAATGCAAGCTTGGTGGTGGGGTTTGCAAGAAGACATCTGGACCTGGGCCCAGCCTGGAGCCATGCATTTTAGCTCCCCTCCGACGAGGGGGTGAGACGGCAGAAGAGGAGGAGCTCCAGAAATGACACCAGGAAGATGGGTGGTTGGGGAAAGGTCATAAAGGTCGTGCATGTATTAAACAGGATTCAAGACATGGAAGCAGTAGTGTTGGCGCCAAGAGAGTTGAGGATGATAGGCTGCTGAGAGACGGGAGAGGGCAGAGGTTTGGGAGCAGATGTGTTGGAATCATTGCTGGGCAGGTGAAGAATATTCACCTCTTCATCAACAATTGAAAAACTCATGACTGCCCGTTAGACTGGGAAGCCGCCATTGGAAGGTCAATATTCCTAAGCGCATCTTGCTCCTGTGGTGCTTGCCAGTCGTGGCTGGTTCTCGAGCCTCCCATCCGTCCCCTGGGGCCACGTTCAGACACAAACTCTACGCATCCTGATGAAAAAGTGCACCTGCTAAACCACGTGCAGAGGATCTCTCACAGAATCTCACAATTACACACGCGAACGGGCCCCTCTCCTGCATGCAAACCAATGAAATAGATCACACCCAGCTCCGCGTCCCCAGGCTTCTCACCGGCTGCCTTGGATGCCCCATCAGGAGCCTTCCAAGACAGCAGCGCTGCTCATGAATATGTCACTACAGCCCCCTGCGCTGACTCAATGGTTTGCATTTTTTATTCCGTGTTCTCTGACGTGGAATTTACAAACAACTGAACCAGAAGAAACTGGATGGTGCCCCCTGCCTGACCCCTCTTTGATGTACAAGGAAACTGAGGCCCTGAAAGCAGAGGTGGCCCCATCCCCCTGCAGACCAGATTCTCCGTGGCACCACCGGGGCTCACAGGAGAAAGTCATGGTCCCTGCCTGGAAGTCAGCTGCATGGCAGTTGGTGACGTCCTGTCCTCACATTTTGAACTCTCAATGAGGAGACGCACTGTGTGTGTGAGCCCTGCTTCCAGGTGGGGCCCACGTGTGGTCAGGACCTACCCACCGCAGCCTCCTCCTGCTCGCATAGGCACATGCTGGCACCAAAATGCTGAGTTCAGCCCCAGCCCGCCGGCAGCTCAGGACCAGCCCGGCTTCTGACCATCACGTTTCGGCTGCACTGAGGTTGAGGCTGGTCCCGGGTGTCTGCTCTGCGTCTCCCTGGGAAGGCCCACCCCCTCGGTCTGAGGGGCATGTTGGTTTCTCACGTGCCCCAGCCCTTTGCAGGGTCCTGGGCATGCAGCTGGCGCTCATTAAACCAACACTTCATTGAATTGGCTGTCCCCTTGTCAATGCTGAGATTTTTCTCCTGACTTTCCCCGCCAGTTTCACTGTGGGTTTTACATTTCAACCTAAATTGGTTTGAAATCTCACAACTGATTTAAGTAACCTGGAAGGTGAGTCTTTTCCCACTTTGCAGATGAGGAAACTGAAACACGGAGAGTTTGAGAAGCAGGGCTGAGGCCCCCGCGGAAGAGCAGCTGGCCTGTGGGTGCCTTTCTTATCAGGAATGAACCAACGGTGAACAAGGCCAAACTCAAGCCTTCCATTTTCTGGCTGATCCTGGGCAAAGCAGTTGGTGGCAGAGCAGGTGGGAAAATCCGTCTACAGGAACGGGAGGTGGCGGAGCTGCAGGTTTCGGCTCCAGCAGTCACTTGTCACCTTAGGCTGTTTGACCCCTCTGGGCCTCAATGCCTCATCCATAAAATGAGAAGTCTGGACAGGAGCAGTGGCTAAGACCAGATGATTTCCACCATCCTAGGAAATGAGACATGCGGACCACTCTGTCCACCTTCCTTTCGTGGTTAAGAACCTGTGTTTTCCTTTGTGCTGAGCTGACAGGCTGACCTTTAAATGATAAACTGAGCACTTGTTGAAGAGAAGGAGTGCTTTCCCTGAAAAGCAGACTGATGGCCATTCACAGCAGCCACGGGAAACAGGAGAACCAAGGCCCAGGTCCAGACCAGGACTCGCAGGCAGGGTGAGAAGGCAGGGCCAGGCTCTATGCTTTCCCCCTGGGGCTGCCGCACTTGGAGGTCCGGTGTCCACACACCCTCCTTCTCTCCCCGCTGCAGCCTGCCCCTGTCACCCTGAGTCCTCTCACCCAGGGAATTCCACAGAGGGAATCCTCCTGCCTTCAATGGGTCCCTGAGCCCCTACGAGGAGTGTCGGGAAGAGTGAGAGGGAGGAGGCTTCACAGTCCGGCATTCCTGGGGCCTTTATTCCGAGTGACATGTTGCCACGTGGCAGCCACTTGTGAGGCGACTCCAGTCACCCTGCACAGGATGGCTTCAGCGGCACTGCGAAAGAATCTCACCCTGAGCATGCCACAGCCTCCCACATTTGCTCCACGGCCGTGACTGCGGCAACGTTCCTAGCAGACCTTGAACAGACGAGGCCCAGCAGCATCCTCAGAAGAGGAGAGGGAAGCTCGCAGCGCAGGCCCCAGGCCACAGCCTTAGATGACCTTCTGTTTGCTCTCGGGACACGCAGACGGGCCGGAGCGTTGGCTGTGTCCGCACCCTAGATCATCTGGTTCCGCTTCTTCATTGTATGGAAAAATAAGAGACCAGGAGGGTTTTGATAATTTAGGCAAGGTCATAAGCCAGTCAGTCAAGGCTTGAAGAAGATCCACGCTTCCTAATTTTTTGACTGTGCTCTCTGGCCTACTGTGATGTCTTTGTTTAACACCTCCCTGTGAGGGATAGCCTCCTTTTATGAATGGAGAAATGAATTAATGAGTATAATATAAATAAATTAATAAAGCCCTTCCAAATTGGACGATACTGGTAACGCCAAAGAATGTGCCTACTAATACATAAAAATTAAAGAAAGACAAATGCAACTTGTGAACACAGCATCTCAAAGACACGGTTTTAACTGAGCCCCAGCTAAAGAGCTTAGCTATCTACAATAGTTTAACTAATTGGTGATTTACTTATATTTATGCAAATTCAACCAGCACTGAGCACCATTTACTATCTAGCACCATATTACAATGTGAAAGTCACAGTGGAGATAAAAATACATAAAGAACATTCCCTGCCATCAAGTAGCCTATTCTTCCAGTAGAAACAACGAGGTAGAAAGAAAAAACAAGGGCACAGTGGTTAAACGCTCAGACAAATTTAGAAAGTGTGAGAATGGCTGGCCAGTTAAACAGTAAACGGTCATTGGCTGAACGTCTTGGGTGGAGTTCAGTGCTCTTTTCCAGGTTTCAATTCCTTCATCGATAAAGTTAGGGAATTTTAATTTCCTAATAATGTCACTTCTGAGATTCTCTGTTCTGTATGATCTCAGGGAAGACTGCTTTGATGAGGTGGGACTTAGGAGCTCAGTAAGATGAAAGGCACCTCACCATCTTTGCTGCAACTCCAAGCTGTGGACCCATTGATGACAATGTCAAGCCTATCTTTACCTCTGAACAATACCTACACCAAAAAATCTCTTTAAAATCTTTATTACTTTCACTTTAAAAAACCTTTCCCTCAACATTTAATCTTTCATTAGACGTGCCAGCCAGTCACTTGGGATGCCCAGGCAGAGCTGGCAGGCGGAGGACGTGGGACACTGGAAGGGCCAGCTGTGTTAGGCAATCACTGTAATTGCCAAACTGTTTTTTTCCACTCCAGCCTAATTTTCTGTTGTAATTTATCAGTTACGCAAAGGTTGGATCAGCTCTTGGAAAAACAACCCCCTCTCTGAATTAGAGGCATTGCAAGAGGTGAGTTCTAAAGAGAAGGTTCATGGAGCATTCGACGGGGAGGACATTGCAGGGAAGTGGATTCCTCTCAGCACAGGGCTGCCTGCAGAGTCATCATCCTTCCCTTGCCAAAGCCTTAAAAACTCATCTCTGCTTTCACTTTTACAGCAATTATTAATCTTCTGCCACTCAAGTTTCCATCCTTCTTAAACCACCAATATTTTAACCTGCATATCCCCTAAGTCAGTTATGGATAAACTAGGACAATTTAGGAAACGCACACACAATACAGGCTATTAAACATCTGTACAATAATTAAACCCAAGTAAGCCAGGCCTGCATGGTGCAAGATTGCTGACATGCTGGGCCGCCTCGCTCACTGCTTGTCCCCAGGCGACACCCTGCAAGCGTGCATGTCAATCAAGCAGTGAAAAGACAGTCATTGAGCCCTTCCTGGGTGCCCAGCTCACTTCAGGTGTTGTTTAGAACATGAGAAATGATGCTCAAGGGTTTGTCATTTTCGTAAGGCATCAAGTCTTTCCAATCAAGACAATTTAAAGAGCAATATCCTAAATGGGAATTCAGGGAAAGAAGAGATTGGAATTAGAGATTGGAATTGGTTGAAGTAGTTGAAAAGGTTTGGAGGGGGAAACAATGAGATTTACATGATCTTGGAAAGAGGCATAAAATGTGGATCCCTGAGGGAAAACAGGGACATTCCCAACAATGAAAGGTGAGATTCTTAAAGACCGAGGCGAAGAGAGAGTGGAAAGGGTGGGACTGCCAGGGTCTTACCCAGCAGAAACAAGAGTCCATGATCCAGAGCAGAGGACCCAGGGTTCAGTGAGGATTTCAGGTATCTAAGATCCTGTACACGACCTGTTCAGAGGGGACAGAGAGGACCTAAGACATGATCCCAGCACTCAATGAATCAGGACGACTGGCACTGTCTCTACAAAAAGAAAAGAACATTTTAAAGGCTTTGTAAGAACCTCACCACCCCTTCTTATGATATGAACAATGATATTTTTGTGATAAGACTGTAATTTTAAAATGTCACCTCCAAGACAAAAGGAAAAAGAAGAGATGAAGTCAGTCAGTCATCAGGGAGAATCTAAAATCTGGCAACTGAAGAACAGACACATAGCACAGGAAAGGCTAAATTATCAACCCAGTCAACATCTGTTATCATCTTATAAACATGGAACTATGAGCCCAATAGCTCCCCAGACTGGAGACTGGAACCCTCTTGAGGTTCCCAAAGTACACAGGGTGCTCAGTTTGTGTTTTGACAGGGAAAAACGACACGTGAATGGATTAAGTTCTAGAACTGGGCTATGTGAGGGTCCATAAGCTTTCACCACAGCGGAAACAGCAGGCGCCCCTTATCTGTGATTTCACTTTCCATGGTTTCAGTTACCTATGACCAGCTGCAGTTTGAAAATAGGTGAGTACAGTACAGTAAGATATTTGGAGAGAGAGAGAAAAAGCCACATTTACTTAACTTCTATTACAACATATTGTTACAATTGTTCCATTTTATTGTGTGTTATTGTTGTTAATCCCTTACTCTGCCTAACTGATGAATTAAACTTTATCATAGGTAGGTATGTGATATGATTTGGCTGTGTCCCCACCCAAATCTCATCTTGAATTCCCAAGTGTTGTGGCAGGGACCTGGTGGGAGGTAATTGAATCACGGGGGCAGGTCTTTCCTGTGCTGTTCTCGTGATAGTGAATAAGTCTCACGAGATTTGGTGGTTTTATAAAGAGGAGTTCCCCTGCACAAGCTCTCTCTCTTTGCCTGCTGCCATCCATGTAAGATGTGACTTGCTCCTCCTTGCCTTCCGCCATGATTGTGAGGCCTCTCCAGCCACGTGGAACTGTAAGTTCAATTAAACCTCTTCCTTTTGTTAATCGCCCAGTCTCAGGTATGTCTTTATCAGCAGTGTGAAAATGGACTAATACAGTATGTATAGGAAGACACATAATATATGTATATAGGGTTTGGTACTATCCAGTTTTAGGCAACCCCTGGGAATTTAGAACACATAGCTAGAGAGGGACTTCTGCACTTATATGAAACGATCCCCCCTGACTTTAAGTAGAGAAGGAAGATGCAGGATAGTGTGTGTAATTTGCTACAACTTTTATAAAAAAGAATGTATATATGCATATAATTGTATATGAATATATGCATATACAATTTCTCAAGGGATTTGTCTATCTTTATCCACCTGCCTATCCTCTCTCTAGTTATCTATCTCTCAGCTACCATGAGATGCCTCTGGGAAGGGAGATTTTTCTTCTTCCCTTCTATCCTTCAGGACATTTTGAGTTTGTACATATCCACATATTATCTGTTTGAAAAATACCTTTTCAAATTTTTGAGAGTCTAGTAGGCTTCTCTTAATCTGGCTGATGTGAAGCCCGCTCACTAAAGCTGGATATTAATGATCTTCTGGCACTTTTGATGAGTCCAAGCCCTGAACCATAATACAGTGGCTCTCCCTTATTCAACAGAGTTCTGTTGCAAGACCCCTAGTATATGCCGAAAACCACAGATAGTACCAAACCCTATATATACACACTATGTTTTTTTCTATACATACATACCTATGATAAGGTTGAATTTATAAATTAGGCACAGTAAGAGATCAGTAATGATAACTAATAATAAAATAGAACAATTATCACAAAATATTGTAATAAAAGTTATGTGAGTGTGACCTCTCTCTCTCTCTAAATGTATTACTGTACTGTACTTGGCTATTTTCAGACTGGGACTGAGCTCAGGTAACTGAAACCATGGAAAGCAAAACCACAGCTAAGGGGGGACTGCTGTGTGCATCTTAGTTCAGGCTGCAATAACAAAATGCCATAGACTGAGTGGCATAAACAACAGAAATTTATTTCTCTCAATTCTGGAGTCTGAGCATCCAAGATCAAGGTGTCAGTAAGGTAGGTTTTTATCCTGAGGTCTATTTTTGTGGCTTGTATAATAGGTGGCCACTATCTCATTGTGTGTTCACCTGACCTCACCTTGTACAAACTCAGGGAGGTGGGGGTAAAAGACAGAGAAACAAACACAAAGAGAGAAAGAGATGGTGGGGGGGAGTAAAGAGAGGACACTCTCATCTGTTTCTCTTCTTATAAGGCCATCAATTCTATTGGATCGGGGCCCCATCCTCCTGACCTCATTTGACTGTAATTCCTTCCTTAGAGGCCCCATCTCCAAATACAGCCATACTGTGGTTAGGGTCAACAGATGAATTTTTGGGTCAACATGATTCATCCTTAGCAGTGCACGTAAAGGTACCTCATTGTTTTTAATAACAAAGAGCATTCCATTGCACTGATGTAATGATTTGTTTTGACTTCCTCTTTGATGTAAAAATTGTTAAATAGAGATGTCTTTAATTTTGAGTGGTAGAGGGTTTTTTTCATTCGTTTGTTTTGTTTTCTACTTTTACTATTACGTTCTAGTTTCATTTCACTGCAGTCAGAAAAATTTATCTGTGCTATTCCTGCTTTTGCAGAATTTTTAAGGTTTTATTGTACCCTAGTATTTTATCATTTGGGGGAAAGATGCACTGTCTCTTTTTAAAGTATAGAACTCAATATGTATTTACGTATCTACCTCATTTTTTCAAACCACTTTTTCTCCCATAGACCAAGTTCAGGATTTCTCCCTAATGTGCTTCTATTTGTCCTGTAGATTTTGTTTTAGGAACGCTAACATTATGACATTAGGTACAAATGTAATTTGGTGCATAACTGTCCCTCTTTGTTTCAGATAATGCTTTGGGCCCAGAATTCAACTTTAATCTTTGTGTCTTTGTATTTAAAAATTCATTTTGAGACATTTTGTTTTAGATGCATGTCTTACACACAGTTTATAGTTGACTTTTGTGTTATGACATAATCTAAAAATCTCATTAACAGGTGATTTAGCTCACTAACTCTTATGAACACTGCAGTTTATTTTCTTTTATATTTTTGTTAGAGTCTCTGTTTTTAATTCTTTTTTTTTATTATCTGCTGGATGGTCTTTGCCTTTGTTGTATCAGTGTGTGTGTCTTAGTTCATTTTCTGTTGCATAACAGAATACCATAGATTGGGTAATTTATAAAGAAAATAAATTTATATAGCTTACAGTTCTGGAGGCTGGGAAGTCCAAGAGCATGGTGCATGGTGCTGGCATCTGGTGAAGACCTTCTTGCTATGTCATAACACAGTGGAAGGCATCGCGTGGTGGGAGGGTGAGAGCATGCATGTCAGCTCAGGTGTCTTCCTCTTCTCTTAAAACCACCAGTCCCATCATGGGGTTCCACCTTGAAGCCTTTATCTAATCCTAATTACCTCCCAAAGGCCCCACCTCCAATCAACATCTGAATTGAGGGGTTCAGTTTCCAGCACGTGAAGTTTGTGGGACACATTCAAACCATAGCAGTGTGTTTCTTCTAATAATTTTAAATGTCTTTAATTTTGTTCTAAAGGTGGCTTTAAGATTATAACTTTATACAATATTCTGAAAACACTATTCCATGGACCACTGCTGTCCAGTAGCACTTCCTGCTAAGATGGAGATGTTCAATAACTGTGCAGTCCAGTATGATAGCCCTGGCCAGATGTGACTATTGAGCACATGAATAGTGGCTTGTGCAACTAAGAAAGTGATTTTATCTAACTTTACTTGTTTTAATTTAAATAGCCACATGTGTCTCATGGCTTCTATTGTGAACAGCACAGTTTTAGACAATATCCATGGACACCTTACTAACAGCCAAGCACAATGAGGCTTCCACATCTTCCTGATGAGAGCCAGGATAGCAGAGTGGTGAATGGAGTGCAGTCTGGAGTGTGATTGTGTGTGTCCAAACCATCTTCCTCTTCCTCCCTAGCTGAGTCTCTGGGAGGCTTACTTAACTTCCTTGTGCTCAGTTTCCTCATCTACAAAATGTACCTACTATTGTTTTTGAAAGTAAATAAATTAGTATCCACAATAAAGTAAAACTGACACTGGCATATAATAAATACTATTATATAAGCTAATGATATTATCGCTATCCTCATTCTCATTTTCTTCTTACCCTCTACCCAAGTATTCTCATACATCACATAATTTCTTATAATCTTTATCATTTAAACTTTTTTTTTTTTTGAGGCAAGGTCTCACTCTCTTGCCCAGGATGGAGTACAGTGCTGCAATCACAGCTCACTGCAGCCTCCATCTCTCAGGCTCAAGTGATCTTCCCACCTCAGCCTCCTGAGTAACGAGGACTACAGTTTTGTCATTCATCTCTTTGACTGAAGTTTGTCATCTGCTAGTATCTTTAAGAATAATCTTTGGTATGACCCATGGGAATTATATTATCTGAGTTCTTGTATGTCAGAAAAGCAATTGCCTGTCACCTTTCATACCTAAACATTAGTTCAGCTGTGTTCTGCTTATCTGTTGCTGTGTGAAAAACTACCCTAAATTTAGAACCACCCTCATTTTATCATGTTTAAAAATTCTGGCTGGGCACAGTGGCCCATGCCTGCAATCCTAGCACTTTGAGAGGCTGAGGTGGGCAGATCACTTGAACCCAGGAGTTCAAGACCAGCCTGTGCAACACAGTGAAACCTCGTCTCTACAAAAATACAAAAAATTAGCCAGGAGTGATGGCACATGCCTGGAGTCCCAGCTACTTGGAAGGCTGAGGCAGGAGGATCGCCTGAGCCCAGGAAGTCGAAGCTGCAGTGAGTGGTGACTTTGACACTGCACTCAGCCTGGGCAACAGAGCGAGACCCTATCTTTAAAAAAAAAAAATCTGTGTGTCAGGAATTCAGAAAAAGCCCAATGGGGATGACTCTTCTTTGGTCTACAATGTCCTGGACAACCACTGAGATAATTCAAAGGGCTGAGCTGGAGCACCCCGGCTGTGAGTCCATTCCCAGAATGCTGGCACGTCTGGCCTCTGGGCTGGGCTGGCTGACTGCTGGGCCACGCTGGGGCTGCCTCCCAGAGCACACAGCTGTGGCTTCTCCAGAACAGTGGCCTTTGGGTAGTGAGCCTGTTTACGCGGGGGCTGTGGCTCCATCCATGAGTGTTGCCAGGCACAGCTTCATGACCCAGCTCAAGGGACACTTCCACCAGACTTCATTGTACAAGGAACCACAACCGCCTGCATGCAAGGAGTGGAGAAATAGACCCAATCTCTCAAACAGGGGCATGTCAAAGAATTTGCATATGTCTTAAAACTGACACAGACTTGAAATACATTTTTCTTTTGTTGTGTTTTCATTTCCTGAGTAACTTGTGGGCGTCACCTCACTCCTAACATAGAAAGCTATGCTAAGAAAGTCTATGGCTGGTCAGATTTTATACCTTCTATTGGTGTCTCCATCTTCTTTCTAGATCCCAAAGTACTCTTTCTTTATATTGAAGTGCAGTAATACTTTCAGGCTATCTGGCAGATTGCTCACCATTTGTCTTTTTTTAGCATCACAGTGTGCTTTCTAAATTATTTAATTCTTCTATTTCTTTCTTTCTTTTTTTTTTTTTTTTTTTTGAGATGGAGTCTCGCTCTGTCCCCCAGGCTGGAGTGCAATGGCACAATCTCAGCTCACTGCAACTTCTGCCTCCCAGGTTCAAGCGATTCTCCTGCCTCAGCCTCCCGAGTAGCTGGGATTACAGGCACCTGCCACCATGCCCAGCTAATTATTGTATTTTTAGTAGAGGCAGGGTCAGGCTGGTCTCAAACTCCTGACCTCAAGTGATTCACCTGCCTCAGCCTCCCAAAGTGCTGGGATAACAGGCATGAGCCACCATGCTAGAACTAGAAGCCTTGATTCTTCTAGTTCTGAAACACTTTTTAAAGTATACGTATTTTTAATTTACCTAATAATAATTTTGGTTTTTTCTTCAGTGAGACAGTGATGTGCATCATGGATCTTTTTTTCTGTCTTCTCTCATCTTTTCATTTGCATTTCATTTTGCTCACTTTGTCTCAGTCCTATCCTCCATGTTCCTTAGAGTGTTTTTTACAACTATTTCTTCTTTCTGAGGCTCCCAATTCAACTTTCCTGCCTATAACAGTTTTATGGTTTTACTCAACTCTTTCCTGAAGTCTGGCAGCCTATAGTTGATTATTCTCTACAGCTAGACAATATTTCATGAGCTCTTATACCTTGTATTCATATTCTTCTTTTACAGAAGTAAATTCCTTTCTTAGTGTTAAAATTTCATAGTGATTTGTTTGCTCACAATTGTTGTTTGCCGTTTAGAAATATTTTACAAATAAGGGCTTTCACTTGCTGTCTGTTCATCCTGTTAACTTAATACACTTCCCTCTGGTGTTTTAGACCTTTAAGATTATAATTTATTATTGAGCAAGAGGATTAATTCCTAGGTGCCAATGAATGAAGCTACACATGGTAGAAAATTGCAGGCCTTATCCTAAGCAAGGAGGAGTGCTCCTTACATCTTAGGTTCTCTGTGTGAGTAAATTCATTTAGATTAACTCAGCTCCAGCCAATCAAGACAGGACTGCACGGCTGTGCCTAATGTGGAGTTTCTCTCCACCCTGCCTCACCAATATGCTGGGGTTTTTTATTTTTATTTTGTTTTTGTTTTTCACAAATATAGCCCCCTGCATAATTTCTCAATGTCTCCATGCCTTCTCTGCTTCTTGAGACTTCATGGCAAACTACACCCAGGAAACACCTGCTCTTAGTCCCATCATTTTCTTCCCTCATTCCAAACAAACAGTTGTTGGTCATCCCCATGGGATAGGTCACTTTCTCTGGAAGGGGTGGTTCTGTCTGCATTTCCTGAGATCTGCAGCTGTGGGTGTTCTCCCTAAAGTCTTCCTGAGCCTCTCTCTGACCTTCTCTCTCCTTGGCAGCCTTCCCTGTATATTGTGTTTCAGGCTTACAGATGTCTCCTGATTTTGTTGTGAAGATGGCATTTGCATTTTTTATTCTCATTCTTCTCACTGCTTTTGGGTGATTTTCAACAGGATAAGATGGAAAATGCTGTCTTTACATAGCTAGTTCTAAACTGGAATCTCTCAATAAATTCTGAATACATTTTTTAAATGCACATGGGCAAAAGGGCAAAAAGGAGATGAGCAGAAGTCTGATCACCTTCGCGGGGACAAGCAGGCCCAGGCTGAGCTGTGCGGGTGGCAGAGCAGACGCCTCGTGGGTAAGTTTCAGAGAAGGCTTCTCTCCCCTGGGACCAGTGCTTAGGGAGCAACTGCAGCCCCAGCAGCTCTGCAGAGATCAAGTGCAGCCGCTCAGAGGTTTAAAAATGTGCTGTGATGATCTCACTCCAAAGAGACTAAAAACTGTATTCTCACAAGAACAAGGGGCCAAATATCAATGTGAACTTGTCGAGGTCTCTCCAAACTGGCAATGATCTAAGATGTCCACCTTCAGCAGTTTTATTTTCTTTCCTTTTTTATAAAGTTTCTTTTAGAAATAAATTACAACCCTTCTCCGCTTTCTTGGAGTAAAACAAAAAATATTTTCTGCTTTGTTTTGTCCAGCTAGAAAAGGATGAAAAGTTAAAAATAAATGGATTCAGAAATAAACACACAAGACATCAAGGGTGTGTGTGTGCCTGTGTAAGCATGTGTGTGCATGTCTGTCTGCCTGCACATATGTGTGCACACACATGTCTGTGTCAGTGTGCACGACAGACAAGGGACACCAGCTTGTTTCTGTCTACGTAGTGGCCCTCTCTGACCAGATCGTGTCCTTCCTGCCCCCATGTGCTCCAGAGGACATCTGTGATGAAAGCACCATTCCATGAGGGAGCCAGGCACTCCGGGGGGTGGTGACGAGGGACACAGCTCCCCAGACAGTGGAGCAAAGGGGTTGGGGCTAGAAAGTGAAGAGTCCTGAATTGCAAGTTAAAGAGAAAGCATCCAGCATGGCTCGTATCTCACAGATGTGGAAGAGTAGATGCCATTTTTCTTACTACTTGTCTAATTCTTTCTGTATGACACCTGCACTCTCCATTGTAGAGATGAGAAAACTGAGGCCAGGAGTCCCCAAGGTCATGCAGGTGACCTTCCCAGGGCTGAGAAATGAGATCTATGCTTCACACTCATCAAGCTCGTCCCAACCCCACCAAGCCATACGCTCCTGATGCATAATTAATCATGGGAAATGAATAACTCCATTTCTGTTATTTCTGATTCCCAGATGGCTCAATAATGATTTTTTTCCAAAGGACATATCCACCTAGGAGATGGGTATTAGCCAGAACATCTAGCCGTCCCTTCTAGACTTACCTTCAGGTAAAACCGAGGCTGGGACTTCAGCACTGCAGAGGAAGACCTTCCCGTGTAAGGAAACAATGGGAAACAATGTGCCTTCTAAGAGCCGACTATTCTCTGATCGAGTGTGATTCCTCTGAACGTCACACGAAGACCAGGCATCTTGCAAGGGTCTCATCACAAAATGACCCATTCTGGGCTGGCCGCAGTGACTCACATTTGTAATCCCAGCACTTTGGGAGGCCGAGGCGAGCAGATCACGAGGTCAGGAGATCGAGACCATCCTGGCTAACATGGTGAAACCTCGTCTCTACTGAACAATACAAAAAAATTAGCCAGGCATGGTGGTGAGCACTTGTAGTCTCAGACACTCAGGAGGCTGAGGCAGGAGAATGGCGTGAACCCGGGACGTGGAGCTTGCAGTGAACCGAGATCGCGCCAGTGCACTCCAGCCTGGGCAACAGAGCGAGACTCCATCTCAAAAAAAAAAAAAAAATGACCCATCTGCATCCCCAGTCCCTTGTCTTCAGTAACCTCACAGCAATTCATATCACTCTGGGTGCCTCGAGTTTTCTATTAAGAAGTGCCAAGATCTTCTCCAGATTTCACACTATTTTTTTATTCTTTTAGCTGGTGATATAATTTGCATCATTTCTAATTTTTCATAGAATGTATTCTTTGGAGTCAATTTGTTAAAGAATGGCAGCACAAACAAGGAAAAAAAAAGAAAGAGGAAATAAGAGGTGTCTGTTACTTTCTTTACACTCTAGTTATTCAACAATAGAGGAAAATGCTAGCAGACACTATCACTCATAAAACATTATGTACAATAAGTGTGTCAGGGAGACCGAGCTGTTGCCGGTGGGAATGACAGTCAGGTTGGCTTTGTTTGAGGTGGTTTTTTTCTGGCTGGTTTACTTATTGTGGGGGAAGTGGCAGCCCCAAGCCATCAGGAAGTGTCCACACCCATGTTCCTTAAAGATTCTGAACCCGGAGTCCAGAAACCTGAGCTTGAGACCCAGGCTGCTATGGAGGGGCTGGGTGGCCTCTGCGAGGGAGTCCGCCTTGTTGGTCCTGGCTTTCTTCATCTGAAGACTAGTGGATCCTATTCACCCATCCAATCATCCACAAATGAAAACTAATTGTCCGGGATGTGCTGAGAGTGAGACAGGCCCCGTGGCCGCTGCCCCCGTGTGTCTGGGGGTGTAGGGGAGGAGGCGGGAGGGTGAGAGAAAGCAAGCATTTCACACCCGTGGGGTCCTGAGAGGCTCCCATGTATGGGACGGGAAGGAAGGCACACTCCCCGAAGGCCGTTGCTTTATCACACCCCAAAATTCAAGCAATTTCTTTCCTTAGAAAAGACCCTACGTGAACATTCTAGACTCCTGAGAGCTGATCAGAGGAATGGCGGCTGTCCTGAAAGCGGCACCAGCTTTGTCTGGGAAAGTGACCAAAACGCCCCAGGAGTCGCTGCTTTTATAGTTTCTTCCTGGAACAAAACTGGAAGGAAGAGAAACACTCCTCTTACCATTAGCTACTATAGGGAGAATTGTGGCTTTTTTCACCTAAAACACAAAATTTAATTGCCTGCAGATTTTTTAAGACCAGGTAGCCCGTGTACATTGTAATCTTACAATAAGCACTGGCATTGAGGTTGCACAGTTGAGTTTTTGACACAAATTATTTGAAGCCATTTGTATTTCATCTCAGTTGATTCAAGAAATTACAAGTGTCCTAATACTTAGTGACAGAAGCTGACATATCAAAGGATTCGTGGAACATAAACAAAAAATAAATCACCATTTCACTGCCCCTCCCCAGAACGAAATTCCTCATTTTACAAAGACCATATAATCCTTTCATTTTCAAACAAATACCACTGCATCATTGTTATTCTAGCATAAGCTAGCATAAATCTTACAGCAAGGAGCATGGTTAATGTGCTTTTTAATAGCCCTGCTTGAAGAGCTCCTGCCTGACATCATACCAGAGCCGCATCGGAGGGGATTACACGTGTCAGCCCCATCAATTGGTGGCAATTGCCACACAAAAGATCTACCTGAGGACTCACCACAGGAAACTATGCACTATATTTTCCTGCCTTGTAAAAGGAAGAATTAAAAAACAGCTATTAAATTAATTGGCACTAAAAGCATGTAACGGTTATCTAATCTATTAATTTTGAGTTTAACATTAACTCCAGTGTCTGCTGTGACACGCATTTGACCCACACAAGGAGCCAGCGCACCGTTCCAGCCTTTGAAGGGAGACGAGTGGTTGGGGGAAGCCAGAGGGAGATGCCATTCTTTCACTTTGACCTTGTATTCGAAGATTGTATTTGCTTTTAGACAAGTATTGACTTTATGCAAGGCCGGCCTCGTTGAGCCTGATGTAGCATGTTCCTCCGTAAATTTTAAAGGACTGCAGGTTCAAGAGGCAGCTTTTAACTCTCAGACATTTGAAAAAGTTAAGGTGATCCCATCATTCTTCAAAGGAGGAGAAAGCATTAGTTTCTAAGTAGGACGGAGGAAGAGGCAGAGTCCCCATGGCTTTTTTTTCCCCATGTTTCTCTCATTTTTGTTTAATCATAACCACAGAAAAAGCACTGCGACTTTCTGTCTTGCATTTCAGGAACAATGCTCAACTCTAGAAGAAAAATCGTAGCAATAAGACTCATGCAATTTGCTCCTACTTTTAGAAGACATGTCCCCAAACAGTCACTATTTAACCCATCAACAGCCTTCAGAAGGACGATGGTGGAAGATTATAAAACTCCCTGGAAAATATTTGATGGTCTAAACCATGTAAAGGACTTCCTGCTGAGTCACTCGGGTGCTTGAATGAAAGTAGAATGGCCTCTTGGCTAAGGCTACCTGAGACCTGCTTCCTGGCTGTTCATCAAATTCGATCAAGCCCTGGCACAGGTCATTTCTTACACTGTGCAGTCCTGGGTTTCTGAATTTCGTAATCTTGGGTTCATAGTACAACAAAGGAAGTTGAGTGTTTTCATGAAATAAATCTTCACCAAGCAATTATATGGCTCTATTTTAAAAAATGGTCTCCACCTGATAGGTACATACCAAAGTTACAAAACACATTCAGGAACACAGGAAAGCAATCTGGGAGGCACCTTGCTGCACGTTTCAGGAGGGGAAAAAACGAAGATGAATTTCTTGTTCTCTGGAAGGAGGCATCGGTTGACCTAAGCCGTGCAGCAGAAGGCTAAGGATCAACCAAGTTGTTCTCCTAAACTGTCCATGGTGGAGACAAGCCTGGCTTGTGGGCTATTCTCTGAGAGGCCATCTATTAATCAAAGACCACCTATCAGAAAGCCATTCGTCCTGAAATCAAGTGTGTTTGTGATCTGCTTCGCAGCGGCAGTCTCTAACCGAGGGCCACCCTTCTATGTGAAGGGGGTGGGCGGACTCAAGGCAGGACCACCCCAGGTCCTGTGCAAGCCACTCTCAGCCCAGAACATCAGAAGCTCTGGAGCCCAAGCTACCAGAACCACAGGTGTGTTTCCAGCTCTGAGTGACAGCTCTGAATCCACCAGTCCCCAGTGGGTAAATACAGCTGAAATATAGACTGGTAGTTTAAAGATGTTTTCACCCATTGGTGCTGCGATCCAGCCACCACACAGGGCGTTGCGTGTCATAGTAAATGTGTTTTAATTCTGAACATTGGCTCTGCAGAAACTGCAAGTTACCCTCATCTGGCAACGTGAGAGCAGCAACGCCTGCGGTGGAGAGAAACCGCTTAGCTGACAGGGCCTGAGCTCCAACAGCTGCCTGGAGACCCTCTGGGCCAGTGGCCCTGTGGCCCCCGAGAAGTCAGAGGCAAGCAAACATCCTGTGGGTAAGGCTCCCTTTTGAAAGTGGGAACTGTTTCCAATGCTTCACCCCTCACGGCTCCTTCCCACTCCTCCCAGGATCTCATTCCTGAAGAGCCCGTCACAGGCAAGGAGGGAAAGCCAGCCACATGCACCCTGCAGCCCATCACCCCTGCACCTGAGTGCTCCTCCCAGCTGGGCCCCGTGTTGATATTTTGTCTGGCATGCAGCTTCAGATGGTGTGAAAATTCCTGACACTCCAGTAGCAAAAGCATAGGACACGGAATAAGATGAGGGGAGCTGAAAGAGGTGGCTGTGCCCGGAACGGTGACTAGAATGGCACGAGTGCACGCTGAATCATGGCCCCTGTTCATGGAGAATGTGTTTACTTCGTGTAGTTATTTATACATTACAGACACTTAATAATAGTTAACATTTGCTAAGTACCAAGTGCCAGGTATTATGCTAAGCACTGCACAAGGATGACCTCATATCGCTTTATAAAAGATGACATTATCGTCCCCATGTTTTATTTATTTATTATTATTATTATTATTATGAGACGAAGTCTCACTCTGTCACCCAGGCTAGAGTGCAATGGCATGATCTTGGCTCACTGCAGCCTCTGCCTCTCAGGTTCAAGTGATTCTCCAGCCTCAGCCTCCCGAGTAGCTGGGACTACAGGCATGTGCCACCGTGTCTGGCTAATGTTTTGTATTTTTAGTAGAGACGGGGTTTCACCATGTTGGCCAGGCTGGGTCTTGAACTCCTGACCGCAGGTGATCCACCCGCCTCAACCTCCCAAAGTGCTGGGATTACAGGCTTGAGCCACCACCCCCAGCCCCGACTTTTTAGGTAAGGAAAAACTCAAGTGTCGAGAGGCTCAATAACATATCCAAAGTGACTCAAATCCAGGCCCTCTGCCTCAGAGCCTGAGCTCCCAGCCAATGGGGGATATTGCTGGGGGCTCCCGAGTTGGTGCTGGGGTCCCCTGTTCTGGCCACAGGTGGTAGCGTGTGTCACGGTTTGCTACCCGTGGGCATCGCATTCCACATCGTCGACCACGGGATGCCCTTTGCTGCTCCTGAAAAGTCCATCTACCAGCTGTCCCTCTGAGGCCCTCAGCCTGGCGGGTGGAGGGCAGTTCTGTTGGCATTTCTGGCTCCAATCCATGGGCAACACGGGGCCCTCGGGGGTTTGTGTGGGGTTCCCTCAGTTCTCACTCCTGGCAGCAGCCTGGACCTGCAGGCCAGCACAGCTTCAAACGCACCTTGCTGGAAGGAGCTGGGGCTTCCTCCTCCCCTGCTGGGGGTGATGTACGCCTGTCCATCTGTGGCCCCTGTAGGTCTTGGGGAAAGTTGAATCAGACAATCTCTAATCGCTCTCTCATCCCTGGCCTTTCTTCTTTTCTATTTAAAGGTGGTTGCTATCCTGCCTTGCCTTCCTTGGGCCATGCACTACGAAGTGTTTTTGTCAGAAGCTAGGACCCTGTGCAGTTCTCATCAGTGTGCACAAAAGCTGAGGTTCCTGAAAGGAGGCCAGGCTGAGACCCTGCCCCATGGGAGACTCGATGCTGTGACTGTGGCCTCCTGACCTGAAGTCTGACCCTGGAGGCTGGCAGGGCCTGCTGCTCCCGGGATGCTCCAGCAGATGTGTGCATGATGTCGAAAGCCACGCAGAGACCAAGTTCTCAGCCTCGGCAAACCCCGATTCCTCAGTAACAGATTACTTTTTACTGCCCTGGAATGTTGCTCGCTGTATATGACACATCCACAGGTGTAGATATCAACAAGCTTTCTAATGCACTGGCCTGTCCTCATGAGGGGCCTAAGGCACAGAGAGACCCGCCTTGCTTCAGACCACGCCCTAGTGTGGCCGAGGAGGAGCGTGCCCAGAAAACACACCTTCAGTTACAGGGCCCAGCGCTCCGAGCAGCCACCCTTCATTTCCCTCCCATGCATTTGGACAAACATGTCCTTTCTCAGCAAACTGATTCCCAATCAGCAGGTGCCAACTATAACAACGTCAAGAAATGTTTATCAGGTACCGGCATTTAATGGGATTCTGCAAAATCAAACTGGCTTTGTAGCTCACAATGAAGTCTCCATTTGGACTAAAAAGTGCACGATTTGCTATTCTCACTTAATTTTGGCCAAATTAAAAGATGCATAGAAGGCTGAGGTCTGCTTTTCTTGAATTCTTGCCGATAGACCAGCAGTGCACTTCAGAGATAAGAGCCACGAAGCTCAGAAGACATGGAGATGCAGAAGCATGTTTGGAATTCAGAATGACTATAGAGATTATGGAATGTGTGTCATTCCAAGCCCAAAGCCCTTTGCAATGGAATGAAATGCTAAAATGAGGAGCGAAAATCTTTCTTTCTTTTTCCATCATGTGGGAGAAAATGTGAAGCATGCTTATGGCGGCTTCCTTGGAAAAGATAACATCATTACCTATGTTGTTTACTATGCCAAAGCTACCCTGTGCTAGAAAAGTAACATACTTTATTACAGAGAAAGCACAAACAGTTTACCAAAAAAAATCACACACTCTTTATTCTGTTCTCTGTCTTCTATACAAAAGAGAAACAAATTCTTAAGAGACACAGGATACAGTTTACCTCCACCCTGAGCACCAAGAACAGAGCTTCCCTGTCCCCTTCCCACAACCCCAGTGGTCTGGGCCAAGAAGTCACTGAAAGCGAATCTGGGAGGAGCTTGGTTTGCAACCTGGGAGAGTGAAGTGGGGAAGTCAGAGACGCTGAGAACTTTTACGCACACACAAAACTTTTACCAAAAATAAGTTTTTGCAAAAGCTGCCATGCAGCAGAATTTGTGAATGGGGTGCAGTTTGCCAAGAGCTGAGCTTATGAATGGGGCATGCCCCAGGATCAGATGCAGATGTAAGTGTGCCATGTGGCCCACAAGTGGCTGAATGTATTTCCCCCAGGGAACCATCCCTTATAACCTGGGGTGTGTTTATGGGGCTGCAGGAGGCATCACCAGCCCATCCTTCTTGGGTTGCCCTCAGTGCCCTCAAAAGTTGAAGCTCTGGGCTCCACTCTGCCAGACCGAGGAAGCTGTCCCCTGGGACGGCTCAGCACATGAGTGCCACCTCCTCCCCACCCTGGCCTGGGGCTGCCAGGATTCCATCCACCCTGGATGGGGTGTCCTCATGTCCACATTTGCCTGACACCACAGCAGAAAGTAGAAGTGCTCAGTAGACCCTGAGGTCCTGCCGGGCAGGAATAGAAGGACTCGTCCACCTACTTAATTCCCTCTCCATCCCAACCCAGGCACAGAAAAAACACCTTATTAAAAACAAAACAATGAAATGGTGCTTCCAGAAGCAAGTACACACAATAAAAATAAAATTTAAAAAGAGGCACTACCACCAGAACAAAGAAAAAATAAGGATGGGAAAAATCAGATGAAACAGGGGCCACGTGTGCATATTGAACACGCACTGGAAGCCCCACGCCTGGGCTGACTGCGGCCGTGTGGCTGCACCTGCGTCTCCCCTGCCGGGCGGTTCACGTTTTGAAGGGACGTGCCAGCCGTGTTGTGTACTCATTCGTCTCCACTGCTAGCAAGGTCCTGGGCACACAGGCAGCGGTCAGTAATGTTTGTCGAAAGAAGAAAAGTTGCCCTTTTGTGAATTGCATTTTAGCAGTGGAGGCCCCTGTAGGAACAAGCCAGGTAACCTCACTGTTCCACGTCCTGTCGGGCTAGGAGAGCTGCTGTCATTGCATCTCAGTGGCCGACGTGGGGACCTGCCTGGGAAATTCTCCATCTCAGGACCAGAAGAGCTGGGGTGCACTACATTTTGCTTGCCTCGGTTATGCTGTTTGTCTGTGCGGACACTGCTGAAGCTGTCTCCAAATGCCACATAGGCTCAGTACTACTGTAAAATTATACTGCCTGCTGCTAGACCTTGTTAGCAAATGTTACTCTAAAAGTAACATTGTACTTTTAGAGTTACCAATTTGTTTTAAATTTTTAATTTTCTTCCTTTGCAATGACATCTTTCAACAAAATTTGTTTCATTTAAAATTCTCTATATTTTATTTGATTTTATGCTCTGGGAAATTTTATTCTGAGAAGGAGCCCAGAGGCTTCACTGGAGGTATGTGGCCCATCAATCTGTTAAGCAAACAAGCAAACAAAAACAATGAAAAACAATTCTTTTTAACATTCTCAGTGGTGCAATGTGTGAGCTAAATATCTTCCAGGGGCTCCTCCCTCAATGTTTTTTCTTGCAAATGACCTTTTGATAATAACTGAATAGCAGTGAGTTCCAGTGTAGTTTATCATGAAAAAAAAAAAGAAAAAGGAAGAAACAGCATTTCTATAGAATAAAAAAAAATTAGTAAACTTCAACATCCACTTTTGATTTAAAAACTCCTGGAAAACTGTGAGAACAGAATGCTCTCAACCCAATAAAGAATGTCACCAAAAAACCTACAGCAAACATCCTGCTCTAACTGTGAAATGTCTCTTTAGAGAAAGGGAGCATTGCCCGTCCTTACCACTTCTGTTTGACATTGCACTGGAAGATCTAAGTACTTCAATAAGGCAAGAAAAGGAGTAAAAGGCAGGGGACTTCTATAGAAGAAGTAAAACTGTCACTTTTCACAGATGATATAGCCGTGTAGGTAGAAAATCCAAAATAATCCATAGGTAAATTACTAGAATTAATGAGGACATTTTGAAAAGTTCCTGGGTTGTGGTCAATATATAAAAATCAATTGGATATCTTTCTACTAACAGCAAACAAAATTTTAAAAAGAAAGAAAGAAAACGTGGCAGATGCTTGCAGTGCCTGAGCTACATCCCATTGGCCAACCTGATTTCAGCACAGCCGTGGTGGACAGTTCCACACGCATTCCAGGGACCGCATCAAGGGAGCATCTTGGGGTCTCTGGGTTTCCGCCTCTGGGCATTCACCCAAGCCACAGAAGTCCCTGCACAGGGGGCTCAGAGGCACGCAGAAGGCCAGGAGCATCCATATCCCTGAGGCAGCCCTCAGCCACTGGAGGGTGGGACCACTGGCAAATGTGCCAACCTGCCCTTTTAGGGGGAAACCCTGAGGCCCATTCATTTCTGTGAGACCAAGCTGTGAGTGTCCACAGTGATTCTAGTTCAATAACACTCTTTTTCGGCTTCCCTCTCTTCCCTGTCCCACCCTGCCTCTCTGGATCTTGGGCAGTCCTCTAAATAAACTCCCTGCTGCCACGTTTGTCCTTCAGAGGTGTGTAAACGAAGGCCGATCCAGCATCGGCCGATACCAACAACTGTGAGTGAATCTTCCAGGAGGTTTGCCAGGCCTCTCTGCACATAGTAAAATATTATCATGAGAAGTTAAAAAATAAATGAATGGAAGTATATAAAGTACTCATAAATTAGAAGACTACATAGGGTAAAGATATCAATTCACTCAAAATGGATCTATATATTAAATGCAATTTCAATCAAAACCCAAGAAACTTGTTTTAAGGAAACTTGGCAAGCTGATTCTAAAATTTTATAAAAATTCAAAGAGTAAAGAAGAGCTAAGACACTCTTGAAGAAGAAACACAAGGCAGGAAATGTGTGCTAGTAAATATTAGGATCTTTTCAATTTATAGGCATTAATATAATGTGGTACTGGTGAAACTATAAACAAAGAGACCAATAGAAAAGAATTGACAGCCAGAAATAGACCTCTAAATTTACAGTTAATTTATTTATGAAGAATTAATAAATGAAGAAGATGGTGATAAAGAGTGAGGACAAGCTATTCTTTTTAATAAAAGATTCTGGGACAATTAGATATGACTTTTTTTTAAAGAAGGCTTGATTAGTACCTCATACTGTGCATATAAATCAATTACACATAAATTGTAGAACTGCAAAAAATAAAACTAGACAACATGTTGAATATAATATAGGAAAATATCTTCATGAGTTTGGGACAGGAAAAGACTTCTTCACTGGGACCATCTCCACCCCCCACAAAAAAAACTGTAAAAGATTTGATAAGGTTGTCTTTATTAAAATGAATAATTTCTGTTTGTCAAAAAGTCCATTAATCAAGTGAGAATGAGAGCCACAGATGGGAAGAATTTGCTTACAATACAAAGTACTTGTATCCAGGGTAAATAAATCTGTAAGACTAAGAAAGACAACCCAAGAGAAAACTGGGCAAGAGACTTGTTCCCATCACATCTAAACACCGGAGCCAAAACAGCCACAGTCTTTGTCACCTCTCACTACTTCTGTAGGTCACAAAATCAGCAGTGGCCCTGCCGGGCAGCTCCGACATGGGGTCTGCCCAGAGGCCACCTTCAGATGGCAGCCGGCGCTGGGCCCTCTCAGAGGGATTTTCCTCACTATTCTAGTGCTTGCTATGAAACAGCTGGGACACCCTGGCATCTCTCTTTATCCCCAAAAGGCACACATCCAGACCCAACACAGAGAGTGCTGCACGGAAGCCACACCACACTTCCCAGCTACTCACGGAGGCTGCCACAAAGTCTAACCCAGATTCGGGGGGCAGCTGCACCCCACCCTTGTGAGAGAAGATGCTTTAAAACCATTGCAGAAGACTTTCTGCCACAGGTCATTTACATTCTTCATACAAAGCACACTTGCCTCCAACGCCACGCAGGCCACTGCTCTCCTGGCATTGAGCTCAGGGGTGAGATACCGGAACCCACTGTGTGCGTGCGTGATGACCTCATGGGGTGCAGTTCCTGGAGGGCGGCACCTCGAGGAGAGTTTCTCTCTGTCTGAAGACCGGAGAACTGAAGAGACAAGGTATCATCACACACCCCCATGAAGACCTGGGCAGACACAGGTCAGTGTGGTGGGCGCCCTCTTTCTAAATGGAGGAGAATTGGAGACATCGCAGCCACCAGGCCACAGAAACTCAGGAATCCATGTGGGCAATTGCAGTCAACACATTGACAAAGCTTCATTCCTCCTGCCCAAGAAAGCCCCTCACGGCCCCAGGCTCTGCCCCCTGGACTCCGGGCTCTGTCCTCTGAGCCTTTTCCGCAAGAAACAGCCAGTGGTTGCATCCGTCTCTTCAGTGGCTACACCTGTCTCTTCAGCAGGCTTCTTTCACTCAGGGGTTTCAAGGTACAAAGTCCTCTTTTGATTTTTTACTGTTTCTGTTCCTTTTAGTCCACATTGATATAATTTTTTTTTTAGATGGAGTCTCGCTCTACTGCCCAGGCTGGAGTGCAGTGGCACAATCTCAGCTCACTGCAACCTCCGCCTCCCAGGTTCAAATGATTCTCCTGCCTCAGCCTCCCAAATAGCTGGGACTATAGGTTCACACCACCACACCCAGCAAATTTTTGTATTTTTAGTAGAGATGGGGTTTCACCATGTTGGCCAGGATGGTCTTGATCTCTTGATCTCGTGATCCACCTGCCTCGGCCTCCCAAAGTGCTGGGATTATAGGCGTGAGACACTGCACCTGGCCAATACAATTCTTTTCAACATTTTTTGGGTTTTTTTTTTTTTTTTTTTTTTTGGTATATACATTGGCTCGTAATCCACTCCATCGGACAGAAGAGCCCGCCTTGAGCGCTCCACTGAGGCAGCGCCTCCTCTGCCTTGAGCCTCCTATGAGGCTGCGTGAGAAAATGCCCTGAAGACCCTGAGAGAGACGCCTGCCTGTCTGAGGCATCGCCCGTCCATCTGCTGTCCCCACCAAGGCCTGGCCGGCTCCCTGGCCTCCTTCTTCAGACCAGGTTTCTCTGACACACTCACTTCATGGTAGTCTTCTCTGCCATCCAGAAAAGCCTGGAATGAGAAAGGTTCATTTTCACACCGGTACGTCCTGGCTCCTTCGTGCCCGGCAGTCCTTCCTCCAGCTGGTGTCCCTGCCCTCCTGTGGTCCTGTGGGCGGTGAGGGCGGTGAGGACAGTGGGCAGCAGCCCCGGTGCTCTGGCTAGAAGCCACCTGCACCCACCGTGCGGTTCCTGAGGCACAGCTTCTGCTCTCCACGTCAACACAGGTGGCCATTTTCAAAACATTTCCTCACTCCTTCTTCATTCCTCACCAACACACACCTCATGGGGCACCCCCCGCCAGGTCCACCCTGTTCCCTCGCCGACCAACTCCAAAGCCGCCCGTGAGGGCCACAGGTTTTGATGGAGCACCGCCCTAGCCAGCAGTGGTGAAATCTGTGCCAGCCTTACTGCGTGATGCTGAATCGCCACACGCGCAGTGCGTAACACGGAAGCTCATCATTCCTTCTCTTCCCAGGTCGGTGGATCAGAAATTCAGGAGGGGCTGCTGTGGGCCACGCTGGCTCTTTTCATGATGCGGCCAGTGGCTTGCATCTGGGTCCTCCCTAAGACTCCATTTAGACCTCTGGCACCGGGACTGGGATGAGTCTGGAGGGGAGCGGGAGCAGCTATGGCTACCCCAGCACTTTGCTCTCCCTCCCCCTCAGCCTTCTTCCTCTCTCTCTTTCCCCTCCTCAGAGCTTCTTCCCTTTCTGCTAACCTCCTCCCCTCCTTTCTCTCCTTATCTCTCTCTTCCTCCCTTTCTCCCTTTTTCCCTCCCTCTTTTCTCTCCCCTCCCCCATTTTCCTTCCTCCCCCTTCTCTCCCTCTCTCTCCCTCTCTCCCTGTCTTTCTGTCTCTGTCTCTCTGTTTCTCTCTCTGTGTGTCTCTGTCTCTCTGTCTCTCACTCTGTCTCCCTGTCTCTCTCTCTGTTTCTGTCTCTGTCTCTGTTTCTCTCTCTGTTTCTGTCTCTGTTTCCCTTTCTCTCTCTCCCTCTCTCTGTCTCTCTCTCTGTTTCTCTCTCTGTGTCTCTGTTTCTCTGTGTGTCTCTCTCTGTTTCTCCCTCTCTGTGTGTGTCTTTCTGTTTCTCCCTCTCTGTGTCTCTCTGTCTCTCTCTGTGTGTCTCTGTCTGTCTCTGTCTCTTGTCTCTCTCTGTGTGTCTCTCTCTGTCTCTCTGCAATTTCTCCCATGCTCTCTTCGAGCTTCAGGAAAGCAGGCCCTCTTAGACAGTAACTGAGAGATGCAGAAACACACCCCCAGGGAAAAGAGAGAAACAGGTGGAAGCTATGAAGCCATCTGAGGCCTGCCTTGACCATCACACAGCACCACCTCTGATGAATTCCATTTGTTGAGGGAGTCACAAGTCTACCCCACATTCAAAGGGAGAGGAATTGGTATCGCCCCTTGGAATGTCAAAGAATTTGTAAACATGTTTTAAAACCACTATGTCCTGCACAAGTGATTACCAAAGAGGATACCCACATGACTCATAAATAGATGGAAAGACACTCAACCACTTCAGTAGCCAAGCAAATTCAAACACACATCACAATGAGGTATTACTATACTCTGCAAACACCAAGTATCGGCAAGGATGTCGAGCGACAGGGAGTCCCGTGCACTGCCAGGGGAGGTGTGAATCGGCACATCCAGGTGGGAAAGCAAAGTGGCCATAGACAGGAAGGGAGCCACATGCTGAGCCCAGGGCTCCCCTCCTGGGTCCACCTGGGTGTCCATGTGCAGCAGTGATGGTGAGGTCCCGGGCACGCTGACAGCCTCTTCCCTTCATGCCAGCGCCTCTCCCCTCCTTGCTCTTGTGTGATGGAACTCAGCCCACGTACGCGGCAGCCAAGAAGCACCGAGAGTCAGATGTACCTGGAACAGCCTTCACCAATACAAGAGAGGAGTGCGTACCACAGCCGCAGGATGAGAGTAGAGAATGGTTATTAAAGGGGTGTGCTCTGTGCTTCACCAGGCAGTGCCTTTTCTCTGTTTCTGGTTAAGAAAGAATTATGGAATCTTTCACTCCAAAAATAAATTCTGCTCCCATGGGATGAGCAGACACTTCCTCGAGCCACGAGATGGATTCTAAATGCAAGACTGGGAAACCTTTTAGGCCAACCAAGGGACACACCCCGACCAGCCCTCACTACACGAAGGAAAATTCTTCGAGCAGCCAAGTTGAACATGAGTGGAATGAAACGAAATATTAAACCTTGTTCATGGGAAAACACCAGAATTACAAGGATGTATCATCCTAGATTAAATTCTAATTTACCATTGCAGGAGTGAGAAAATGGACAGAAAGTAACTTAGAAACAGTGAAAAGATTTTGTGACCAAAAAAATTAAGAAGTATGAGCCTTTAATAGAGAAGAAGAACATCCCATTGGAATGAAGTCACTAAATGCTGCCAGCAGGTCGTAAGGAACTCTACCCTATTTGCGTTCCCAATGAAAATCAGGAAAACTATGGATTCTCTCATGAAAAGTCAAAGACGAAATGGCAAGACAATGAGCTGAAATGGAAAGTAAGTTGGCTGGGATGAAGAAGGATGGCAGAGACCGTGATCACGTGGTGAGATCCCCATTAGAATCAGCACATGGAGAGGGCGGGAGATGACGATCCCCACAGAAAATTATTCATCCACCTGGAGTCCAACCTGTAAAGCTTTCAAATGCCAACACAATGAACAGTGATAAAAGTAAAATGGGAGAAGACGGTAATTATAAAAGATAGAAAATAAAGATCCAACGTAAAAATAATTGGAATACTTGAGGAAAATACCAAAATAAATTTTAAAAGAGCAGTATCATAAAAGTCATTAATTATGTTGATCTTCCCACATACATTGTTGGGGACAAGAAGCCATCTGTGAAACTGAAAATGGATTCGTGATGTCAGGAATAGAGGGGGAGACGGGAAGAGATGGAGAGAGGCAGAAGGAAAAGGCCAGAAGGTTTAACCAGAAATTGTCGAATACAATTCAAATTGATATCTGGAGTGCTTTTGGTGGGGCTCTCCCAGAAGACACCCTGAGGTGAGGGTTTGTGCATGGATGGTTGCAACGGTGCTTGTGGGGCATGAGACGATCGTGACTCTTGGGGCCCAAATTCTCCAGCAGCTGCTGGGAGAGAGGTGTATTGTGTCCTTCAATGTCGCCTCATTCCAGGGAGGAGGAAGCTGGGTGTGACTTGAGGACCCTGGAAACGGAACACTCCAAGGGCTTGACCTCCAGAGAAATCTCAGGCAGGGAGTTGGAGCTGCTTCCCGGGAGCCACAGGCATGGAAGAAAGCAGTGGCTGCTCAGGATGCCGGCAGAGCACGCATGGCACCTGGTGCAGCTTACAAAAGGAAAGGTGGAGATGATTCTTCCCACCATATTAAAATATAAAATGTGGCCGGGCTCAGTGGCTCACACCTGTAATCCCAGCACTTTGGGAGGCCGAGGTGGGCAGATCACTTGAGGTCAGGAGTTTGAGACCAGCCTAACCAACATGGTGAAACCCTATCCCTACTAAAACACAAAACTTAGCTGGGCTTGGTGGTGGACACCTGTAATCTCAGCTACTCAGGAGGCTGAAACAGGAGAATCGAACCCAGGAGGCAGAGGTTGCAGTGAGCCAAGATCGCACCACTGCACTCCAGCCTGGGTGACAGAGCAAGACTCCCTCTCAAAAAAATATATAAGTAAATAAAACATTCCACACTCATGGGTAGGAAGAATCAATATGGTGAACATGGCCATACTGCCCAAGGTAATTTATGGATTCAATGCCATCCCCATCAAGCTACCAATGACTTTCTTTACAGAATTGGAAAAAACTACTTTAAAGTTCATATGGAACCAAAAAAGAGCCCACATTGCCAAGTCAATCCTAAGCCAAAAGAACAAAGCTGGAGGCATCATGCTACCTGACTTCAAACTATACTACAATGCTACAGTAACCAAAACAGCATGGTACTGGTACCAAAACAGAGATATAGACCAATGGAATAGAACAGAGCCCTCAGAAATAATGCCGCGTATCTACAACTATCTGATCTTTGACAAACCTGACAAAAACAAGAAATGGGGAAAGGATTCCCTATTTAATAAATGGTACTCGGAAAACTGGCTAGCCATATGTAGAAAGCTGAAACTGGATCCCTTCCTTACACCTTATACAAAAATTAATTCAAGATGGATTAAAGACTTACATGTTACACCTAAAACCACAAAAACCCTAGAAGAAAACCTAGGCAATACCATTCAGGACATAGGCATGGGCAAGGACTTCATGTCTAAAACACCAAAAGCAATGGCAACAAAAGCCAAAATTGACAAATGGGATCTAATTAAACTAAAGAGCTTCTGCACAGCAAAAGAAACCACCATCAGTGTGAACAGGCAACCTACAGAATGGGAGAAAATTTTTGCAACCTACTCATCTGACAAAGGGCTAATATCCAGAATCTACAATGAACTCAAACAAATTTACAAGAAAAAAACAAACAACCCCATCAAAAAGTGGGCGAAGGATATGGACACTTCTCAAAAGAAGACATTTATGCAGCCAAAAAACACATGAAAAATGCTCATCATCACTGGCCATCAGAGAAATGCAAATCAAAACCACAATGAGATACCATCTCACACCAGTTAGAATGGCAATCGTTAAAAAGTCAGGAAACAACAGGTGCTGGAGAGGAAGTGGAGAAATAGGAACACTTTTACACTGTTGGTGGGACTGTAAACTAGTTCAACCACTGTGGAAGTTGGTGTGGCGATTCCTCAGGGATCTACAACTAGACATACCATTTGACCCAGCCATCCCATTACTGGGTATATACCCAAAGTATTATAAATCATGCTGCTGTAAAGACACATACACACGTATGTTTATTGCAGCACTATTCACAATAGCAAAGACTTGGAACCAACCCAAATGTCCAACAACGATAGACTGAATTAAGAAAATGTGGCACATATACACCATGGAATACTATGCAGCCATAAAAAATGATGAGTTCATGTCCTTTGTAGGGACATGGATGAAGCTGGAAACCATCATTCTCAGCAAACTATCACAAGGACAAAAAACCAAACACCGCATGTTCTCATTCATAGGTGGGAATTGAACCATGAGAACACGTGGACACAGGAAGGGGAACATCGCACAGCGGGGACTGTTGTGGGGTGGGGGCAGGGGGGAGGGATAGCATTAGGAGATATACCTAATGCTAAATGACGAGTTAATAGGTGCAGCACACCAGCATGGCACATGTATACATATGTAACTAACCTGCACATTGTGCACATGTACCCTAAAACTTAAAGTATAATAATAATATAAATAAATAAATAAATAAATAAATAAGATATAATACAAAATGTCAAACCCTATTGGGATGTTCCTAAACAACATCCAGGATAGCAATAGAGAAAGCAAGACCCGTGTCCATCGAGTGAGCCGTGCATGATCCAGAGTTGTGGGGAAGGGAAGAAGATAGGGAGGGAGAACGTGCAGACACAGAGGGCAGGGGGCATCCAGCTCGAGGCTGGGGTCTTGGGATATGTGGCTCAGTGATCAGGCCAGGTGTGTACAGAGGCAGGGCTGGTCCAGGGGGCAGGGTCTGCCAGGCAGGATTGCTTTTACATCAAATCCAGAGAGGCAGAGGAGGCTGAGGGAAAATGCCAGAGGTAGAAACCAAAGAACCTATGAGGCAAAGTGCATGGAGAGGTGAAAATGATTGTTCTAGAAACTTAGCATTTATCAAATTAGCTAGAATCCAGTTGTGTGAGGCAGAGTGCATACATCCCACAAAGCTACAAGGCATCAAATGCAACCTGTCCTCTGCCAGCTCCCTCCCCTCCTCTAACCCTCTAGTCCAGATATTTATAGATATAACAATCTAGTAATTTAAAAGTCTTCAAATGTTCTGCACTATGGAAGTCAGCTCGCCCTCCCAGCTATATTCAAGAGCAGGAATTGATCTCTAATATTGAATGCTGTTTACTCTCAAGTTACAAATGGCACCTGCTTTTTGCCACAGTTTCTGCACTGTACTGCCCTGAAGGTCTCTTCTCACTACCATTTGACGGCTTCTACATAGGACACAGAGTAGGACTGAATAGACAAAATAAGACAGACAAGATGACACATAACATTTCTAAACTATCTGGGAGAGCCGGTATATTTCCCTCGGGGCCACCCTGCATGCTGACCCATTCTTAGGGACACGGTATATCTAAAGTGGCTGACTGTACTACTTAGTTCTAACTCAAATCTCACCTGCTGCAATTTAAGCCTCTGCAATGATATTATTAGTGAGTGCTCAGCCTACATCCCAACAGGAATATAAGATGACAACTGAAAGTTGAAGTGACACCAAAAAAGCTTAACAGAGGCGCTTCTGATGGGTATTCGGGCACCAGCAGAGGCTCCATGATGCCTCGAAAATCCAATAGCAAATTTGTAAATCAAATCAAAAGTAGGTGAAATGAGCCCAAGTGGGAGAGCTAAGTGGAGCTGAAACAGAAGAAGGGGGAACATATTGCATTTGGTTGCTGAATTTAAAAATGAGAGGCCATCTTGGCATGAACTAATCACTTTTTGGCTGACCACTTTCCTTCCAGTGAAGGTTCCTGTGTGGACTATCGAGTGTTATTAGAAATAGTTTCTGCCTCATATTACCTATTTTCTGGTCTTTTTTAAACCTGCTGTTAGGTTTCATTCAATTGTCACTTCTTCAGCACAAAGTCAGAGCTAATGGGGTCATGCGGACAGAATATATTGTCAGATCCAGAGCCACCCACACTCCCCAGCCTCCCCCAGTCCCTCCCACCGCCAAAAAACTTGAAGTGTCTCTACCAAAGCCACACATACCACCGCAAAAAAATGTATTGCTTGTGATGGTATATATGAATGAATGTGTGTGTTATATGTACACATCTAATCTGAATTTTTTCACAAACAAAATCAAAGGACAAAAAGTTACTCAGACGGGGCCCCAATGCTGCATCCCCCCACCCCAGGCTCCTCCAATCTCCCCATCTCTGAGTTGTGGACAGGCCTCGGGGTTTCATGAAGCTCCTGGATTAGGAAGGTGGTTGGGTGTGAGCAAGTAGGCAGGGTGACCGTGAGAGCACAAGGCAGCTCTTCTCATTCCACCACCGCTCACACCTTCTCCATGTATGTGCACTGGTGCGCACACACAAACACACAATCTCAGAGTGAACAGAGGTACACTTCAGGCACTGACAGTGTTGACTGAATAAAAGGCATTGAGTTTAGCCTGCAACCTATAAGTGAAAAAAGCTATAAATACACTTGCAAGTGTGACCACGTCCCACGGTTACACACCCAAGGAGCGTTTACCTTGTCAAATGGAAGCAATGGGCTGGGCGCAGGGCTCATGCCTGCAATCCGAGCACTTTGGGAGGCCAAGGTGGGTGGATCACTTGAGGCTAGGAGTTCAAGACCAGCCTGGCCCACATGGTGAAACTCCATCTCTACTAAAAATACAAAAATTAGCAGGACATGGTGAGGGGTTCCTGTAGTCCCAGCTACTCAAGAGGATGAGGCAGGAGAATCACTTGAACCCGGGAGGCAGAGGTTGCAGTGAGCCAAGATCATGCCTCCAGCCTGGGCTACAGAGTAAGACTCCATCTCAAAAAGAAATAAATTCATTAATTAATAATAATAAAATGGAAGCGATATGTACCTTCTAATTGGACTTTGAATCCAGAAGTGGCTGTTTTGACTTTGGGCTGTGAATCTCCCCCATGGAAAGGTATCTTTTCCCAACTGCATCCATGCTGTGCTCCTGGAGCAAACTCCCAGTGTAACCAGAAAACACAAGCAGAAACAGAACAAAGCAAAAATCCCCAGCAACTGAGGACGATTTTTTTTTTCTCCCCCAGACTCCGACAACAGCCCTTGGTGTCTACTTCTTATCCTAGACACACAGTATTTCAGGTGGCCACGCGTGAT
The DNA here is from genome assembly GCF_000001405.40 of Homo sapiens. Lineage (NCBI taxonomy): Eukaryota > Metazoa > Chordata > Mammalia > Primates > Hominidae > Homo > Homo sapiens. Next base: position 156,397,145 of record NC_000007.14, read on the forward strand.
GCTGCTCCTTCCGTGTTAACATCTGCTGCATGTGGGCTCTGTGCTTTCTCCCTCCCTGAGAATTCAGTGTGTGCAAGAGGCTTCCTCTTCCACATTCTTTGATTCTTTTCTCGCATCCTGTGCAAGTCGGCACCTTCTTTCCAGGGCATGCGACGTGATCATTTTCACGAATGCAGCGTGTTTTCCCGGCACTGCCTGTGCGCATCGCGTTCTCCAGCCAAATCAAAACATGCTCCGGGCCCAGGGTCCTGATTTGCGCTTTGTACCCGCATCCCTAGCAACATGCAAGGCGCACAGCAGGAGCCCGACGAGTATTTTTGATTAATGGGGCTTCAGCCATGAAAGACAGCCCTCTTTGGGGAGTGCTATCCGTTAAGTGGGTCAATTAGCTTGTCTGCGCCCCTCATGACTGATGGGATATTGTGAATTACTCATGTCTACAATCAGCAGATTCAGGTACTCATCACTGTGAATAGCTTTCCACTATTTCAAGCGACCAAAAATAGCTGTACAGTAAACTCTCATTATGCAGAATGATGGTGAGATGGGATCTTCTAATTAATTAAACATTCTGGTCAGTGAAAAAGAACCTATATATGCAGAAGACCCGCTTTCACAAATTACGATAAAATTATACCAAACATGATGTAAGTGCATCATTCGAAAATGACCTAAAGGACTCATGTCAGACCCTGTGGGGAGTGTGCAGGGAATCAATTTGGAGAGAAAAATCCATAGTCCTATAGGCACAGCAAGTTACAGCACAGGCTTAAATCTCTTCTGGCCCCCCAAATATCCATGACATTCCCCCTTTAAAATGTTATAGTATCATCATGATTTTAATAACAGAGACTATAATTAATTACATGAACTTCCTGGATGTTATAATTCTGGATAAAAAATATATTAAAGAAGATCATTTCTAGATGTTAAAATGAATGAGAGGATATTTTGAGAGCAAATTTTTAGGGGGCTTGAATGTTAAGCATTTTCCACTAACAGAAGTTTTTCTGTTTTACAGTATTCTCTCTCTGAAATCCTGCTCCAGGTCACACAGTTGACCAGCCCCCTCAACAGAAATTAAAGTGGACAAAACTAAATTTTTAGTATGTTGATATAGCTTTCATGAAAGTTTTTATGTATTCATTCAAAGGTTTTCTAATAAACAAAAATAACATACCCACTATCATTTCCAATCTGTTTTTCTCTGGGAAACATAGGTTTCTTTATGCATATGTGCTCATGAGTCTTTGAATGATGAGTTTTGTTTTGTTTTGTTGTGTTTTGTTTTGTTTTTTGAGACAGAGTCTCTCACTGTTGCCTAGGCTGGAGTGCAGTGACGTGATCTCGGCTCACTGCAATCTCCGCCTCCCGGGCTCAAGTCATTCTCCTGCCTCAGCCTCCCAAGTAGCTGGGATTACAGGTGCCGGCCACCACGCCCAGCTAATTTTTTGTATTTTTAGTAGAGATGGGTTTTCACCATGTTGGCCAGGCTGGTCTGGAACTCCTGACCTCGTGATCCACCCACCTTGGCCTCCCAAAGTGCTGGGATTACAGGTCTCAGCCACCGCACCTGGTCAAGTATATTTTTATATGAATAAAATAACATGAAAAGATAATGTGACTCAGTAGATCTGCGGTTCTAACCCAGTTTTACATTAGAATGACCCAGAAGCCTTTAAGACAAACTCTGCCCAGGCCCATACCTAGAGGTTTTTAAAAATTATTATTACTTAAATGGTCTAAGGCAGGGTCCAACCATTCATGTTTTTTAAAAGTTGGGAGATCCTAACCAAAAGTAAGACCCAAGAATGTGACAGAGAGAAAAACTGAGCTTTCTAGTTAAAGTGTATTACAATGAGAAGTATCTGTCTGAGCTTTCTAGTTAAACTTGTATTACAATGAGGAGTATCTGTCTGAGCTTTCTAGCTAAACGTGTATTACAATGAGAAGTATCTGTCTGAGCTTTCTAGCTAAACGTGTATTACAATGAGGAGTATCTGTCTGAGCTTTCTAGTTAAAGTGTATTACAATGAGGAGTATCTGTCTGAGCTTTCTAGTTAAACATGTATTACAATAAGAAGTATCTGTCTGAGCTTTCTAGTTAAAGTGTATTACAATGAGGAGTATCTGTCTGAGCTTTCTAGTTAAAGTGTATTACAATGAGGAGTATCTGTCTGAGCTTTCTAGTTAAAGTGTATTACAATGAGAAGTATCTGTCTTACCTAAACAGGAGAAGGAAATTCACATTTTTATCAGTGGAGGAATACTCAAGTAGGTGTTTCTGCTGTGTTGAGGACTTACCTTTGTGCCTAGAAGTAGTATATTAACTCTTTACTTAGGTTCTGACTTTTATTTCCCCATTTTAACAGGCTTTCTTTACCTTGATGCTCAAGCTGTTATCCTAAGCATTAAAGAAAAACATATCAACAAACTCTTCTCATCTTTCTATTAATTTAGAAGCGGACCAATTCCTCATAAAAAGTACTGAAAACAGGAATATCTCGCAATTGGTTCCCATGTATTTACACAGGGAACACACGTTTACGAATGAGATAACATCTTGGGTGCATGCCTGGAAGGAGGGGCACCAAAGCTTCATATCACGACATCAAAGCTGCAGAAAGATGAAAGGACATCTTTATATTTGCATCATAAACAAGTTTTACATATTATGATATTCCAAGAATCTTTCATTTTAACAGGTGGAAAAACAGTGACAGAGGCACCTATGTAAAACGCAGCCTTCCTTGTGGTTGGTGATTATTTTATATCGCTTTGATATAACCACTGCAATTAAGTGCTCGGATGAGCAAGGACTTGTTTCACTCTTTATAGGGCACACATTGTTTACTGATCCCTGGTTTAGGCGATAAATCCATCATCACTGGGCACAGCTGCAAATGCATTTTTAAAGGGATGATTTTTGTTCTGTAGAACAAATTTTAAATTTTGAATCTCCTTTTCTGAAGCCTTGTGACTTAAATCAGGCAGCTCGATCAGTTTCCAGCTGCTTGGTACAAGTGAGGATGTGCATTCTAACGGACACTCTACATTGGGACGTCTTCTCTGCAGATGCAGGCATTGTGATTCCATTTGCTGGCTGGTTGGTGGTGAGCAAGGGCTGTCACTCTTTACGCCTGTTAGAGCATCATGGGAGAGGTGGGTGAATGCCCTGGCTGTTGACTTCTCCTCCACATGCCACCCTCTGAGACTGATTCTGTGAAGGCCAGTCAGGAAGAGGTGTCTTACACCTGCCCTCCCTGTCGACCTTCCCCTCCCTTCCTCCCCCAGCCAGTGGCAGAAGGAGGGAGTGTCACATCACAGTCCTCCTGTCCTGGGTCTTCTCCACCTCAGACCTAAAGTCTTAGCAGTGGTGGAGCCTGCAGGGTCACAGGGCCTCACACCTGCCTCACTGGGCTGAGGCTAAACACACAGCACACCACTTATTCATCGCCTGTGGGGAAGGGCAAAAAGACAAGGAGCTTGACTCAGGAATGAGGGAATTAGGTTCCTTCTAATTGTACCTAGAACCTTTCAAAGAGTCCTACTCAAGTTTATTTGATTTCTCTCTCTCTTTTTTTTTTTTTTTTTTTTTTTTGAGATGGAGTCTCGCTCTGTCACTCTGGCTGGAGTGCAGTGGCGCAGTCTTAGCTCACTGCAACCTCCGCCCCCTGGGTTCAAGCAATTCTCCTGCCTCAGCCTCCCTAGTAGCTGGGATTACAGGCATGTATCACCATGCCCAGCTAATTTTTGTATTTTTAGTAGAGACAGGGTTTCACCATGTTAGCCAGGATGGTCTCAAACTCTTGACCTCAGGTGATCCACCTGCCTCAGCCTCCCAAAGTGCTGGGATTACAGGCGTGAGCCACCGCGCCCGGCCTATTTGATTTCTTAATTACAGAAGCACCTCTCTGAAATGGCTTCCACTTTCAAAATAAAGATGCTGTCATTCATTGCATACTATGGTCTACCTTCCAATGAGAAGGGTAAAATCATTAAAAGTTCCAGGGTGCAGCAGACTTAAACAAAAAATATTTCACTAAAACAGTTTTTCCTAGTTTAAACAATGTTATCTAATACAGAAACTGAAGTCTGTGTCAGAGATACATTCTGAAGACAAAGAACTTTAAAATACTTAAATAAATTAGATTTCTAGTGAAACTGAGAAGAGGCACATTTCACAGCAGCATCATTAAAGATAAACATTGCTATTTCATTAAACGCAAGAAGGAAAAGCAAACAAGGACTTGTTTCACGGGGCATTCCAAGAAGACACCGGGTGCCAGTTAGAATGGATTTCAGGGCAAGAAAACATCGATGACACAGAAAGGACCAAGGTCTTGCATATCTCTTTAATCAGCTAATATTTACTGGGCATGTACTTTTCTAGCACTATGCTAATTGCTAGGGAGTGCAAAATAACAAATGCCCTTTCTCCGAACCCTGGATATCCTTTTGGGAAGAGGGAGAGGAGAAATCATATTAAGTCAGTAAATGAGACAATGTTCTGGTGTGCGCTGCGGGTTCCACAGTAAAAACCAATGATCACATAGTATCAAAGTGTATAGCAAAGATGAGTTGGCCAGGAACATCTAATAATTCACTAAATCCCCAGGAAGTTGGACCAGAGACAAGGCCAGCAGCTCCCCGTGTCCCGCCAGCCGCTCTGCTGCGCCACACTGCCTGGTCCCTCCTCATGGTGACAGTCACAGCACATGGGGAAAAAAAAGTGTGTACTTTTGGAGTGGGTGGAAGGAGGACCACAAATTACAACAGTGCAAGACGTCGTCCCAGTCTTCTCCATAGTCATAGTCTCTTGCAGGTAAATGTGCAGTATTCCTAAGATGTCTGAGGTTTCTGTGACCGAATGGCAACAAGAAGGAGAGGCACCTGGTAACATTCAGGGCTCTCTGGACCTGCTGGTCTCAGCTCTGCAGGCTGAGACCCTGTGACCTCTGAGCAGGTCACTGCTGAGTTACACTGAGACCTCAGCGACCCCTGAGCGGGTCACTGCTGAGTTACACTCAGTCCCATCAGGCCTGTGGGGGCCACAGGGTTCTGGCCATTACACCCTAGTTATGAAATCCTCACACAAACAGCTCCTCTTTGCCCTAACTCCAGGTCTCTCCCCACACCCTGGGCCACTTACCCCCACTGCATCCCTTCAGCAAGACCCCAGCGGACACCTGGACTCCCTTCCTACCCCAAGGAGACCACGGGGAAGCCAGGAATATGTCCGCAGTTTCATCCACCGGCCAGTCCCACAGCAGCTGTGGCGCCATCTTGGGTGTGGCTGCAACTCCTGCTAGAGCATCATGGGAGAGGTGGGTGAATGTCCCGGCTGTTGACTACTACACGCCACCCTCTGAAACTTTGACTCTGTGAGGGCCAGTCAGGAAGAGGCGTCTTACGTCTTCCCTCGCTGTTGCCCTTCCCCTCCCTTCCTCCCCCAACCGGTGGCAGAAGGAGGGAGTGTCACTTCATGGTCCTCCTGTCCTGGGTCTTCTCCACCTCAGACCTAAAGTCTTAACCACAGCCCTTGTCCTCAGTGGGTTAATGGGAATAAAGGAATTTAGAGATTTTCTTTCTTGACTAAGCCTGGAATTCATGATCGTCTTGTCATTGTAAAGATCCTATTTGGGACATCAAACACTGAACATCAGCGTGCTTTGACCCTTCCCACTCCTGTGCACCAATTCTAGTCCTCCTGAGCCACGGGTGTCTCAAAGAAGAGGAAAGGCAGTGAGCTGAGATCGCGCCACCGCACTCCAGCCTGGGCGACAGAGCGAGACTCCATCTCAAAAAAAAAAAAAAAAAAAGGAAGAAGAAAGGTCACAGAAAGTAAAGCGAACGACAATAGCACATTTATATACATGTTTAATATCCAAGTTTTATTATGGTTATTTTACTTATATTTGCTATATTACCCCAGATCACCAGGGAAGCCTTCGTGGACAGAGTCGGATTTGAACTTGGCGTTTATGGATGAATAGAATGTAGTAGAATGTAGTTGAATGTGCTGGACTGGAGAGCAAAATGGAGACAGACTTGAGCAGAGGAACAGAAATAAAGCTATAATGAAAAGCGTAAACTATCTAAACATTTCTGAAAATGAACATTGATGCAAACATAGAATTTCCCAGCGTCTATCTGGGATAGACCTATCACCTTAACTTTCTAGCCAGTAAAAAAACTGGTTTTGAAAATGGTTACCATGAGGCTTTTCAAGATCTTCAGTTGTCAAACAAATATTCAACAATGACTCCAATAAATAGAAAGATTCAACTAAACAAACTACCTAATGTTAGTAGCTGAGGTTATGATGGTATCAGTAAATACAGTAAAAAAGAACCACAAATTACCTAATAAACAGCAGAGCAGAACTCCAACATAATTCTCCAAACTTTGAACTCTGGATTCTTTCCGTTATACAACATTGCCTCTCTAACTGTCAGCATCAGTAGAATTTTATAAATTGCAAGACAATGGAGAGAGCGGCCTCCTACTTAGCAGTCGGGATTGGCTTGGACACTGCATACCCACTCTCCTCCAGCCAATCAAATTGCTTCCCACTTTCCCAGGTGCAACGTCCATGGGTCATAATCTGGACCTCTGGGCTTAGGCACCACATCCTGCTACTCAACAATCTACCACCTTGTGGCTTGTTTCGTTTTATTTTGCATGGGTGGAGGTGGGGGTAGTGGGAAGGGAATTCCTAAAATCTCATCAGTTCCAGGAAGCCTAGAGGCCTAGGCCTTATTCTCCTCCTCATATGGTACAAATGCCAAATCCTACATTTCCTTGAGTCCGCGTCCTCCCTGTAGATACTCTCAGTGAACTGGACCTGTTGTGGAGGAGTAGAAAATAAACATGCCTCGAATTCTCCAACAGGGCATTCAGTGTCTGCATGGCCTGTGCATTAGGATCTCTTTCTTAGCTCTCCATCTAGTGCAGGTACACGTTCCTGTGATCCGTGTTCCAGTTACTTCACAGTACAGTTATCAACACCTGCCTTAACACCACCAACAAGATTGAGTGGCGATCGAAACCAAACAACTAGTGAGGAAAGGCAGAGGCACCACAGCCTCCTGACTTGGTCATTGCAGACATGCACTATGGGTTATACGTGGAAGTCTCAAGATCCAGCACCAGTTTCAACAATTATATGCCTTCTACCATTTTTATTTCATTGACCTCCAACCACTTTCCACTTTCTACTGTCCACTCAATTATTATCATTATAATTTTTTGCAGTCCTTTTTGGAGAATAAATCTAAGCACATTGAAATGCATGCCTCATAACTGAATAATTTTGACAAATAGTGACACCTGTGCAATCCACACACTCTCATGATCTAGAACATTCCCACCTCATGAGGACATCATATCCTGTCCTTCCCCAGCCAATGCCCCACCTCCTAGAGACAATCAATGCTGGTGTATATTTCACCATTGATTAGTTTAGCCTGTACTTGAACATCACTTAATGGTGTAATACAAAATGTGCTTCAGGGGGTCTGGCTTCTTTTCTCAGCTTAATGTCTATGCCAATGATCCACATTGTTGGCTCTGTCCATAGCATGTTTCTTTTTATCGGTTAGTGGCCTTCATTGTATGAATAAATACACCACAATTTATCTTTTCACCCATCGATGGCCATTGGAGTTGTTTCCAGTTTTTTATCATTGTGAATAAGGGTGTTATGACCATTAGGATACAAATATTTTGGACATATTTTTCTTTTTTTTAATAAATACATCGGAGTACAATTACTACATCAAAGGTTCAGTGTGTGTTTAATAAGAAACTGTCAAACATTTTCTGAAGTCATTATACCACTTTACATATCTACCAGAAATATGTTAGAACTCTAATTGCTCCTTTTTTAAAATTCTAGTCATTCTAATAGATGTGTAGTGTTCTACTGTAATGGTTCTGATTTGCCTCTGATGACTGTGATATTGAGCACTTCTTTGTGTGCTCATTTGGCCCTTTACAAAGGAATACATATCTTCCTTTGAGAAGCAGCTCTTCAAGTCTCTTGCCTATTTTATTATTATCGAATATAGGAATTATAATCTTACTACAAGTCCTTTGTCACCTACATATATTGAGTATATTTTCTCCCAGTCTGGGCTTGCTCATTCTCTTCTTAAAAACTGTCTTTTTAATAATAAAAAAGGAATTTTGCTCCAATTTGATTTTTTTCTCTTATGAATACAGTTTTCTGTGTCCTAAGAAACCTTTGCTTACCTCCAAGTAATGAAGATATTCTTCAATGTTTTCTTTTAAAAACATTATTATTTTAGGTTTTATGTCCATGATCCATCTCCAATTAATTTTTGCTTACAGTGTTAAGTAGACCAAGTTTCTTATTTTTCTACATGAGTATCAAGTCATTCTAGTAACGTTTGCTGAAAAGACTTACTTTTCTCATTGAATTTCTTAGATTCCTTGGTCAGAAATCAATTGGCCATACTCGTGTGGGCTCTAGAATCTCTATTCTCTTTCATTGTTCTACTTATTTATTCTTACACCAAAACCACACTGTTTGATTACTGTACTTACTAACAAGTCATAAAGTCAAATATCACAAACTCATAATTTTCTGGCTATATTCTTTTTCATATCAATGTTATAATCAACTATTTAAGTTTCTATGGACTTACGATTGAGATTGTGTTGAAAATATAGATCAAATTAGCAATGAGTAACAACATTTTAACAATATGGAGCCTTCCCACCATTCATGAACATGGTATATCTCTGTTTATTTAGGTATTCCTTATTTTATCTGTTCAATATTCCATAGTTTTTAGTGTAGATCTGTTGCATATGTTTTGTTAACTTTATTTCTGTTCATTTATGCTTTTTTGATACTACATTAATTTGTATTTTATTTTTTAATTTTTTGCTGCTAATACAAATTCAACTGTATTTTTGAATATTGATCTTTATCCTGAGACCTTGGTAAATCCACGTATTTGTTCTAATAAGCTTTTTTTGTTGTTTTGTTTCATTGTTGTCATCAATAATTTTGGATTTTCTGTGTAAACAATTATATTGTCTGTGAATAAGGCAGTTTTACTTCTTCATTTATAGTATGTAAGCTTTTTATTTTTTTTCTCTTGTCTTTCTACACTAGTTAGGATCTCCAGTACAATGACAAATGGAAGTGATGATAGCAGGTATCCTTGCCTTGCTCTCAATCTTAGGAGGAAAGCATTCAGTCTTTCAACATTAAGTATTATGTTACATGAAGGTGTTTGTAGACGTCTTTGATCACATTGAAGAAGCTCCCTTTTATTCTTAGATTCCTGAGAGGTTTTATCTTGAATGGGTTTGAATTTTTGTCAAATGCTTTTCTGCATCTATTGAGATGAATATATCACTTTCTTGTGTATTAAATTACTATGGTGGATTATATTGATTTTCAAACATTAAACCAACTTTACATTTATAGGAGAAAGCCCAGTTGGTTATGATGTATTATCCTTTTTATGTAATGCTGGACTTAATGTGCTGATATTTTGTTAAAGATTTCAGCATCTATGTTCATAAGAGATATTGGTCTATAATTTTCTTTTCCTGTGATTCTTTTGTCAGGTTTTGATGTCACAATTATGCTGCCCTGATAAAATGAGTTGAGAATACTGTCTTTTCTCATTTCTAAAAGAATATTGTAAAATTGGTAATATTTCTTCCTTAGGTGTTTGAAAGCATTTACCGGTGAAACCATCTGAGTCTAGAGTTATGTTTGTGGAAAATTATTTTGATAGAAAGCTTAAGATCTTTGATGGGTATGAAGCTATTCAGATTTTTTCTTTCATTTTGCATCATTTTTAATAAGCTAGTTTTTTTGAGGAATCTGTCCATTTCAACTTGTCATTTATTGACAAATTTTCAATGTTTGCCAAGTTTATTGGCATAAAATTGTTTATAAGACATATTTTTAGGTCTGTAGCATCCATAATTATCTCCCTTCTTTTATTACTAATATTATTAATTTATGTTTTCCATATTTTTTCTGAATTATTCTTGCCAAGGTTTTATGAATTGTATTAATATTTTCAAAAGACCAAATTGAGCATTGTTAAATTCTCAACTGTTTTGTCTGTTCCCATTTTATTTATTTCTGCTCTTGTCTCTATCATGTCCTTCCTTCTAGTTACTTTGCATTTAATGTGCTCATTTGCTTCTAGCTTTTTAAACTGGAAAATTAGATCATTGAGTTAAATCACTTCCTTTCTAAAATAAGAATTTTGACTTATAAATTCTTTTCTAAGCATTGCTTTAACTTTAACTATATTTCATAAAATTTTATATGCACTATTTTCATTTTCTTTTTTTTTCTGTTGCCTATACTGGAGTTCAGTGGCTCAACAATGGCTCACTGCAGCCCCAACTTCCTGGGCTCAAGCAATTCTCCCATCTCAGCCTCCTGAGTAGCTGGGACTACAGGCACGTGCCACCATGTCTGGCTAGTTTTTTCATTTCTTTTGTAGAGATGGAGTCTCGCTATGTTGCCCAGGCTGGTCTTGATCCCCTGGGCTCAAGTGATCTTCCTGCCTCGGTCTGCCAAAGCACTGGGATTAAAAGCATAAGCCACCATCATTTTCATTAAGTGTGAAATATTTATTGTTTCCATTGTGATTTCTTATTTGATATGAGATTTATTAAAGATCATAAAACAAAAATATTTGTTGCTTTCCTAAAGCTGTTACTCTTATTGATTTCAAATGCAATTCCACTGAAGCCAGAACACAACTCTAAACATATTTCAGTCTTTTGAAATTTATTAAGAATTGTTTTGTGGCTCAACATGTGGAGTATCATTTCATGCACACTTGAAAATGATATGGATTCTGCAGTGTTGGGTGGAGTTCCCATAAATGTCAATTATGTCATTTAAATTCTATAATTTAGATTTATGATTTAAATGTATATATTTACAAATAAATATAATGCATTTCTCACTTTCTCTCCCTCTCACTTCTCTCATTTATTAGCCCATATATTTGGAAGTTCTGTTACTAAGCTTGTAAATATCTTTAATTATGTTTTGCTGATGAAGCCTTTTATTATTATGTGATATGGTTTGGCTGTGTCCCACCCAAATCTCATCTTGAATTGTAGTTCCCCTAATCCCCCCATGTCATGGGAGGGACCCAGTGGGAGGTAATTGAATCATAGGGGCAGTTTCCACCATGCTTTTCTCCTGATAGTGAGTAAGTTCTCATGAGATCTGATGGTTTTATAAGGGACTTCCCCCTTCACTCGGCACCCATTCTCTCTCCTGCTGCCCTGTGAAGAGCTGCCTTCCACCATGATTGTAGATTTGCTGAGGCCTCCACAGCTATGCAGAACTGTGAGTCAATTAAACCTGTTTCCTTTATAAATTACCCAGTCTCAGGTATTTCTTCACAGCAGTATGAAAACACACTAATACATCATGAAATGTTCTTCTTTATCTTTGGTAATATGCTTTGTCTCGAGGTAGCTTTGTCTAGTGTTACTGTAGCTATTTCAGTTTTCTAATAGTTGCATATATATATACAGAGACTTTCCACCTATTATGTCTTTGAATTCAAAGTACATCTCTTAAGACAACATATACTTCATCTTGCTCTTTAATTCAATCGATAATCTGCCTTTTAAATGGTGTATTAGTCTATTTATATGTTTCTAGTTATTAATATCATTGAATTTAGGCTCTACAATATTATCATTTGTCTTCTATTTGTCTCATATGCTTTTTGTTTCTCCTTTCTTGACTTTTTTTGAGTTCATCAAAGACTTTATTTGACATTCCTGTTTAATTCTTATATTGACTTTTTAGCTATATATACATTTTTTTAATTTAGTGGTTGCCTTAGAAATTACAATATACATCTATAATTTCTTATATCTACGTACAGGTAATATTGTATCACTTAATGTAAAATACGGTAATAATGCAACACTATAGTTCAATCTTCACATGTGCTATTGCTTTCATATATATTGTGTCTACATGCATGATAAATCCTAGAACACAGTTTTATAACTTGCATTTTAAAAAATCTTTTGTTTCCTTTAAAAAAAAAAGTTTTTTGAGACAGGGTTTCACTCTGCCACCCAGGCAGAAATGCAGTAGTGCCATCTCAGCTCACTGCAACCTCTACCTCCTGGGCTTAAGCGATCCTGTCACCTCGGCCTCCCAAGTACTAGGACTTCAGGTGTCCGCCACCACACTGGGCTAATTTTTAAAGGTTTTATGAAGACAGGTTTTTACCATGTTGTCCAGGCTAGTCTCAAACTCTTGGGCTCAAGCAATTCACTCACCTTGGCCTCTCAAAGTGCTAGGATTATAGGTGTGAGTCACTATGCTTGGCCTTCTTTAAAAATTTAGACAAGAAAAAAAATCAATATAGTCTTTTGTGTTTACCCACATATTTACCATTTCCAGGGATCATCACTAAATATTCTAGATCCAATTACCATTTATTATTTGTCTTTAACCAGAAGAACTTCCTTTAGCATTTCTTATAGTGTGGGTCTGTTATAAACTATCTTAGTACCTGCTTATCTGAAACATCTTTCACCTTCATTTTTATAATGCTATTAATATGTTTTATTTAACCCAATATACTCAAAATATTATCATTTCAACATGCTATAAGTATAATAAAATTATTACTAATGTAGTTTACCTTATTTTATTCACTTCTTTGAAATTTGATATGTGTTTTACATGTACATCTCCATTCAGACTAGCCACATTTAGTGCCCAATAGTTTTCATAAGCGGCTACTGAAATGGACAACACATCCCTGGAATGTCTCTTTCCCTTTCATTTTAAAGACTAGTCACATGAAAATAGAATTCTAAGTTAACAGACCTTTTTTCATTGCATCACTTTGTCATTCCATTGTTCTCTCACCTGCCTCATTTCTGCTAAGAATTATTCAGTCGTTTGTATAACCATTTTCTGTATGTAACATGCATTTTTCCTCTGACTGCTTTTTAATATTGTATATTTATATTTGGATTTAATCAACTTGATTATTATATGCTCAGGTGTGGTTTTCTTTGTATTTATCCTGCTTGGTGTTCTTTGAGCTTCTTGGATTTGTTACTTGATGTCTTTAATCAAATTTAGGAAGTTTTTAGCCATTGTTTCTTCAACACAATGTTTATGCTGCATTATATTTCTTATCTCTTTTTTGGAATTCTAATTATGGTTATATTAGACTACTTGATACTGCCCCACAGGCCTCTGAGGCTCTGTCCATTTCCAAGGCTTCTTCCGTTCTTTGAAAATCATAATTTCCATTGATCTATCTTCAAGTTCACTGATTCTTTATGCTACCATCTTCATTCTTCTGTTAAGTCAATTTTATACAATTTTGTTTATTATTATTGAACATCTAAGTTTTTAAAATTTTATTTATAGGCCAGGTATCGTGGCTCATGCCTGTAATCCCAGCACTTTGGGACACCAAGGCAGGAGGATCATCTGAGGTCAGGAGTTCAAGACCAGCCTGGCCAACATGGCAAAACCCCGTCTCTACTGAAAATACAAATCTTAGCTAGGCATGGTGGTGCGCACCTGTAATCCCAGCTACTTGGGAGGCTGAGGCAGGAGAACCACTTGAACCCAGGAGACAGAGGTTGCAGTGAGCCGAGATCGTGCCACTGCACTCCAGCCTGGGTGACACAGCAAGATTCTGTCTCAAAAAAAAAAAAAAACAAAAAAAACATTTATGGTTCTATGTCAGAGTTTCCCATCTATTCATTGATTATGCATTTGTTTTCCTGCAAGTTCTTTCACACACTTTATTTGCTGCTCTAAAGTCTCTGTCTGTTCATTGCAACATCTGGCTCACTCAAGGTTAGGTGTTACTTGTTTCTTCTTTTTTCTTGAGTATGGGTCACATTTTCTAGTTTCTTCACATGTCTAGGGTTTTCTGTTATTAGTAAATGCAAGTCATTCTGTATGAAACATTGTAGAGTCTCTGGATTTTTTTTATGCTCCTCTGGGGAATAACTTTTATCTTACCAAGCAGTTAATTTGGCTAGACTCAAACTCCATAATCTACAGGGGGCAACAGACAAAATGTCTGTTTAATCATATTGGCTTCCAGATGCTGCTTTTTCGCCAGCTCATCTGTGATCTCCCCGCTACTAGCATAGCTTAGCAGTCACCTCTGATTTGGGTAGATTTTGGATACAGATTTGGAGCAGTCTCTGGGTTTTCCCTCTAACTTTCTAGATTGTCTTCCAGCCCAAAATTCTCTCTTCTGACACCTCAATCCTGTAACACTGCAGGTTTCCGCTGTCCAAAGCCATGGACTGGAGAGTAGCCTCAGGCAAAAGGTTTTTACAAGTGTAGACCCTGTATTCCAAAGGTAGATTCTCCTCCAGTTTCTACCTATTATCACTCTCCAGTACTATCAGAATATTGATTTGTGCATTTCATTCAGATTTTATAATGGTTATCTGTGGGAGTGTTAAGATGACCCACCTATTCTGCTGCCACAGACTTGAACTCCCATGTTCTGGGTTTTGATTCTTGCCTTCCGTTAAACCCAGTGATTCCCCATATCGAGTTGTAACCTGAACTAGCATTGGCTAGTTTTCTTCCTGTATCTTTCCCAGCAGAAGTTCTTATACTACTTAGAGTATCAGAGCAGGTCAGGATTGCCTCTCAACGTTTCTCTCAAACTCTGAAGACAAGTAGAACAGAAAGTTGAGAAGCACTATCAGAAAATTAATCTAAATTTGTCATGCTCCTCCTCAGAAAAGCAACCACAATCACTTCTCATAGACAGTATTTTGAAGCTCAGGTTGAGACTGTATCCCTTTTTAAAACTAATTTGGTAGAAAAAAAAAACAGATGAGCTGGGAATCTTCAGAAATTCTGTTTCTGGGAATAAATGCTCCACCTTGTTCCCTTTTCCTACCTATCTTACAGCTGGCCAACATTTTATCACATTACTGTGTTTTTTAAAATTGTGACCTGATGTCATTTTATTAGATCCTAGACCTGAAAAAGCAGAGGGAACGGGCTGTGACCATTGACAATAGCCAAGCTGATCCTGGACGTGCACCCAGGCTTGCCATCCCTGCAATCTGCGACCGTTGACGACAGCCAAGCTGATCCTGGACGTGCACCCAGGCTTTCCATCACTGCAATCATCTGTCCTTTTCTTTTTCCTCTGTAGGGCAACATAAACTTAAGAGAAAGGTGCTCAATAATTAATTCTGCCATTTTAAAGGAAGCCAGCGATCATCGCTGTGTATTTTGAGGAAAATAATATATTAATATTTAAGGAAAACATAGAAGGAAAAGAAACACATGCCCCACCAGAGTGACAGTGCTAAGTGTTGCAGAGATGTGGAGTAATTGAAATGTTCATCACTGCTGGTGGATGTGAGCATTGGCACAGCCATTTTGGAAAATATTTTGGCATTATCCTGTAATGTTGAACATACATATACCCTTCAACCCAGAAATTGCTCTCTTCATTTATTCCCTAAATAATCTCATGCATATGTGTACCAAGGCCCAAGAACACGTAAAAGAATGTTCTTCATAGCATTTTTGTATGATAGCCAAAACTTAGAAACAATCCAAATAGTGACCAGTAGGAGAATGAATAAAAGTATTTGAGTATATTTACATGATGGAACACTATACAGAAATACAATTAAAACTAAATGAAAATGAAAATAAACTATAACAACATGTGACATCATGGGTGAGCTTTACTAACATATTAATGGCAAAAACTGCAATTAATTTTGCACAAACCTAATATTAGCCAATAGAAACAAGATGCCAAAGAATACAGACTACATGACTCCACTCATATAAAGTTCACAACAAACCTTTTTAATTCTATGATTTAGCGATGCATAGATAGGTGGTAAAACTACAAGGCAAAGCAAAGAACAATGACCATAAATGGGACATAAATAGGGGAGGGGAGGAGGTATGGTAAGAGAGGTGGGTTCACATTTTGTTTATAATTATTTATTAAAGTATGCATTTATGCTTAATGCACTT
Source organism: Homo sapiens (assembly GCF_000001405.40). Classification (NCBI taxonomy): domain Eukaryota; kingdom Metazoa; phylum Chordata; class Mammalia; order Primates; family Hominidae; genus Homo; species Homo sapiens. Next base: position 156,413,199 of record NC_000007.14, read on the forward strand.
TGCCATACGTATATTTCACAATGACATCTTTAAAAATATAATAAAAATAGGGAAATATTAAGGACCATGAAGCCCTCTGAATATTTGGTACTTTGGTATTTTTAGTGCCTTGAGAAAGTTTTGCAATACACTGGACTTTCAGGGCTTCCGGGCTTCCTCTGCCCCCACTCACACTGGCCTCTCTGACTATCCTGGGCTCACCAGGGCCCTCACATGCACCCTTCTCTCTGACTCCCCTCAGATGTCTGGGCATCTCTCTCCTCACCTCCTCCTTTACTCAAATACAATGGCACCACTTAAAATCGCAGCCCCATCCCCCAGACACTCCCCACGCTTATGCTAACAAGGTGCTTTTTACTCATTTATTTTGTTGATTGTCCTTGTTACGCTAAGTGCTCCATGAATCAAAGTTTCTCCACTTTGCTCACTGCTGTGTTCCCAGTACATAGAATAGGGCCTTGTACATAGCAGGGTCTCAATAATGTTTGTTGAATGAATAAAGAAATGAGTGCAGCGATACGTCCATGGTAGAGGCATGAGGAAATGCATGCAGCAATGCATGGTGGATGAATGAGGAAAGGAGCACAGACATGCATGTTGGATGAATGAGAAAATGGGCAGAGCTATGCATCTGTGGTGGAGGCCTGAGGAAATCCATGCAGCAATGCATGGTGGCTGAATGAGGAAGTGTGCACAGCCATGCAACCATGGTAGAGGCATGAGGAAATGCATGCGGCAATGCATGGTGGAGGCATGAGGAAATGAGCAGAGCCATGAATCCATGGTGGAGGCATGAGGAAATGCACAGCGATGAATCCATGGTGGAGGCATGAGGAAGTGTGCAGCAATGCATCCATGATGGACACATGAGGAAATGCGCGAGGAAATGAATGAGAAGCAGCCTCCTCCTCAGACTCCCATCCAAGGGTCCACTGAGGCCACAAATTGTTCCATTGTCCCTGATTCCCTAATACCCATGAGTTCAGCCAAGAACACTGGGCACACTCAGCACTATCCTGACCCCTGCATCCTACAGCACTACCCTGACCCCTGCATCCTACAGCGCTATCCTGACCCCGGCTCATCAGAGGCTCCATCTGCTTCCTGAGCTGCCAATTGGCCATGACTGTGGTATCGAGCAAGACCAGGACACAGCAAACCCATCGGGGCCAAAAATCATCTTTTTGTGCCCAGAATAATACCATTTCCACTAATTCGCCTGAAAAAAAATAAAAACCCACACCTTCCAAGAGAGTTAGCATCTTTAATGCTCTTGTGAGTGTTTACCAAAAGCACTGTTAAATGTTGACATTTCCCGAGGGCTTGTTATTGGCCTGTGGAGTGCTGGGCCTCTGGGGTGGGAGAAAGCACAGGGCACATCTCTGTCCTCCACCTCGACTCATGCAGACGAAACTGACCTAGAACTATGGAGGCGCTCAAGCTCAGAGGAAAGTGATGATTTAAGCACAGTGCAATTTGTCCATGGACAGAGCAGGCAGGACACACACTGGGAAAGTGAGAGAGGGGGGCCTCTGTGCTGGGGGACCTGGGAATGAAACGTTGTGAACAGCGCAGAATTGGCTGAGCTGAGCAGAGACAGTGAGACCGAGGGAGGGGACTTGAGGGCCAGAAGGGAGGGACATGTCTTCCACCTTTCCACTGCCACTGTCCCAGGGAGGCTGCCTGCAGACAGGGCTCAAAAGTTGAGAAGGAATTCACACTCTGTGTTCCTACGCTGTGAGTTTCCTCCATCTGACTTCACCCCGAAGCTTTGTGTTTCAGTAATGTCAGAGCTAAGCACTGGAAAGAGCACCGAGGCCACCCGCTAGGACGTTCAGAATTGGAAAGGAAAGGGATGTGTTTTTCACTTGCTTTTTCACTCAGTCACCACTGACTGTACACTAAAGTAACAATCACAGAAGCTGCTTCACTGAATCCTAGCTACATAAACGTACAACACACAGGAGAAATCACAATAACCCTGCAAAGGCAGAACTTGTACACAGATGAGGAGGCTGAAGTTAGGAGCGAAGGGAAATGGCTCCTCCGGCACCCCAGAGCTGGGCTGGCAGGGTTCTGACTCAGGTCCAGTCGATAGCAGACGCCTTCCCACTGTGCTGTGATGTCTTCCCATGGAATCCCATAGGAATGCCGGTGCCAGGGACAAGAACAAGACCCATACGTTAGACTTTCCACTTTCCATTCTACACGACTCGCTATTGGAAACAGCACCACTACCTAACAAAGACAAGACACGCTGCCTGTCATTCAGCCTCTCTCACCGTGTGGCTTAACTGCCTTTTCAGGCTCACTTCCCACCTCCTCATGGCACCCCATGCCACAGCTGACCAACACAGCAAAAGTCCCAGCAGGCAAGATCCCCTGTGTCTGCTCCTTTCCTTAGTCAATTTCCTAACCACCTCCTGACCCACCTCCTACTGCATGCCACATCCCAGTCCACATAAAACGCCACCTTAGGAATGTCTGCATCCTCCTAAATGCCCAGGGCTCCTCCAAAGACAGTTACGCCCTTAAGTGGAAGTTGTATATGTTCACGATGGGACAACTTTGCCATAAAAGGACACGCGCTTTTGAAATTCTGTATTATTTGCAGGACTCAGAACTAGCAAAGTGCTTGTCCCGCTGTTCAGTCGTCATTACCGCCCTGATCAGCAGGTCCTCGACACCGTGGCCCTGGGAACACATGACGGTTTCACCATTTTTACCAAAACTACAGCAGAACAGTGTTTTTCCTTGGATGTGACTGTTAGCTTCAATGGGTGTTTTAAGGGAATTTGCACAGCAGCTTCCTGCTGACCACAAACACCAGATGCCTAGGCAGCACTGCCAGCAGGGAGAGCCTGGCCTAGTCTCAGGCCCACGGAGGATGGGGCGTGGCCTCTGTCCAAAATTGCTCCTCTGTCCCTGGACTTATCCTTTTAATTCAAAGCCTGCTCCCCGTCTGAATTGCAACTATGTCCAAAAGGGGTAACACAAATTGATTCTTGTCACTAACATTAGGTCCCCTGTTTGTATGGCATTTCCCTCCAAGAGCTGCCACCCTGGTCCCCACCTGAGGCCCTGGAGGAGAGAGGATCACTTGACTGTGGGCCGCTCAGCCCCGACTGTCTGGGATTCGCCAGCACAAAGTGCCCATGACCTGGCCTGGTCCTGCCTTGCCTCTGCTTGCTCTTGAAGTTTAGCACCCACCCGGAGCCCAGCTCTCAGATGGGGCTCTCGCCTTGTTCTCTGTCCTGTGACCCACCTGCTGCTCTGCTCTTTGATGCCCGGAATCTGATTGTATGCTTGCAAGTTTTCCTCTCTGGCACTAACCCAGGGACTGCCCCTTCTGCCTGGGACTGGCCTCTCCAAAGCTGGCTGTCAACAAGCTCCTCCAATTTTGGCTTTTCCAGATTTCACTTGCCCCCAGCCTCTCTGTCCAGCTGTAGCTAATCAGACGATGCAGCCACGGCAAGAAAATACGGCATAAATATTTCAATCAAAGCAAAGATCCTGATAGAGACAGAGTTTCAGGACTTTGCGTAGGTGGGTGCGTGCACACACGTGTGCATGTTCTGTACAAAACCCCGTGTGAATCAGTACCCTGTACAGAGGAAGGAAAAGGTGGAAGCTGGAGACCAAAAGCCAACTTCACCAACCCCACAGTTTTGCTGCAGCCACAGGTGACGGGTATCAGAGCCGCTGATTTCCAATCGCTGTGCTCACATGTGACGGGCCAGGGATGCCACCCTGAGATGCAGCGTCTGCAGGCATCATGCTCTGTGCAGGCAGAAGACCATCGCTAATAGGCCCAGGATGAGCATGCCAGCCGGGCCCCCCCAGGGCTCTCGATCATGAGCCATCACAGCTCCAGGCTGATGCACATACAACAGCTCCAAGTACTCTTACTCCCAGCTCAGCCAGGAGCTCCCCCAAAAGTCATAACGGTCCTCATCTTTCAGGGGAAGAGCCAAACGTGGAGGTAATGGTCAAGAGCTTGGCCACTTCTGAGATTTTTTATTATTGTCCTTTGAAAGCAGAGAACAGGAGAGATGCACTGGTGCATGTACAGCAAGCAGGTGCAGCATCAGTGCAAACACACACCCAGGCGGGGGTCTGATCCACACTAGGCAAGGTTCTGCAGGCCATCACCTTCTCCATGGCAAGCTCATCTGAAGCCCAATCCACCTGCTCTTCACTGTGTCCCTTTGACACAAACCACTCAACTCAGAACTGACAAGAGAGTTGGTTTGGGGCGCACACAATCAAGCTTGTTTGAGACCAGTTCATGACCAACCATTCTCCAAAGCCTGCAGCTGAGACTCCAGGCCTCAGTGGTCTCCTTTCTCCTAAAATCCGATTGTCCCTGCTGTTTGAAATAACCCATGGTTCTATATGGTCCCATCATGGTCACTAATTGTCTGCTGTGAGTCCATCTAGACCTCCTAGCTGGATCATGGACTTCTGATTGGCCACCCTCTTGCCTCTTTTGTAGCCTCCACAACACCAAGGAATGGGGTCAGCCACATGAGGCCATGCTTACTCAGCCATGTTGGTTCTAAAATCTCCCATGGAGGGACCCTAAAGATTCCCCAATCCGGCCAGATGCAGTGGCTCACGCCTGTAATCCAAGCACTTTGGGAGGCCGAGGCAGGTGGATCACCTGAGGTCAGGAGTTCGAGACCAGCCTGGCCAACATGGTGAAACCCCATCTCTACCAAAAATACAAAATTAGCTGGGTGTGGTGGAACATGACTGTAATCCCAGCTACTCGGGAGGCTGAGGCAGGAGAATCGCTTGAACCCAGGAGGCAGAGGTTGCAGTGAGCTGAGATCATATACCATTGCACTCCAGCCTGGGCAACAAGAGCAAAACTGTCTCAAAAAAAAAAAAAAGATTCCCCAATCCAGCCACCCACATGATGTTTGAAGATGATATAGTAACATAATTTTGGAGGCCATACAAGAAGTTTAGATTTTAGATCTTCACAACAAACTTTAATTCCAATTTTGGTTTTAAGTTAAGTGCCTACCCTGGGTCAGGCACCTACAGGGGCCCAAGTACACACTGACATCTAAAACAAGACACAATCCCTGACCTCAAAAGATTCAGAGTCGATGAGGAAGAGAGACGATCCCATGTAAACAAATAAGTAAATATGTGATTGTAAATATTGTAAATGTCAGCAAAGGAAATGAACAGTGGAAAAGCATAGTCAGTCTGGAGGAAGGAACTTTCCAACAGAAATATTTATTACAAAGCTCAAAGGTCATCTCTGAGAGCTATAGTTTAATCTTAATGGAGGGTAATACTACTTTTGACAAACTGCACAGCCATAATTCTCCATTAAAGCCAGGAAAAAAGCATAAGAATCTCTTTACCTTGGTAAAATGTAAGAAAATGTGAGACTTATTCTACTAAGGGCCTCTCCAGGCTTGTGAATGTTTTTTCGCCCCCTGCACTCCCTGTTCCTTACAGGCAGACAATCTCGAAGATCAGCAGAGAAAATGAGGCCATGCAATTTAAGATTACATAAACACAGAAGTCAGGCGAGGTGAGAACATTTTGAATCTGCACTTCTGTTTAGCTGAACACTCTTCATTAAGAAATCCATGAGCCTCCAAATGCCTCTCCTCATTGTCTGAGATGTTCATCGTCTGATGCTAGGAACAGGGTCTGATGAAAGTGATGACACCACAAGTTCTCACTGGGCCCAGTCAGGCCGCTGAAATTACCTGGGGTGGATTTTGAATTCCTTACTAATTTGACTGAGTGTATTCCCAAATCCAGCTCTTAGGCTGGAAAATGCATACATTATGTTTCTTCATGATCACAAAGCTTTTCATTTCTCCAGCTCGATTATAATTTGAAAGTATCTAAACTTCACCTTGGTGGTTTGGTTTATCTATTAATAACTGGATCTTCAGAATTAATCTCTTGTAAAAAAGCTCTTCTTCAGACACCTAATTCTAGTTTCTCAACATGCCATGGAAAAATTTCTGGTTTTCTACAAATTTTGGAGTCTCTGAAAGCTTCTGGGGTTGGACGGAGAGTGCTGAAGGCTTCCTCTTTTTAACCAGAGTAATTGTCATGCTTCTACTTCTATTTGAGCAAAGATACAAGGTACTTATTAGAAGATGCAAAAGTATATCATTGATTGATCCAACATCTTGTCACAGTGTACTAACCAAAAAAGCAATCTGCACAAACAACTGGGTTTCTAATTAGAGTAAACCACCAATCAAATTCTTAATTTCAACCAAGCTCCTGGGAAACATAAATCATGGACTGAATGGTGTGGAAGGTCCATGTATTGATGAAGGCCCTCCCGGAGGGAAGCCTCCAGGGCTCTGCCAGAAGGCTCCATGTGTGACCCTGTTCTGACGGATATTCTTATCAACAATTTGGGTAAACTACTGCAAAGTACATTCATCAAGTGCATCTGTGACAAGGCTGAGGAGAAATAATATGTGGCATTACAAATAATTGACAGGCTAAAAAAAAAATCTCTAAACAGCTGAAACTAACTGTCTATAAAAAGTCCTGCGATTCAAAATTTCAGTGGCATTGTTCAGAATCTAGGGGAAACTGATGATAGCCATTTATGTTCAGAAAAAAAAAATTCAGAGTTTTTTTTAATGACAGCATTTAAATCCAGTCCATCAGAGGACAGGTGATTAAATTCCCCCATCCGGGGCTGTGCCTTGTTTGCTCGGCATCACACCCAGTAACAAGCACATATTAAGCACTTAGTAAACATATGCTGGGTGAGTTAATTGTGAAACCATGTAAAGTGGGCATGAAAGAAGCCCCGGTATGGCCTGTTCCCATGACACTTCTCTGTCCAGGCAAGAACAGAATGGCCCCATGGGGCTAACACTGGCCAGCATCCATTGGTAATTCCAGTTTGGTACAGACACTGTGTTGCAAGCCCAAAAGTAGAAAAATGAGATATTGAGGCAATGTTGAAACTGTGTTGTAAGATGAACCTGGTGAAGACACTGTAAGTATTCATATTGCGGAAAAAAAAAAAAAAACAAGCAAAAACCAAGGTAAGCATGATGACCGCTTTCACTGACTGAAGGACTGTCATATGGAAGTGGGTTTACTTTTTGTAGAACCTGAGTTCAGAACAAGGACCAAGGGATTGACCTCCAGGGAGACATATTTTTGTTAGAGCAAGAAAGAATTTTATCCAGACACAGAATTGCCAGGCCATAAAACAACCAGCCTTGGACAGCGATGATTCCTCTGGACAGCGATCATCTCTCCATCATGGACCTATCAAAGAATGATCCAATGACCTCCTACAAGAACTGCTAAAAGAGGAATCTATCTGCTCTTACAACAAAGCCTACAATGAGCACCTACTGTGTGTCTGGTGTACCATGAGGATGAGGCAGAGAAAGACTTTGCCAGGAAATGTTGCCACATGTGGATGTCCTCAGTGTTGGGAGAGACGTACCTCATGCAGAGAACTCACCTGTGTTGAGGTTTGAAGGGGGAGGTGGGGCAGGAGGTGGTATGGAAGGTGACAGGAGCCAGATGTGTGGAGAATGTCATGCCAGACACCTCTTCCCTGGGGTCTTTCATAAGTCTGATGTTTCAAATACCCTGGTATCAAGTGAACATCATTGAGTATTTCAGAATCTCCAAAGAAAACAGATTTAAGATACAACTCCAGGCCCTGACTGGATCTTCCAGGCAGATCCCCTGACCATAACCTCAACTCTAAATAGAAGAGCTTCCAGATTCACCCAGCAATAGATCTATTAAGGAGTTTCTGCTAATAAGCCATCTGTAGTCACACCACCACAGCATGGAACACACTTATCCATGGAAGAGGGTCATTAATCCTTACAAGGGGCATGACTAATGGAGTCCATCATTTCCACTAATTTAAAATCATCCAGTAAAGCTTCCAAGAGCCTCCAGAGGTTAGAACTCCCAGGATTGCCTGGGACAAGCCAATGCTGCAAGCATTGGTAAACATGTGAATCTAAACGTTTTTCTGTTTGTTATGTAGAGTTACTCCTGAATATATACCACATTGTTTTAAAAAGTTTAAAAAGCAATCCCACCTTGCTATAGTTTGGATGTGGTTTGTCCCTGCCAGAACGCATGTTGAAATTTGATCCCCAGTGTGGCATTGTTGGAGGTGGGGCCGAGTGGGCAGTGTTTTGGTCATGGGGGTGGATCCCTCATGAACAGATTAATGTCTTCCCTCAGGAGTAAGTTCTGGCTTTCACAGGAATTGATTAATTTCCATAAAAGCTGGTTGTTAAAGAGTTTCACTTCCTCCGTTTCTCTCTCTTGCTTCCTCTCTGGCCATGAGATTCCTCTGTACACGCCTACTCCCCCTCCTCTTTTCACTATGAGTGGAAGCAACATGAGACCCTCACCAGACACAGCTGCCCAATCTTGGACTTTCCAATCACCAGAATCATGAGCCAAATACGCCTCTTTTCTTTATACAGAATACCCAGGCTCAGGTATTCTGTTATAGCAACACAAAATGGACTAACATAGACCTCCAGAAAACAATAGTCAAGATCTTTGGACCAAGTGACTTCCAACAGGAAAATCCTGAAGGGAGAAAATTGGGCAAAATGAACCTTTCTTAATATTACAAAAGCCTAATGCCAACAATGCATCTACTCAAAAGGAAGCTGCCCAGCAGTTATTTCACAAACACATTGTGCTGTGCAGACAATTCTTTCCAAATATATTGTTCAAAGTGTGTGGAAAATCATAAAATATGGTTTGGTTGTGAAAAACTTGTTCATCATTGAGCTAGTACACAGCTTCATTTCATATGTGAGAACAGCAAAAGAAAAGAATTGACTTAGATTAGCATTTTCCAAAGTGATTCTGCAGAATGTTGCTGTCTAGTGAGCTGTTAACAGGTATTAGGGGAAATAAGAGCTCCCATGGACAAACAAGTTGAGAAAAAACAACAAACCTTCCTTTTGGAGTCAAAATATGTATTAATTTATTAAAATGTCTGAGAGGTTCTGCAATTTATCTGTTTAACCAAACATTTTCCAAACATGTGTGATCTCAAGACTATTTTCCCACCACATAGCAATTAATACCTTGGAAAGACTCTGAGATTTTGACTCAGACACATAGAATGTTGGGGTGACTGTCCCTTTTAGTATCTTCAGTCTACAGTCGAGGAAACTGAGGACCAGAGATAAGAACACACAGGCCAAGACCACACAATGTGATGGGTAGAATGGAAACACAGCTGTTGATCTCTAGGCCAACTCTGAATCTTCCATACCAACCCAATATGCTCGTCAGTTCTGTGAACTAAAGTTGCCTCAACATATAGCTAAAACGTTTTGTAAACTTTTGAAGGGTACAGAAAAACAATATGAGAGATAACTACATTTATTAAAGATGTTTTGTTGTTTATTTGTTTTTATATTTTTTTACTTTTTTTTCAACTTTTATTTTAGATTCAGGGGGTACATGTGGCAGGTTTGCAACCAGGATACATTGCAGGATGCTGAAGTTTGGGGTATGAATGATCCTGCCGCCCAGGGACTGAGCATAGGACCCAATAATTCGTTTTTCAACCCTTTCTTCCTTCCTTCCCTCCTCCATCTAGTAGTGCGCCCAGCTTCTATTGTTGCTGTCTTTATGTCTATAAGTACCTGATGTTTAGCTCCCACTTACATGAGAACATGCAGTATTTAGTTTTCTGTTTCTGTGTTAATTCACTTAGGATAATGCCACGTTGCTGCAAAGGACATGATATTTTTTATGGCTGCATAATATTCTGTGCTGTGTATGGACCACATATCTTTATCCAATCCACCATTTAGGTTGACTCCATGTCTTTGCTATTATGAAAAGTGCTGTGATGAACAGGCAGGTACATGTGTCTTTTTGGTAGAAAGATTTGTGTTCTTTTGGATATATACCCAGTAATGGGATTGCTGGGTCACATGCTAGTTCTAAGTTCTTTGAGAAATCTCCAGACTGCTTTCCACAGTGGCTGAACTAATTTACATTCCCACCAAGAGTGTGTAAGCATTCGCTGTTCTCCACAGCCTCACCAGCATTTGTTGTTTTTTGACTTTTTAATAATAGTCGTTCTGACTGGTGTGAGATGGTATCTCATTGTGGTTTTGATTTGCATTTCTCTGATGACTAGTGATTTGGAGGCTTTTCTCATATGTTCATTGGCTGCTTGTATGTCTTCTTTTGATAAGTGTCTGTTACTGTCTTCTGCTCATTTTTTAATAGGGGTATTTGTTTTTTGCTTGTTGAATTAAGTTCCTTATAGATTCTGAATATTATTGTTAGATGCATAGTTTGTTAATATTTTCCCCATTCTGTAGGTTATCTGTTTACTTAATTGGTAGTCTCTTTTGTTGGACAGAAGCTCTTTAATTAGGTCCCACTTGTCAATTTTTGTTTTCATTGTAATTGCTTTTGAGGACATAGTCACAAATTATTTTCCAAGGCCAATGTCCAGATGATGTTTCCTAGGTTTTCCTCAAGGATTCTTATAGTTTGAGATCTTACATTGAAATCATTAGCCCATCTTGAGTTAAATTTTGTATATGGTGAAAGGTAGGGGTCCAGTTTAATTCTTTGGCATATGGCTTGCCAGCTATCCCAGCACCATTTATTGAATAGGGAGTCCTTTCCCCACTGTCTATTTTTGTTGACTTTGTCAAAGATCAGATGGCTGTAGGTGTACAGCTTTATTTCTGGGTTCTTTGTTCTGTTCTATTGTTCTATGTGTCTGTTTTTGTACCAGTACCATGCCTATTCTCACCACTTCTTGTCTTTTTCCACTTCTCAAGGGGAATGTTTCCAGTTGTTGCCCATTCAGTATAATGTTGGCTGTAGGTTTGTCATAGATGACTCATTATTTTGAGGTCAGTTCCTTTGATGCCAAGTTTCTTGAAGGTTTTTATCATGAAGAGATGTTGAATTTTATCCAAAGTTTTTTCCCTGTCTATTGAGATGATTGTATGGTTTTTGTTTTTAATTCTGCTTATGTGGTGAATCACACATTTATTGATTTATGTATTTGAACCAACCTTGCATCCCAGGAATGAAGCCTACTTGATCGTGGTGAATTAACTTTTTGATGTGTTGTTGGATTTGATTTGCTAGTATTTTGTGAAGAATTTTTGAACCTATGTTCATCAGGGATATTGACCTGTACTTTTCTTTTCTCATTGTGTCTTTTCCAGGTATTGGCATCAAGGTGATGCTAGCTGTGTAGCAATGTTAGAGAGGAGTCCTTCCTCTTCAATTCTTTGGAATAATTTCAGTAGAATTGCTAACCACTCATAAAATTGGTAATAGCTCTCTTTTTATGTCTGGTAGAATTCAGCCATGGATCCATTTGGTCTGGAGCGTTTTTTGATTGGTAGGTTTTTTATTATTGGTTCAATATTGGAACTTGATATTGTTCTGTTCAGGGTTTCAATTTCTTCCTGATTCAATCTTGGGAAATTGTGTGTTGCCAGGAATTTATCCATTTCCTCTAGATTTTTAAATTTGTGTGCATAGAAGATGTTTATAATGGTCTCTGAGGATTTTTTGTATTTCTGTGGGATTGCTTTTAATGTCACTTTTGTCATTTATGGTTTGGATTTTCTCTCTTTCTTGTCAATCTAGCTAGCAGTGTATCAATCTTGTTTATCCTTTCAAAGAACAAATTTTTGGTTTCTTTGATTTTTTTTATGGACTTTGGGTCTCAAGTTTGTCCAGTTCTGCTCTAAATTCAGTTATTCTTAAAACGAGCAAGTTTTGTTCATTTCTTTTAAGCCCATTCTTGTTGTTTGTGTTGTGTGTTGTGTGTTTGTGTATGCGTCTGTGTGCATATATACATATGCACACACACACTTGCAGACAAGTTCCCGATTCACTGGTGTTTCTGTAAGCACAGTCTGATTAAAATGTAAAAAAAAAAAGCATTCTGGCTCCCTACAAAGGTTTCAAATGCAACCACTGAAAACACTTTAGGCTAAACCTGAAAAGGGCAGGGGAGGGGAAATCTTATGCAACAATTTCTTGTCTTTGCCAAACACTAGTGCTTCGAAGTGAAGAAGAGAGCTGCACACCTGTGTCCATTGGCATCAAGTTAAATAGATACAAAAAATTAGGCAAACAGCCAATCATCTGTCATCTAAAGATTCACTTGAAGGATTTTAATAGAATTTTTACAAGTAGGGATTTAAAATTTCCATACTTGGAGAGTCTTCCTCAGATATTTACAGAGACATTACAATTTTTTGTGACATTCATGCAAAATTAGGAAGTCATATTAATTATAGATATTTAGAAGCAATCATGTTAATAACTTTGGGGAAACCCAGGTAGGTTTGAGTAAGTGATTGTTTATCACACTTCACCATTTACTTTTGTTTTTACCCTTGATAATTCTGTCTTCATATAATGATAATCATATATCGTTGACAACTTTTATCTCAAATACTCACTGGTATTAACTCTCTGTTACAGATTTCATCACTCATTTGTTCAAGCTTTATGGAATTCCATTCTTTGCCAGGCACTGTTCTCTGCACCAGGGATAGAACTGAACAAACACATAACTCTGTCCTCAAGAAGTTTATGTTCTAGAGAGAATTTTTAACATTTTCCTAAATTTTGTTTTGTAAACCAAACTTCCTCTGTTCCAACAGCAGAAAATAAAAATAAATGGACTATCTGTGAAATCTATTATGAATCTCATTTTGGAAAAGCCATTACCTGGAATTCTGAACTCTGAAATATGTACTTGCTAGGGATTTCCATGACCAACAGGCAATGGTAAGAAATAAATGTCCCTGTATGGATTGTCTCAGGGGCTTCAGGTGCTGTGGCGAGAGTATGCCATTTTAGTTATTTATTTTCATAAGACTCAGGAAGTAGGTATTTTTAAGAACAGTTCTAATAAGACAGGTTTCATAATATAGTGGATAAATAACCACTGGCAGCTTTTAGCACTTTAAAATTTCTAAATTGCTCTCTAGAACCACTTTGTCATTAGCCACATATAGTCCTATGGGGTCAGGTGGGGTGGGAGATAACCCCACTGTAAGCACACTAACTTCTAGCCTCAGAACAAGGCAGCCCACCAGGAGATGGGGCACCTACCCTTGTCACTTGGTCTCTTGCAGAGTTGGCTTCCTGGAGCAATGTGTCTTACTGAGGGTCACTGCAAGAAATCTCTTTATGAAAACGGTCACTCCAAATCTTTCATGGAAAAAATGAGAATATAAATAAGTAATTTCTTGTTGCACTTGTTACTGTTGTGACACTGCACACTAACCCTCAAACCTGATAGAAAAATCCAAGGTAATGCCTTTCGCATTTGGTTTTCAGAAAAGATTTCCTTCTTCCAAAGAACTAAAATGTTTTATTCATGTCTAATGAAAATGTTGCTTCTCACCATGTCTCTACTTTTTTATGCATTCCAAGAAACTCTGAGTCAAATTTGAAGGTGACATATTATGTTTTTGTAGGGCTTTTGGTCCACAAAAGATGGGCCTTTTCTACTAAGTAGGACCACTTTCCTACTTCCATTTTCACACTACTAATTCTTAGTAATGGTGTTTTTTCTGCCTGTTTCAGGCTGTTACGTTTTAATAGTATGATATTTTTCTGCTTGTCTTAACCTGCCTCAAATCCTTTTTGGAGTGAGTAGAATGAGATGGAGTATACTTACATTTATATGCATCCTAAGTTTATAAGTAGAGAAATTAATCATAGACATTATAAGTGCTGGGTCCAAGGTAACAAAGCTTGGATAGACCTAGACTTGGAACCCAGATTTCTGAGCAATTAGTCTGTGTTCATTTTATTATGCCACCTCCGTTCCCCTTATTTTTTTTTTTGGATTGGCAAATTCTTTATTTTTTTATTCCCCTTATTAACTATAAGGTAAATACCAAAGACATCTTGATTGGAAAAGTGTCTGAACTTTACAGAACCATAACACATTTGCTGCCCCCATGAATCTTCTCCGCAAATTGACCCTGTCTAGCTCTACTGTTCAGATTCTCTTCATCAGTCCAGGTCACTAGCACCAGCACAATAAAAATTCACTTCAATTTATCCAAAACCTAAGCTGGTTTGGCCAAACATTGATGATTTAACTATGTGGTTTCAGTCAGTCAGGACTTAAACATTAAGAAAGAAACACAGACCCTAAGGGAAAAAATTGGTTGGCTATGAATGCCGCTGAAGCTAAGATAGATGTCTATGATGTACTCGTAGCTAAAGATAATCTTTTCTTAAAGTTCTTCTTCTGCCTAACAGAATCCCCTTGGACTTACTTAAGTCGAAGTCCAGACATTTGGATTTCATCCAAAATGCTCAGTTCCCAGTTTCAGAAGGAGAACTCAGGCAGTCCCGTCAGTTAAAGAGCGATAGCAGCACAAGAAATGCTGCCATGTCTTTATCAATATTCAAGCCCTGGCTAAGCGATCCAAATCCGGTGTAGGAGTTTGTATTTCTGTCTCTCCATTGATCTAGGAGCCCCAGTGGTGTCATCCCAGGGAGCTGAATGCCAGTTTATTTAATATACTGATCTCTGAATTCCATTAATATAAATGGCCGCCTACAGTGTTAAGCCTGTCCATCGCAAAGACAGATTTCTGCTAAAGCGATGACTACTTAAGGTGCCACCTCTTCGTGATGGTTATTCCCCTGCCTACAATCTCTGGAAATAAAGATTTAATAATAACAATGGGTTTCCAGTGAAGAATTGTAAAGGTCATCAGATGGCCCCGGGGTAGCTGGCCAGTCCAGGCTCTCAGCACCTGACAACAGGCCCACAGCATAACCTAGGTCAACTGAGAGAGGTAACCTATCCCGTTGACTATTTCAACCAACAGATACCCGTGGAGCCCCTTCTAAGATTCAGGCTAGAAATGCTTGCTGTGGATACTGTCATAAATATAAAAGACACTGATGGTTTTCAAGTAAGCAGACTTTCCCAGCTCTGACAAAGGAAGTGGAAGGAACATAGATGGCTGGAAGCCACTATAGATGGACTTCAGAGAAGCTCAGCCTGAGAAAGGGTCTCAGGGAGGGAAGGGAGGGAGCTGCACACAGACAGGGAAGACACAGCCCAGGGAACCACAAGTGCCAGGGCAGAGCCAGGAGCATGTGAGCCCTAAAGTGGCTCCAGAAGCCCACAGATGAGGGGACACACCACTGAGTTTGCAGAAGTGGGAGAAGGGAGCTCAGAGCCACACAGAAAATGGCTGGGAGCTCAGATTGGAAATGCCATAGAAAGCAACTAAAGTCTTTTAAGCAAAAGAATGACAAGATCTGAGTCACATTTTAAAGTCACCAATATGACTTCTGTGTAGACTATAGACATGCAGAGCAAAGGCGGGAACACCAGGAAGGGGCTCCCAGAATCCAGCGCTCATTCTGCAGAGCAAAGGTAGGAACACTAGGAAGGGGCTCCTAGAACCCAGCAGCTCATTATGCAGAGCAAAGGCAGGAGCACCAGGAAGGGGCCCCTAGAACCCAGCCGTTCATTATGCAGAGCAAAGACAGGAACACCAGGAAGGGGCCCCTAGAACCCAGCTGTTCATTATGCAGAGCAAAGGCAGGAACACCAGGAAGGGGCTCCTAGAACCCAGCTGTTCATTATGCAGAGCAAAAGCAGGAACACCAGGAAGGGGCTCCTAGAACCCAGCTGTTCATTGTGCAGAGCAAAGGTAGGAGCACCAGGAAGGGGCTTCTAGAACCCAGCTGTTCATTATGCAGAGCAAAGGCAGGAACACCAGGAAGGGGCTCCTAGAACCCAGCTGTTCATTATGCAGAGCAAAGGTAGGAGCACCAGGAAGGGGCTTCTAGAACCCAGCAGCTCATTATGCAGAGCAAAGGCAGGAGCACCAGGAAGGGGCTCCTAGAACCCAGCTGTTCATTGTGCAGAGCAAAGGCAGGAACACCAGGAAGGGGCCCCTAGAACCCAGCTGTTCATTATGCAGAGCAAAGGCAGGAACACCAGGAAGGGGCTCCTAGAACCCAGCTGTTCATTATGCAGAGCAAAAGCAGGAACACCAGGAAGGGGCCCCTAGAACCCAGCTGTTCATTGTGCAGAGCAAAGGCAGGAGCACCAGGAAGGGGGTCCTAGAACCCAGCAGCTAATATGACTTCAGGAGTGCTTCATGTTCGTCTTTGACTCACCTTCTGGAAGTTTTGCTGTATTTTAGCACTTGCCCAGAAGTACAGGGCTACAGAGAGGTAGAAATGAAGTTAGCTACTCACTAGTAACTCAGATGAGGGAAAAACTCAGGGCTATGTTTAAAGGTGATCAATTACCTGACAGCCAGTTACCAGGCACAGCTGTTCACTGGATATATTTTCATCACTACCATGTCCCAAATATATCCGCTAGAAAGCAACCGAAAATGAAACCATGGCGACTACAACAATTCTCCTACCCACTGATAAAGTTTGCAGATCTTGCCCATAAACCTGAACTAAACTTTAGTCATTCAAGTTAGCCCACAAGGAGTCCCTGCCGTGCCATGGGAGGTCAATCTCGCATGAGGAGCACCTGGTTGCCTTGGCCTCTCAGCTGTGCAGCTCCCAGTTAGGCCTCTGAGCTATAGCTCCCTCAGAGGTCAGATGGTTTTCAAACTGTTTCCTCAGGAGATGCTCAGGGCCCAGGACATGAGAGGGAGACCAAAGGGATGGGGCTCCAGGCCTCACCCCTGACTCAACTGGATCAGCCAGGTAGTATCTGTTTCCTCCCTGAGGCTCTGAGATTTCATTTTAAAGTAGGATTCCCCTGTCCCAGAATACTGCAAATTATGTAACTAGATGATCTCAGAGGACACTTGTAATTCTGCAATCTGCCATTTGTCACTTAGCCAAAGCCCAAGCGACCAGCCTCTACTTTCACTGCTGCAGCCAAGACCGCCATGACTCTTTTCGCTGGACCCACAGTCCTTGTCCTACTCGACCCAGAAGCAACATTTGAGGCTGTGGACCAATGGCCTCCCCCTGGGGACTCACTTCTCACCCACACTTGTGGCCTCGAATGCCATCAGCAGACTGATGCTTCCACAATGTATACATCCAGCCCAGGTCCCTCTCCCCAGTGGCGCCAGGTTGTATACGTCCAGCCCAGGTGTCTCTCCCCAGTGGTGCCAGATGCACATTTCAGCTTCTGGAAACCTCTGTTTGCAGTTCCCACAGCAACAGAAACTCAACATGGTCACAATGGAGCCTCCTACTTTTCCCAAAGCCTGGCTTTCCTCATTTGCATATCTCATTGTAGCTATGCGTAACAGTCTTCTCATGCTTAAGGTCTCCCATATAATGAGCTCGGAAGTTGTGTGTGTGTGCACTTTCGCATATGTGCACATTTGTATAAAATCTGCATCCTCGGTTAAGGCTAGAGCTTAATAAGCTATTAATTTGTCATCTCTCCTCTCCATTATCCTGACCCCTTACATTCAGTATCTATTTCCTAGACCAAAAACGTACTAACCTAGGCACCATTTATTCAGGACCTAACTAAGGAGCAGCCAGTCAGATTGATAAACTAATGTGACACCAGCTGAGTCGATGGGGTAATAGACCAGGCAGCATTCTTGGATGTTATAGAACTCTTCTGGAAGCAAAGGCTAAACCTAAATGGCTTTGACCCTTAATTGTGGACAATTTTAGACATCATAGGAAGCTGGATGCTTAAAAATCACATTCACTGAGCAGAGCCCTTGGTAACCTCCATATTCCACCGCCTTTGGGAACGCCTGCTCACCCTGACGCACACAAGTTGTTCCTCACCACTTTAATAAAATTTTGCTTTGTTAATCCTAAACAATTTTGCAGTTCATATTAGATAGTACTTTTAAGCCTCAGACATATCTCTTATATAGTAGTGTTGTGTAGACAACAAAGATTCTGGAAATAAGAGGATAAAGGAGAGGACTGTGATAGCAATATTGCACCACCAGGGAGAAATCACAAGGCTGCAGGCCATTTCTAAAGCACTTGTGATCAACTCCTGCATATACAATGCCATAGTTACCCAAATCAATATTTCAGGACAGCAACCACAGAGAATATTTTCTAAGCATTAATTATAGCTAATGTGTAAATCAAAGGATAAAAGCACTGTCACTAACTGCCCTTTATTTGTTCTTAAAATTCTATCTGCAGTTGCTTTATATTTGAATATCTTCATTCGTTATCAGAGACCATTCACAGGGAGAGAAGGCAATTATTGAACACAATCAACTTTCTTTGCCCATATGTTTCCCTGTGTCATTAGATGAATAACTCTCTCTATTTCATCCCTCTGATATCTTCTCCACACGTGTAAATCCTAAAGAACCATTTTGGTAACCTCACACTACTCAGACTATTTTGGAATATTCTATCCAACTATGGATGTCATATATTAAAAGTGTTGGCAAGCTAGGTGATATGGTTTGGATCTGTGTCCCCACCAAAATCTCATGTAGAATTGCAATCCCAAATGCTGGAGGTGGAACCTGGTGGAAGACGACTGGATCATGGGGGCGGGTTCTAATGATTTAGCACTATCCCCCTAGTACTGTTCTTGTGATAGAGTTCTCATGACTGTTTAAAAGTGTGCGGCACCTCCCCTGTCTCTCTTCCTCCTGCTCTGGCCATGGAAGAGGTGCCTGCCTCCCCTTTGCCTTCCACCATGATCGTAAGTTTCCTGAGACCTCCCCAGAAGCTGAGCAGAAGCCACAATGCTTCCTGTACAGCCTGTAGAACCATAAGCCAATTAAACCTATTTTTTTTTGTAAATTACCCAGTCTCAGGTATTTCTTTATAGCAATGTAAGAACGGATTAATACACTACAATTCATCCAGAAGAGGGTGATGACGAGGATGCAGTGATAGAAACTGCCACTTAAGGAACTATCAAAAATGAGGACAGAGAAGAGAGGGTTTGGAGAGGACATGATGGCTGTTTCGAAGCACCTGCAGGTCACGTGGAACGGGAGGAGCACGTTCAGGTCCCTCAAAGGGAGCGCAGTAGCTAATGGTGCAGATAGACTCTGGGTTCCAACCCTGACTCCAGCCAGCGCTCGCTGCATGGCCTCACGGGGGTCCTGGGATCACCTCGCCCAGCTGTGGGGCAACTGCATGAGACAGTCAAGGAAAGTAGTAGTTCTTGGCACATGGGAAGGCACTCAATAAATTTTATTGACAAACTAATCAACAGCAGTTTGAAAATCTACAAAGAATTCCCTGCAAAAAAAAAAAAATTTCCAAACTGAAGTCAGAGGTAACTCTATTTGTTGACCGTGGTGAAATCTGAGGTTGTCCAAAGGCAGTTGGCAAAGAATATCATCCACACCTGTCTGCCGGGGTCCGTAGCACCTTGCTGCACTGCACCATTGGCTCTCACGGGCCCCCAGCTCCCCAACTCATCCCACGGATCTTGGGACTCATCAGCCTCCATAATCATGTGAGCCAATTCCTCATCATAACTCTTGTTCTTTCCTTCTTATTGGTTCTGCTTCTCTAGAAAACCCTGACTGATAGATCCAAGTCTCTCTGGCTCCCCCGTTCACACACAGCCCTTCAGACCACAGCTGCAATCTCAGTCCTCTCTAGCTTCCAAGCCTGCTCTTGAAGAGAACAGCTTCCTAACGGTACATTTGTAGGCCGGTACTGCAAGGAGATTTTCAGTAGGCTTGGAAAAGAGGAAAAATATTATGATTAATGACAATCTGGGAGTTTTTACTTAAGCTAATTTTTTTATTCTAATATAATGTCCTCGTACCATTTTGCTGTTTTGTTTTGTTTTGATGGAGTCTCACTCTGTTGCCCAGGCTGCAGTGCAGTGGTGCTATCTTGGCTCACTGCCAGCTCTGCGTACTGGGTTCATGCCATTCTTCTGCCTCAGCCTCCTGAGTAGCTGAAACTACAGGCACCCACCATCATGCTCAGCTAATTTTTTTTTGTATTTTTAGTAGAGACGGGGTTTCACCATGTTAGCCAGGATGGTCTCGATCTCCCTGACCTCGTGATCCACCCACCTTGGCCTCCCAAAGTGCTGGGATTACAGGCGTGAGCCACCACACCTAGCCCCATTTTGGTTTTAAATGCTATGTCTTTTGTGGGATTGTGGTGAGAAAAAAACAAACATTATTTTAATCAACATCTTCACTTAGAAAATGTAAAGATGGCGACCTGAATGTAGTTTACATTTTTCCTGCAATTTTAATGGTCTATGAAATTCCTAATTCTGGGAAGCCCTGCTCTTAAAAGCATTGAATGTTTATGACCTTGATGGCAGTGATGGTTTCACAGGTGTATACATAGCCCCAAACTCATCAAGTTGTATACATTAAATATGTGCAGCTTTTGACATATCAATCATACCTCAATAATGTGGTTTAAATATGTATATACATATATATGTACACACATATACATGGACCATATATACATATTTAACATATATATTTATATACATGTATATACACATATACATATATGTGTAAGTAGAGTCCAGGAGCATCCATATGTATATCTGAGTGCGTGCATATATACAAAGCTTGGCACTCCAGTACCTCTGAATACACTTATTTGCTCATTCAACTAGCATTCATTGAGAGTTTACTATGGCTCATACTCTGACCAAGCCCTGAGGATCCAAATCTTCTCAAAGCTATAGACCAGCAGGGCTATATATAATGTAAAATCAGCTTCAACACAGTGTCACGGGGTCTATGCTATAGAAAGTGAGGGTGCTACAGAAGTGTGAACCTGGAGCCCTGCCTTGGCTAGGATGGGAAAGAAGGTTACTGAGGGAGAGCTGTACCAGCCAAGAGCCAAAGGGCTGGGCAGAAAATAGCCAGAGAAAGTGAGGAGGAAGAAGGAAAAACACACAGAACACCTTGAGGAATCAGAAAGCCAAAAACAAAGTATTTGTACGATTAGAATATGAAGAGTGTGGAGGAGGCAACTGAGGTCTGGGAGGAGAGGAAGGACCAGAAGGATAGAAACACAAACAGGAACCAGACCAAGAGGGGCCTGAGCCCTGCCTTTAGGACTCGGGATTCCAGCAAGGACAATGGGAAACACGCAAGAGTTTAAACAGGATTGGATCAGGTTTACGGTTGGATCTTCGGTGTGGACAATGGGTTAAAGGTGGACATGGTGAACACAGGGAGACCAGCTGGGAGTAAGCAGTCTCAGACAGAGACATCCAGAGCTTGGGCCAGGGACAGCAGGGAGCCTTGGGCATGGTCATAGTCATGGAGAGAGGATCCCATGTTTCTTTCTAGGCTGCTGGGGTGGCAACCTCGGACAGAAACATCCAGAGCTCAGACGAGGGTCGGTGGGGAGCATTGGGCATGGTCATGGACTGAGGCTCCCACATTTCTTTCTAGGCTTCTGGGGAGACAATGGCACCATTCGTTAAGCCAGGCAGCTTCAGAATGGATGAGTTCGTTTGGGGACATGTTTGAGATATTTGTGGGACACGCAAAATGCAATGTCTCTCGAGAAGACAGGTGGGCCTGAGGCTGAAGAGAGAGACCGAGCATGAGATGAGGATGCAGAAGGCACCAGTACAGAATGTACAGCCTGGAAAAGCCAATGCCAAGAGAAGGTTAGAGCCTGGAGAAGCCTGAGGACCACCTGCGTCTAGGAAGCAGCAAGAATGAGGTGGGGGCAGGGGGATCTCAGTGTCTCAGAAAGAGCCAGGAGCCACCAGATTGGTGAGGACCAGAAACCCCTTCGGACTGGGTGGTCAGTCCAGGGACTTAGGGGCAGAAGCCCCATGAGGGGGCACTAAGGAGTGTGTAGGAGCAAGGGACGGCTAGCACGGGTGGGCTACTTCAGAAATTTGGTGTGACTGGGAGGAAAGAAATGGAGTTTGGGGTGATGGAAAACCAGGGTGCAGGGAGAGGTATTTTGAGATTGAACTCTTCCGGTCTAGATAAAAGTGTCAAAAAAGAGAGAATTTTGCAGAGACATCCATAAGGGAAGGTCACTGCAAAGGCAGGTGGCCAAGTTGCCCCTAGTAGGAGGGAAGGAGGACAGGTTGGGAGGACGCCAGGGAGGGGTCAGGTGGCATTGCCTGATGTCTGTTCACTCTGGAGGGAGGCAAGGTCATCTTATGAAGCTGCATGGAGGAGAGGCTGCATGGAGGAGGCAGGCAGGTGAAATGTTCGAGACTGGTGTAGAAGGTGAGGCATCCATGAAGGAAACAGAAGAGGCAGTGTCATGTTTCTGTGTCACACTGACAGAAATCAAGTGCAGCCCCCACCTTGTGACTTTCTGGATAGTACTTCCCCAAGCCCTCCTTTACATCATGTTTTACTTTTTCTCCCCACTGTCTTGAGAGTGAGACCAGGTCCTTACCAATTGAATCTCAACATTTTGTGTGTCCCAAAATACCCACACAGCACCTCACACATCACCATGACTCAAGAAAGCCTCGATCGAGATTGGCTGGTGTGATTTCCGCGCCTTTGCTCCCAGCGGCCCAGCCCCCGCCCCACAGCCTCACAGCCGCCCATTCTCCCCACTAAGGAGCAGCAGTCCCTTTAACTCACTCACGCAGCTCACAACATGGCAGACAGGTGACAGACAGCTCGTGTGCACCTAAAGAAACGTGGGGTCAGTCATTTGAGCACAGCAGAGCAAGGCGCCCAAAGGAAGTTATTGGACTAGACCCATTCTTTGTCAGGAATCTGAAAGTGAGAATTGACGGTATATTAATAAATAATATAATACAATTAATTAATTATTAGTTAATATAATATGTAACTATGAATGTATGTTATGTATTATATTAACTAATAATTGTTTTATACTTATATTATTTATACATTAATTTGATTTATTATTAATCATTAAATTGTATGTTAAGAAATACATAAATTTATGTATTAATAATATAATTATATTGTTATTAATAATTAATTAATTGATAATGTGGCCAGCATGCCAGCTTGTCCCTGGGTTCTTCAGAGTTCTGTCCTGTGGGCTGATCCCAAATTGTCCTTTAATCCAGACCCATCCCCCTCACCTACCCCTACAAAAGGGCTCAAATCACCAGGTTATTATTAGTTAACTGATCAATAACCCATGGAGGGGGAATCCCCAGAAAACCCTGCCTGTCTAGACCATTGTCCCCTTCACACCAGGAAAGTTTGGTTTTGCAAGCAAGACCCTCAGAACCTACACACAGTAAAATCACAGTTCTTCTCCCATAGACCCTGCAGTGAGTCAGATGTCACCACCACCAGCTCTCACAGGCAGAAGGAATTGTCGAGACTGAGGCCTGAAAGAGAGAGAGCTTTCCTTCAGGTTGCCGGCAAATTCTAGCAGATCTGAAGCCGTAAGCCGGGGCTTTTTAATTCCCAGCCAGTTCTTTCCACTGCATTCGTCCCAATCATTCAATTTTGAGCAGATAGGGTAAGAATCTCTTGAGTTTGGGTGGCCCAAGCCAAGATCAGAACGTAGCCCGCCTCGTTCTCCCAGCTCCTGTTTTGTGTCCCAGAGCTGGGGGCAACACTTAAGTCCTTTCCTCTGACTGGGCCTGGAGGCCCCCAGAGCCGAACATCTCCCATCTTTATTTTTCTTACATGGTGTCAAAGTCAAGTTAAGCTGAGCACTGAAATTGGTGTTTTCTGCCTCAGAGATAAAAATAGTTGGTGAAGCTTAAAGAAGTTCTGCCCCAGTTTATTTAAGGCATAATCTCAAATATCCCTTTGTCCTAATTATCATGCTATCCCCCGAAGGCAAGGAGCACAGAGAAAATCGGAGAGCAGTGCTAGGTTTTATTTTTGATCTTCAATTCAACTCTGTCAAATATTTACAAATCCCCTCAGAGCGTGAGTCCACTGGGCGAGTGTCATTGGGTTCACCAAGTGGGAGAAAAAATTAAAATGAAATGAAGCAAGGGCAGAATTCCTAAGGAGTAGGAAGCCTTCATTCCAAAGCCGTTCGGGGATGGTCGATGGTTTTAATGCACTGACAGGTGCTCAGCCTTTTTCACCATCTCCCTAACCTTGAACCAGGAACTCAGAGCACTTCACAGGGTGCCCCATCCACATCGCGGTTCAGCCAGGGCCAGCAGAGCCAGCTGCTTCTGCATTAGTCCTGTCCCTGGTAAGACTGCCCTAACATTTGGGTTCTACCACAAGGCAAATACCATGGAAATCTGAATTTATGATGATGAGGGTATATATTTTTATGGAAAAAAAAATGCCTAGGCAGACATTTTCTTTTAGGATGCTGGATTGAGCCATAAATCCAGCCTAAGGTTTACCTTTGGGCCTCTTAGTGAAGTACCTGATTCCATTAAGAGTAGAAACATCCTTCAAAAACAGCTGTGGAACAAATACAACCTGCAAACAGCAGGTCTGAAACAGACTCTCCCTCGTCAACCACTTCTCAATTCCTGCAGCCCTACGTCTATCAACACAGACGTCTTAGAGTCTCTGGGACCTCGTTCTATACGGGACTTGTCTTTTTTAGAGTCTGAAATTCGCATTTCTCCCTTCAAATTCCCCACTTTAAATTAACATGAAAAGGCTAAACTTTAATAGAAGAGCCGCTCAATTATGATCTGGGCAATGGATGGGTGTGAATTCCTTTATTCTACAAATATTTATTGGGCCTTCGATATGGAGAAGGCCCATGCTAGGCAATGAGAAATGCTGTTACACTATGAAATGTTCTAACAATTAAATGCTTCTGTGTGTAGAATGGTTTATAACTAACTCAAAGTGCTCTGTGCAAAGGATCCCCGAAGTGAGCGGCGTGCTGGCCACGAAGAGTTTCATCACTTACTGTAAATCACATAAACAAATAACAGCATTATTTAAATGAGGGCCCTTTACTTACAGAAACCCTATTGCAGTTATTTTCTTTCAAGATCTAATTAGATTTAAAGCTTCATTTGGAAAACAGAAGATGAAAATGAACCTCTTATCCTAAGGGCATCTGGATGAGAATCAAATGCATACATGATTTTTTTTTATCATACAGCATATTTGCCCAGGTCATAAGCAAACAAAAGAGCTCTGTTCTACGGTGTAGTAAGAAGGAAGAAAAAATAAACTGAGCCATGTCTTGTGACAGTCGATGCTCATGCTTAGTGTGTTCATGATTGATTCCCTTGTTTTTGACACTGTTTTAGGAAAATTAGCACTAATTTGATCAGTCCCTGTACATTTGAGATACATAAATTTAGGGATTGTATTGAAACTCCCAAAACAAACATACACTACACCATACTTTTAGGAGTCAATATAAAGTATTCTGAAATTGAAAATAAACAGATAAGTAAGTTACACCCATCCTTAAAGATGTACAATGAGTAACATGGCCCTTAGTGGGGCCTTTAAATATTTGAATGATTGGCTGGATGAGCCAGTGAGACAACTCAGCGGACAACTTTTGAACTTGGCCCACTTGGAAAGCACATGCCTTTGTCAGAAGCTCATTCTATCAGGCCACAGTATTTGTTACAAAACATACAAATATAACTGCTTTCTGATTGTAGTAACTATATTTTTTTAATGTTCCTAAAACAAAGCATATGAAGAAGAAACACGCTTGTATTCTTCATTTTGCCAAAAGATTCTTAAATTTAAAGGAGCTGCAGGAAAGTTCTTGCGTACATGAAGCTGCCAGGTGCATTTAAGTGGTGGTCTATAAAGCAGTGGCTTTCTGGCTGGGCGCGGTGGCTCATGCCTGCAATCCCAGCACTTTGGAGGCCGAGGCAGACAGATCGCTTGAGCACAGGAGTTCGTGACTAGCCTGGGTAACACGGCAAAACCCCATCTAAAAAAAATAAAATAAACAAATACAAAAATCAGCCAAGCATAGTGGTGTGCACCTGTAGTCCCAGCAACTCAAGAGGCTGAGGTGGGAGGATTGCTTGAGCCTGGGAGGCAGAGGCTGCATGAGCTGAGATCATGCCACTGCACTCCAGCCTGGGTGACAGAGTGGGACACTGTCTCAAAAAAAAAACAAAAGAAAAATTAAAAAATAAAGTGGTGCCTTCTTGACCACACTCAGCAGAGACGGATAAGGCACAGAAATGTACAGTTCAGAGGAGCCACTGCTGAGAGATTGGTCGGGAATGACTATCAGGCCACCTCTGGAAAGACCAAGTCTGTGTGAGTCCATTATAGAGATTCTATCCACACTTGCTCTGTGACCACATCTACCCCGTCACATCCGTTGGTCCCTGTGGAAGTTGCCTCTTTGCAGTGACACTTTCATAGATTTCTTGAGGAGTCACTGACTGGCAGACAGTGGCACTTTTAACAAGATGGAAACTCCCTGTGCAGATAATTAAGAGTCCCAGAGAGAGGAGAAGTAGTGCTTCCCGCATCTGCTCCCACCTCCAGCCTCCTGGGTCCGCTCAGCTCCATCCACTTACTCCGTCTGAGCTTCCCAGGGACTTCCAGCCACCAGGTGAAGAAAGCATGTGAGAAGCTGTTCGCTGGTCAGTGTCCTTCACTGGCTTCTCCAGGTTTCCCCTAACAGGAAAGGGTTTCTCATTCCAATCTGCGTTTTAGGGTGCTGAGCACCTCCATGTAGGGGTGCCAAGCCACCTGCGTGTCTGGGTGCTGAGCCACCTGCATGTCGGGGTGCTGAGCACCTGTGTGTTGGCGTGCCAAGCCACCTGCGTGTCTGGGTGCTGAGCCACCTGCATGTCAGGGTGCCAAGCCACCTGCGTGTTGGGGTGCTGAGCCACCTGCATGTTGGGGTGCTGAGTGACCTGCATGTTGGGGTGCTGAGAGACCTGTGTGTCGGGGTGCTGAGCCATCTGTGTCTTGAGGTGCTGAGCACCTGCATGTTGGGGTGCCGAGCCAACTGCGTGTCGGGGTGCTGGGCACCTACTTGCTTGTCCTCACTTATGCCCCTTCCTTCTCTGGCCCTGGACTCTCAGCCCATGCCTGGCCACCTGGGTGTAGACCTCACATGGCTCCAATCTGACTCACTTCTGCAGTCACTCCTGTGCCCACGGCTGCTCCCTGGGAATGGATGGAGTGTGGGCTTGGTGCCTGGCCTAGAAGACGAAAGAAGAGGGGGCCCTGTATGGACACCTCCACTCTGGCCCCGCCAGAGTTAGGGAAGAGGGAAGGAGAACGGGCTGGCTCAGATGGGGCACCAGGTCCCTTAGATGCCCAGGAAGGAGGCCGTCGAACCCCTGGCTCACAGTGCATCCTCCTCTCCTGGCTTCCCCTAACAGCTGTTTTCCACACGGCCTATGTGATAGCAGGCTTGTTTGGTCACATTTCTGCCTAATTATTTCATGTTCAAAAATCATTACTGACTAAACGATGAGATCCTTAAAGGCCCCTGGCACTTGCCCAGTGGAAAAGTCAGTGAGGAAATCGACGCTGATGCCTCCCAAGCCCAAGCTGAGGTCGCAACAGCCCTCCCTTCTAGACCGGCAGGTCCAGCTGCCAGCCCCTCCACGGGTCCTGAAGGCTCTACACCCAGGCGGCGATTCCCCTGCACCCCGGCCTCCTTGAGGGTCCCTGTCTCAGCGCCACCAGCTACACACACCAAAAACCAGGGCACACTCCTTGACACACTTTCCATTTCATCCCCAAAATCAAACGCAAGCTGCTACCAACGTCCCATCGGGCTTTCCCCTGTGCCTGTGCTTTTTCCACACTCCACACATTTGCCTCGGCCCTTCTCCCACCCCCATCCGAGACACCGCCGCTTCTCACCTGCCCCCCCGGCAGTAGGTCCTGGTTGTGTAGGATGGACCACACTCTCTGCAGCCCATTCCCACACGACAGCCAGAGTGTCTGATCTGCCACTGATCTGACTGGGTCACTCCTGCACCCAAAACCCTCCCATGGCTCTCCGTGACCCTCCAAAGCGATTCCAGACCCATTCTCCTGCTTCATCATAAGCCCCCATCGACCTCACCTCCCATCCCCCAAGGCCGTGAGCAGTCCCTCTGGCCTCCTTCCGCCAGCTCGGCAGCATCCTTGCACCTCCGGCTTTTGCACAAACTGCCCCCATTGCTCTTCACCCCCCTCACTTACCTCATTCTCGTTCTTCCAAACGCCACTTCCTCAGCAAAGCCTCTCCCCGCTGTCAACTTCCCTCTGTACATGCTCACGACACTGCACTTGTCCTCCCTTCGTACCCTGTGATGATGGCTCCACTTCCTGCTGCATGGACTCCTGAATACACCTAATAAATAAATAAATAAATAAATATAAAACAGCAAGCAAACAACAGAAACCACCGCTGTGCACTCCTGCATTACATCAGATCCAATTTACCTGAACCACAAGAGGTTAATTGCTTCCAAAGGTGGTGTGTTTTCTAACTGGTGCAAAAAAGACCATTGCAAACTCTGGGATTTAGGACTTTTCTACGACAATTCATGACAGTGATGATGAGACTGTGTGCTCGGAGGAGCCACAGAGCAGAGGGTACACAGACCCTGCAGAGGCACAGCAGGGCCTGGAATTCAGCAGGGGACTAAGGCACCCGGAGTCACACAGTGGGAGGCCATCACAAACCCCAGCCCTAAGGGACCAGGGAGAGAGTGATTACCCGAACCCACTGGCCGCAGAGAGAGAAATGAGACCCCATCCAAACACGACCTGGCAGGAAAGTTGCCAGGAAATAAAGGCCCCAGCCTCTCCCCTTACCCCCTTCTGATCTTACACCAGGGCCTTCCATTGCCCAAACCCAACCGAAGGCCAGAGCCCTGGAGGGTGGAGTCCCTAGAGACCAGCCTCCCAGGGCCCAGACCGGACGTGGAATGTCAGCATATGGGTCTGAAAGGACAAAGAGGGACTTCCAGGCACACCTGTTCCTTTTGCCAGGTGGACATAAGAGAAAGATGATGGAGAAAGCTCCCACCTCCAAGAGCTGAGGTCTCTCTTCTCTCACACACAAGGCCTTGTTTTGTGTGGGGTTTAGTGAAGCAACAGGTGCTGGCTGTTGGCACGGCTCAGAGCTTATGCATCATACACAGGTGTCCTGGGAGCATCTCTCCTCAGAACCACAGGAACCTGGTTTAGGAACCGCACTCCTGGGGTCACCGCTGCCCTGTCCAGGAAACAGGGCTGACCATGTGGCCCTTGCTCGTCTTCCCCTTTTTTTCTTATGATACAAAAACTAAAACTGGAGGCATTTTGAGCACCTTACAAAATGTGCAGCTTCCAAACTTGTGTGACATTGGCCAAGCTGCCTTTCTGAGCTAATCAGGTGCGTGAACATCACGGCACAGTAGACAACCTCCAGGGCTGGCCTCAAACAGTCTCCCTGCTTCATCTCCTCAAGTGCATTAAGACATTTTCGAGCTTGCTTGCAAGTTCCAACCTTAAAATCCTGATTATTTATTTATGCCCTTTTTGTCTAAGAAGTTAAATCCCCAAAGCATCTCAATTTAGATCAAAAGCAATTTACCAAACTTCACCTGGCGCACCTGTGCCTTGTGATTTGTTAATTACCTGCTTAGCATTTCCAGAGCTGCGAGGCAGAGCCGCAGCCTCGTTGGCTGCAGGGAGAAACCTCTGATACTCGTCTCCTGCATCACAGCCTTCCAGAACGCCTGGGGTGTTCACCGGGTGAAGCTACTCCACCAACTAAGTCACATGCACTTCTGCAAATTGCTCTTATTTTCCAGGGTGAAGAACTCGGCGTGGAGCAAACACACACGTGAATGCAGTAAGCTGCTGACATATTTCTTGGCTACCTGATCAAATTCTACAATGGTCCTAATCTGTCTTATCAGCAGCGTCCTATCACACGTGAGATCATCAAACAGCAGCACCCCGTTTATTCCCCCAGCGCCTTTGGTTGACAATTTGGCATTAGAATATTAGGAATAACAGTAATTATGGCTTTTACAATTGCTTCAAATGAAAGAGATCATTAAAGTGCACACATGAAAAGATTATCTCATTTCTGAGATAGCTCTGTTAGGTTTTCTTCCTTTTTTTAATTTTTTCTCCTTCAAAGTTCCTAGCAATCATCCCTGTGAGTGTTTTCTCTGTAGCTGGGGAAGCAGCAGAGGAATGAAAAAGATAGGGGGTTTGTTAAACAGCACAGTGCCCTGACGTTTTTTGTCCTTCCTCCCACCCCCCAGTTTTCTTGTGAAGAAACAGAAAGCATAACCTTTTCTGAACTCAACACTGCCAGAGAGGGCCAGGGAAGGGTGGCATGTGCCAGGTGCTGGCCTGCCTGGGTCACCTGCATGGAGTTTTTCCTTTTTAAGTTAAGCTCTGGGCAAGTTAAGTATACTCCATGCTTTGAGGCATCTAGAAAATTAAGATTATAAAATTCACTGGCTTCCGGAAGTAATAATAAAGACGTAGCTCAATGCCTCTCCTCTGCAGAGGCGCTCTGATCCTCCATGTAGAAGTGATCACTCCCCCATTGAGCTCCCACTGTACTTTATTTTTATCTCTTCCATGAAACTTGCCACGTTTTGACTTGCACCCTAATTGTAATTATGTCCCAGCTCATTCATGATGCTGCAAGTCCTTTTAAAGCCAGATCCTATCGCTGACTCCTCTGTATCCCTCTTCCGCACCCAAACTGCCTCCCCCTTGGACCTGCACATGGGCACCACTCCTGGCCTGCGCTCAGGGCTGCCACTGAGCCACCTCGTTTACCAGCTCTTGCATGGTTCGTGTCTCTTGGAGTCTTTACTCGTCTGCAGGATTTGCAACATATTCCCAATCAGAACTTGTATTTCCAATCTCGCTTCATGTTCTAAAACTCCATCAGAATTTCTTCCCAAATATCCCACACTATCCCAGTCTTACTGCAAGATCTTGATATATTGATTAGAAGAAATGGTACCTTACAGCAGGGGGCGGGGAGGGAAGTTATCATAGCAATCACAGTTAAATAAATCCTATCCTTCATAAAATAATGAAATGAGTAATCTAAAAAAAATACAATGAATAATGAATCAAGATCAATTGACTTCCAGCTGCTACGAAGAAAAACAGGCTCTGGTTGGTTTTCTACAGGAGCGTGAAATGAGTGGAGCTGCTTCATCCACAAAATGTGATTCATTTGGATAACGGCACTCACCTGGCTCTACATGTGTTGAGTGTTCCAGGACCTGGGGGTGTCTTCACACTAATAAATATTCATTTATGGTTGTAGTTGTGCAAACTGAAAAGATATATGTCTATTTATTCACATCGATGATGATAGTTGGACTAATTCCAAAGCAATACAAAACCAAACAACGCAAGCAGTGCTGTGCTGTATGTGGTGGGAGAGAGTCCTCGCGTCGGAACACCTGGGTTCAAGTCCCTCCTCAGCTAAAGAGCCCGTGTGTTCCGGCCACTGGCTTCCCTCAGGCCCTCAAGCTCCTCAGGCCATAAACTGAAGGGGCCGTAGTCAGGACTTTTCAGATCTACACTGTGCCTGCCCAAAGAGAGTTTTTATCCTTTACAGAAACCCCAGAACTTCCAACAGGTCAAATAAAAACCACAGTAATTTGAAGGTAGAAGCTGCTTGTATCTCTACTGTGGAGCCGTTTGCTCCTATTTCTTCTGTATCTCTCAATGAGCCTACCAAAATGGCGGCCTTTGGGAAGCCTCCAAGCAGCACCGCTGACGGACAATGTACCAGAGACTCTAGGATCTAACCAAAGGTGGGGAACGGTTATTTGAGTTACAGCCTCTCGGACACACCAAAAGTCAAAGCAATCAAAAATTGTGAAGGAGGAAAGCGTCTGCATTTCCGCTCTTTCTAGAGTGGCAGTGTGAAAACATCCCGGCCCGCCATGCTCAGCCACCGAGGTGCAGACTTTGGACGAAATTGCTTTTGGCAGGAAGGTGCGCCCTTCCCAGCTCCATTCCAGTCTAGAATTAAATTGCCTGTGGTTGATATCAGCACCCAGAGCAAATGACGATGGGCCAGAAGGCACAGACCACGTCTCCTCACACCCAGGGTCACCGGGTGCCCCAAACACTGCGCTGAATGCTCAGAGTGAGCCTGAGTGAGACCTGGAGGAGCACAGAGCCCCAGCCTCTTGCCCCCCTGTCCTGGCATGGAGCCACCCTGTGTTCATCTCCTGGGGCTGCTCTCACAAATGACCACAAACTTGGTAACTTCAAACAGAAATGCATTTTCTCCCAGTTCTGCAGGACGGAAATCCAGTATCAGATTTGGTTCCTTCTGAAGGCTCTGGAGAGCGTCAGCTCCATCCCATCTCCTCCTGGGAGCTGCTGGCAATCCTTGGTGTTCCTTGGGCACAGATACATCACTCCAGTCCCTGCCTCCACTGTCACATGGAACTCTCCCTGTGTCTCTGTCTGTGTCATGGGGTCTCGGGCCTACCTGATTAGTCCAGGAGGATTTCATCTTGAGGTCCTTAATTACATCTGCAAAGACCCTTTTGTCCGAATGAGGTCCCATTCATGGGCTCCAAGTGGACTAATTTTGGGGGGTTGGGGAGGCATCATCCAACCCCTTGCACAGCATTCTTCCTCAGGATGCTTAAAATTGCGAAACCTTTTACTCCTGTTTTTCTATATCTCTCAATGAGCCTAACAAAATGGCAGCCCTTGGGAAGTCTCCAGGCAGTGCCATTGACCAACAAGGTTATCGCCAACCCAGTTTTCCTGTAGAGCATGCTGACCTTGCCTTTCCAAACTCCTGGAAAGCAAGAACAAAAGTTTTTTTAAAAAATTTACATAGAATTGGCATATATTAGACACTTCATGTTTAATTGAACGGATCATTTTTGAGTAAACTTTTCTTGTGATAGCCTGTGGTCGTTGCATTATTTCCCCAAGAATGCATTTTGTGAATCTGGATCACGGATAAGAGAAAAGAAAGAAGAATAGAGAATGTTGTCTTTTCAAACATTCATTCAACAAACTGATTGCCAGCCATGCACGCAACCTGTGTAAAGGGCTGGAAAGAAGCAGCTGAACCGAGAGCCCGGTCCCCTCAGAACTCACAGCCCATTTGGGAATTCACTACTGATCCATGTGGTCAGGCAATCATGCACTTGCACACAGGTAAGGGCACAGGGGAGGAAGCAGCTCGCTCCGGAGTCGGGGAGATGTCTCAGGAACGGGCCTGCACTGGGTGGGGAGAGAAGGAAGTTCAGAGCCAAAGGAGGAGATTTGGGAATTCTACAGGTTTGGGGTGGGAAATGGAGGAAGGCAAGGCTTAAAGTGTGAATGGAAGCTGGTTTGGGAATTATCTCAAAGGCTACCTTGAACCCCTCCCTGTAGGCATGGGGTGTGATGAAGCCACTGGGCACAACAGCTCCCCGCTTCTGCAGTTGGCAACACCCTCGCCCCCACCAGGGTCTCTGACATGGAGGTGAAGGCCGCACAGAACACCCTTGCCCCTGCTGGGGCCTCTGATGTGGAGGTGCAGGCTGCACAGAGTACCCTCACCCCTGCCATGGTCTCTGACATGGAGGTGCAGGCTGTACAGAGCACTCTTGCCCCTGCCGGGGTCCCTGACGTGGATGTGCAGGCTGCACAGTACACCCTCACCCCTGCCGGTGTCTCTGACGTAGAGGTGCACTACAGAACTGCAGGGGTGGCCGTTCACATCGGAGTCTGTGAGAATGATGCTCCCAGGCTTATGCAGTGTTCAACAGTTCAGCCAGATGGGGCTGCCCTGCTCTTCACTCTTTCTTCCCACCTGTCTTGGTCCATTTTCTGTCGCTTATAACAGAATATCTGAAACTGAGTCACTTGTAAAGAAAAGGAGTTTATTTCTTACAGTTATGGAGGCTGAGAAGTCCCAGGTCAAGGGGCCACATCTGATGAGGGCCTTCTTGCTGGTGGGAGGTCTCTGCAGAATCCAGAGGTGGCCCAGGGCATCACACAACTTGGAGGCTGAGTGTGCTGGCTCAGGTCTCTCTTCCTCTTCTTACAAAGCCACCAATACCCACTCCCAGGTTAACCCATTCACCCATGAACCTATGAATAGATTAATCCATTCCCAAGGGCAGAACCCTCATGATGCAATCACCTCTTCAAGGCCCCACCTGTCAATACTGCCACATGGGGGATTCAATTTCAACAAAAGTTTTGGAGGGGACTTTCAAACTGTGGCACCACCCCTAACAGTTCTTCATATAAAAAGCAGGGTTTTGCAGTTACATATTTTGGGACTTGAAACTATCACCAGCCATGCATTAGAACTTATCAGAATAAAGCTGACAGACTGTCCTAAAAGCTTGCTTGGTAACTTATCCTAGCATTTATAACATATAAATAAGTCATGTCTATTATAGCTGTGCAGAAATCCCGCAACAAGAGGGCAAATAAGAGATGATAAAAGGTTGCCAAACTGGAAATGTGTCTACCCGGGTATTACAGGAATTATTTTAAGGTTTCATTTACGAAGGGAGCATAAGAACAGATTTATGAAATGGGAAGAAGCTCAAGTTACGCACAGTGGCCTGAGCAGTTGACTTCCCGTCTTTCTGAGCCTCAGGTTGCAACACCTATAAAATGGGACATCAGATGTTGCCTCTCTGTTTTATGAAGTGACTGTCAGGATCTTACATGAAAGCTCGTGGGGAAACTTAAAGGGAGAGATTCGTGTAAAATACCGTTATCGTCAGGGAAGGAGATAAGGGGCACTGACTCTTAGGACTGGGAAGGAAGTAACGCACACCTCCTTTTACAGTACCGAGCTTTCTTCTCCTCCCCGTTTGCATTCCATTCTCTAACACATTGGGGAGATTATTAAAAAGCAATAATCCTGCACGAAAAAATAGAGTCGGCAGAGAGCGGAGAATCTGGCTTATACCTACAGATAGAAATGGGAGATGAGAGAGAGAAGACAATCTTAGGAGACCTGGGCCGAAGTATTACCATGCTGCAAGGGTGCATTAGCGAGTCTGTACGCATTACAACAGTGCTTTCAGCTTACTCAGGCCTGGCAGCTCAATACAAGAAAGATAGACAATTTGGAAGAGGTTCAGAGAAGAACAGAGTAACAACAATATTAAGGGGCTGGTTTCAAGGATTGATTTAGGAAGAAAGATTAAGGACGCTAAGTGTGTACAGCTTTCCTAATCACGGACTAAGTGAAGACAAGACAAACATCATCAGATA
Source organism: Homo sapiens (assembly GCF_000001405.40). NCBI lineage: Eukaryota > Metazoa > Chordata > Mammalia > Primates > Hominidae > Homo > Homo sapiens. The sequence continues at coordinate 156,448,262 of NC_000007.14, forward strand.
TTTAAAGAGTAGAAGCAGTGAGGATAGAAGGGGATTATTTCGACGAGATTCTCAATTTATGCAACATGGTGTAAACTGTCATAAAAAGCTCCAGGATGAGGACTTGGCTCATTCAGATGAAGTGGGAAATGGAGTTCAGCTGGAAATAGTTTACGGCGCTACACTTACTCTCACAGAGAAGTCTCTCTCTCAAGACATTAAGGCTGAAAGCTGAAGTTGATCTTCATTTAGAGAATGGGAGGCTACATTTACATTAAAATAAACCAGCATCTTGGCAGTCCATAAACTGGCATGGATGGGATTCAGGCAAGGACACCAATTGCCCATCCCAGTCTCACCATTTCCCAGTGAGCCACCATGGAAGAGTGTAAAGCCATGGGCTACTCATGCCTACCAAGGAGAAAGAGATCTCACAGTGTCTGACTTCTTAACTCATCCCCCTCCTCCATGCTCTGTTGACCAGTATTTTAGCTCTACCATGGTCCTACCCACTCACATCAGGTATTACTATTACTAATAATAAACATGCTTTTTTGATTTCTTGTTTGCCATTGCCTTTGGTTGTTTCTCATGAATTTTGTTAAGTTTTGTTGCTGTGGTGGTTGTGGTAGTGGGGTTGGAGGTGGTAGAGGTGATGGTAGTGACGATGCTGATGGAAGTGATGGTGGTAGTGGTGGTGGTGGTGATGACAATGATGGTGGTAGTAGTGATGATAATGGTGGTAGTGGTGATGGTGGAGGTGATAGTGATTATGATAATGGTGGTGGTGATTGTAATGGTAGTGGTGGTGGAGGTGATAGTTATGGTAGTGGTGGCAGCAGTGATAGCAATGATGATGGTGATGGAGGTCATAGTGATGATGATGATGGTGGTAGTGGTGGTGGAGGTGATAGTTATGGTGGTGGTGATGGTGATGGTGGTGATGACAATGATGGTGGTAGTGGTGGTGACAATGATGATAATGGTGGCAGTGGTGGAGGTGATAGTGAGCATGATGGTGGTGGAGGTGGTAGTGATTATGACAATGGTGGTCGTGATTGTAATGGTGGTAGTGTGACAGTGATGATAGTGGTGATAGTGGTGGTGACACTGATCATCATGGTGGTGGTGGTGATGGGAACGGTGGTAGTGGTGGTGGTGGAGGTGACGGTAATTATGGTAGTGGGGTGTAGATGTTGTGGTGGTGCTGGTGGTGATAGCAATGATGATGGTGGTGGTAGAGGTGATAGAGATGATGGTGGTGGTGGTGGTGGTGGTGGTGACAGTGACCACGATGGTGGTGGTGGTGATGGTAATGGTGGTAATGATGGTGATGGAGGTGATAGTGATGATGATAATGGTGGTAGTGGTGGTGGAGGTAATAGTTACGGTGGTCGTGGTAGCAATGATGATGGTGGTGGTGGAAGTGACAGTGATGATGATGGTCGTGGGGTAATGGTAATGATGGTGGTGGTGATGATGATAGTGGTGGTGGAGGTAGTAGTGACAGAGGTAGTGGTGGTGGTACTTTTTCTTTGTAAACCTCAAGAATGGACAGTTGAGTTAACTGTATTTTATTTATTTATATACACATATATATACATACACACACACACACACACACACACACATATATATGTATATCTCTTTTTTACAGATATTGCCACTTAACATAGGCAATATATTCTTAAAAATTGTGAAAATGCTAACTGGGAACCTATATCTACTATTTTCAAAGGAAATTTTTAGCCAATAACTCCAAGCCAACTTTTCCAAATGTAACTACAACACCTCCATACTGGAAAGCAAATTATTGTGTTCAGATGAGTTATGCTCCATGCAGCGATGTGGCCTTACCCAGTGTTAACAGCATCCAAGACACACAGCCCTGTCTTTCACAAAACATCCACTTGGGACTCTGACCATCCAGTCATTGAATTTAGAATGGAATGAGATCTCCCTGCTTATTTCCTGTTTTGTTTTAAATACTGTATTCATATTGACATTTAGAATCCTAAACATAAGATTATTTTTTGTAAAACATCAGGTGGAAAATGTTGCATTGAAAGAAATGTGCCTCTCTGACAAGTGGGTATTTAAAAACCAAGAGATATTCCACTGGAGGATAAAACAATGTTACCCAGGAAGACTCAACAGACAATACCTGCAGCTTTTTGTGTGTATGTTGTACATTGATCTAAGTGGTCATGAAGTATAGATCTCATTCTGTCTGTTATTTTTTTGGCTGACACATTTTTAAGATCTGTTTCTGCTACTCAAGCCATGCCTCATCCATCACTTACCACTGCCCCGTGTCCCACAGTGTCCATTTGCCACATTTGACCCAGCCATTCCCAGGTGATGAACCCCTAGGCTGCCTCCAACACCTAGCCTCGCATTCAGAGCTACAGCAAACACCCCAAACATGGGATACATGGACCTGTATGAGAGTTCCTCTGGGGTATGCCCAGGAGTGGGGTTGCTGTATCATCAGATATATGAATATTTAATTTTGCTACGGAATTCCAGATTGCCTTCCAGAATGGCAGCCCCACCCACCCCTCTTCCAATGGTGCATGAGATCTCCCATTTCCCCACATCCTTGCCTATCTTGATATTAAAACACTTTCTACTTTTTGCTAACCTGATGTGTACAGAGCAGTGCATATAACATTCTCGTCCTGATTTGCGTTCCTTTAATTACTAGTAAAACTGCCCATTTCAAAGGCAGCATTTCCTTCCATTGTCCATGGCTTCCATAGGATAGAGCTCCTGAGCTTCTGAGAGATTCTGGGGCTCCCCTCACCCCTGCATTTCTCAGCACATGTGACAGGAAATGTTTCTATTTTTGATCTGCTTTTACAAAAATTGCTGGGTTATCCATGTGCCTTTATCCTTCTAAATCAATCATCTTGTTGAGTTCCTAAAATTATTTGCTGAAATGTTTGTTGGAATTACATTGAAATTATTGATTAATTTGGGACAAATTGACATCTTTATGGTATTAAATTGTTCCGTCCATGAACCTGGTATGGCTTTCCATCAGTTAAAATCCCCTTTTATGTTGTAGAACAGAGCTTTCAATATTCTTGTAAAAGTCTTATGCATCTCTGTCAGTTAGGTTCTAAATATTGTATAACTGTATTACTATTTCGAGTGTTGCTTTCTTTGTATTATATAATCGAGTTGCTTTCTGTTGATGAAGAAAAACATTACTGAAAACTGTAAGTTAATTTTGAATCCAGTTTCTTTTCTAGACTTTCTTATGAGTTTAATAATTTATCTGTTGATTCTGTTAGGTTTTCCATATAGACAATCATATCATATGAAAAATGATAGTTGTGTCTATCTCCTATTATCTTTACATCTATATCTTTGTGGGTTTTTTTTATCTTTGTGTCTTATTTCTTGGGTCGGCACGTCTGTTGAACATTAACAGGGATAGCAGTCATCCATGTCTTGATTCTAATCATAAAGAAATAATCTTATATTTCTCTATGAACTATGTTGCTTACTGTTCATTTTTGTTTATACAGACCTCACAAGGTTAAGGAAATTTCTTTCTATTCCTAGTTTCTGAGAAGGTTCATCATAAGTAAATGTTGAACTTCATCAAATGCTTTTTCTGTGTCTACTGAAGTAATTATCAATTGGTACATTAATATGGTGAATTGCTTAGAGAAATTTCTGATGATAAAACAGTCTTGTTTTCCTGAAATGAACCATGCTAAACCATGATGCATTTATAATGCACTGTTGGATTAAGGAAACTAATATTCCTTTAGGATACTGCATGCATGTACATTAGTAAAGTAGGCTTAAAGTTTTCATTTCTTCTAAGCTCCCACACAGGATCCTTGGCCTTGTTCCCTCTGCCTGGAATGTTCTTTCCTGGTCTTCACCGACATGGTTCCTCTGGACATAGAAACCTCAGCCCACATGTTCTGTCCACACAGAGGCCCTTCCTGACCATCCAGACCCCTCCTTGTCACTCTCATCACATTGTGCTGGTATTTTGAGTGAGAGGGGAAGCGTGGTACTTATCCCAGTGCTTCCTTATTCCTTGCTGAGCTTGCCCAATACAATATAAGCACCTTGGGAACACAGACCTCCTCTGTCTGGTGCCATGTTGTGTCCTCACTGCCCAGAACACTTTCTGGAATACAACAGACTGTCAACAAATATTCAGTTATTGAACAGATGCAGCAGCAGGGACGCAATGCACAGACATCGTGCAAAGCAAAGTTACGCAGGGACAGGGACTGACTGAGGACAGCTCTGATTCCCCAAAATGCCTTACAAAGGCTCAGTGATACTTACATTCAGGTGGGGCAGGGGGTGTGTGGTGTGTAAGAGATAGTGAGAGAGAAAGAGAGAGAGACTTTGGTTAAAATTAGAAAAACACAGGCATGAATACAGGTTCCCTAAAGATATCTGTTCCTAGCATACATCACTAAATACATCTTGGTAGATACTTGCAGAAACCAACCATTCAGTAAACATTTTTCAGCCTTAACTATGTGCTCAGCACCCTGCTGAACACCAAATGAGACAGAGAAACCAAATTCCCCGATCTTCAGAAGCTTAAATTACAGTCAGGGAAAGGTATGGGTACAGAAAGCTACTACATACCAGAGCAAAGTCATCATAAAAATGATAGCAGTCACCTGTAGAAGGAAGAAATATGTGATCTGGGGATGGAAAAGAGGCACTCCCAGAGCAGCCGAGCAACTTCCTAAGGGTTGGAGAGTCACAGGGTAGAGGATGGGCCATTTGGCCAAGAGGAACACGGGAAAGTTTCAACGTGGGGAATGAATATACATGGTTCCCTGGAAATGGAGAGCAGCCTGCTCAGGTTGGAGGTGAGAGCTAAAAAGGTGAGAGATGATTGCTGCGAACATCATCCAAATGCCCCCAGAAGAAAATCATCCTTTACGGAGTGCACACCCTGCAAAAAGAAAAATGTTAAGAAAGGAGAACGAAGGAGCATTGACAATATATTGCTTGATTTTACATAAGGCTCCAGATACATTTCATATTAAACGGTGTTTATCACTGTAGCAGTAGATGACTTTCTGTTGTGGAGATGATTTCTTTTTGGTGCATTTAGCATGCACGGTGCCAAAGCACCCTGTGCCACAGGCCACAGTGGGAAAACAAACATATTTGTCTATAATATGCGTGGGTGGGAAGCCCACACAGATTATAGGGGCCACGGGGCTTCTCCTGCCTGGTGGAAGTCTTGAATGGGGCAATCGGAACTGTGGGATGAATTCTGGGCATCTTAGATCATTCTCCAAAGGGCTGAGAACCAGCCTTGCACTCAGGCATTCCCGACATGGAGGGACGTTTGTCCAGAGACTACAAAAGGGATGAATTGTGATCCACTTAATTCCCTGATCTGGAGGGAGACAACAAAGTGTGCCCACTTCACTTTGCTGTCCACTGGAAGACGGTTTTCAGGACTTTCAGTTGACTACGTGAACTAGTGAAGATAGTAATTAGTTTTTCATTATCAACTTACCTAACTAAAAAATGAATAAGCTCACACTATTAGGAAAATGTCTTCCTTTTCCATATTTTGTGGGTCTCCCACAGGTGCCAAGACTTCGTTAAAATGCTAATTGTCTGTAAATCATAAGAATATGAGTCATTTATCTATCATGCAGTATACTGTGGTCATCCTAGTGGTTCAGATGAGCTCATTATGTATTTAGCAACAGATGGTCATTTTTTGGAGGCAAGAATGCACTCAAACTCAGGCAACTATGTTCATTTTAGCTCTTCAACTTCTTCTGATTCTAGGAAGCATATCATTAATTTGCACAGCGTGAAAAACTCTCCCATATTCTTGCTTACCCTATGTGTGTCTTTAGTTAAACTTGTATGTGCAGAACGTGCTCCCCCCCTCAGTGTTCAAAGGACACAAAGCAAAAGTGTCTGCAGGAACAGAGATGAGGCAGCCACAGGGATGTCTGGTAGGCTGGCTTTCCTCTGCAGCACTGATTTTTCTTTTCGCTGTTTACACATCCATAGCACCTTTTTAACACCCCTCCCCCCGCCTTCTAACATCGTATGTGCTGTCAGGATGAAAACATCGAAGTCACCGTCACCCTAGTGTTCACGAATGTTTGTCTTCCATGTCCATAGCTTCAGGGAGTATCACTGACACTTCTTATTTCTTTTCTTTTCTTTTTTTTTTTTTTTTTTTTTGACGGAATTTCACTCTTCTCACCCAGGCTAGAGTGCAATGGCGCAATCTCGGCTCCCTGCAACCTCCGCCTCCCAGGTTCATGTGATTCTCGTGCCTCAGCTTCCCGAGTAGCTGGGATTACAGGCCTAAGCCATGCCACCATGCCCAGCTAATTTTTGTATTTCTAGTAGAGATGGGGTTTCACCATATTGGTCAGGCTGGCCTCGAACTCCTGCTGGGATTACAGATGCATGCCACCATGCCCGGCCAACACATTTATAAGTGTGGTACTGAGTCAAGGGGAGATAAAGACCTTTGGAGCTCTGGAGCTCCCGAAAAAATTGCTTCAGCCCATACCCAATTCTTTAATAAAATGGTTGTGAAGAAGTTCAACAGGTTCTGATTTCTTCATGAGAGTTATTTCAATGCTTAAAAAAAAAAGAATCTAATTCCTTCTACGACCTTTTCTTCCCTCTCATGACTTTGGAGCTTCTGTTTTGCTTGTGCCCTAATCCCCTGTGTGGAGACCCAGGGCTGGATCAAACTTTTTATTTCTTTATAAAGAATTCCATTGAGCAGGTAAAGGAGACTCGAGAAGGGATTGCCTGGTGATTTTCTTTACTCGCGAGTCAGGCTCTGTCTGGAGGTGCCGCACTACCTTTCTGATTGTGACTCAGAACTCCTTACTGGGTCTGTGAAACCTGTTTCAGAAATTCTAACATGAGCCCCCAGCAATCCAGAACCCATAGGTCTGGAAACGTTCAGAAGACCTGAGTCAACTGTGAGCAAATAAATAAGATGGAGGTGTTGAAATGACAATCTCCCCAAAACTCCACAAATCACTGATGCAGAAGTGGGTAGACACAGTGGTTGATATGCATGTGGGGAGTCGTGCATGTAAGGCAACAGGTGTCTCTGAGCCCTGTCACTGCAGGTGACTCCGTGAGACACTCGTGCTACCAAAGGCATGAGGGCACTGAGCCCCCTGAGGCCCCCAGGTCTGCACCACCAGCCACGGGACCAACTCCAGCAGCGAGCCGATGTCAAACGGCAGGTGGAACCTGGGCTCTGTTTGAATGGCGCCTCTCCCAGGGCAATAGAGTCGAACTGACGTAAATTAAACACATGCATGATTTCACTTCATTGTAATCCTCGTATTTTGTGAATGCTCTGTTTTCCCAAATGTTATTTTAGATGCTATCTTGTGGTTTTTCACGAACCCCATGGGGTGGGTCATAGCTATATCACCCTCGCACAGATGAGGAAATCGAGGATCTACAAGGATAAGCAACTTTCCCAAGGGCAGAGAGCAAGCTCATGACAGCTTAGAACAAGATTCCGAAGCTCAGAGCTTTCAGGTCTCAACTCCTCCCATATTCCTTGTCAAAATGAAATTCAACCAGGAAAGCTGAAACGCACCTCAACACAATGTGCCTGTGCCTCCGTGGCCTCCACACTGGTGCACAGCTCCTGTCACCCACAGTGCAGCAAAGGGAAGACTGCTGAAATGCTTACGGGCTCAGAGGCTTACGGCAAATCCATCTTTTTAATGGCTCACAATTATCAAATAAACATGAAGGGAGAAAGCCTTCAGCTTTTGATCTGATGTAGTTTTGGTCACATTAAAGTGCTGTGCAATTGAGTGAACGGCATTTAGTCTTGGCAGGCCCCTTAAAGATTCAGCCAAATAATTTAAAAGTCCATTTGGGGAAACTGAGCAGTCTGAGAGCATTGCGTTGACGTTGCTGATCTCGATCAGGGATGGTTAAATTACTAAAAGTAACTACAGCTTATAATATTGTGCAATCCCTTCATAAAAATGTAAAAGTAGCTCTTCCAGGGTTACGGAAACTAGCAGAACTTTCTCAGTGTGAGGTGCAGCTGTGACTTTGGTGGGGTTTTCTACGTGCATGGGCATGCATGGGGGCGAAATGTGAACATATGTGAAGTGTTTTGGATGCCAGGGGAGAATGACAATAGCAATAACACGATTCCAAGGTTTACAGTGGGAACCCAGAGAGGCTAATCCTAGCAGGGTGTCTGTCTGGAATGGAGAACGTAGCACGTACGTAGCAGGGATTTGCACATGTGCCATGCCATTAGGGGCAAGAAGAGGACTCCTCCAAATTTGGGAGATGGGATTTGTTTTGACTGCCTCACTCTTAAACACCACACCTGGCCCAGGGTGAGGGCTCTGTCCTGCTGGCTGAAGGAGTGGAGTGGGGTCAGGTTGCCTTGGATGGCACCTGTGAGGTGTCTCACGTAAGCCATTCTCATGGCCAGAGCCCCAGGGACTTACCTTGGGAAAAGCACATTCCTCTCTCTCGCTTGTGTTTTGCATACTGATAAAGTGAGACCTGTCCCAGCCGCCCTGCCCACCTCAGCAGACTGTACCGAGGGCTAACTCGGAGCTGCGAAAGGGCCTTTAAATGCATGGCACCCAGGAAATAAGATGTCATTGCTGGCTGGAACGAGTCCACGATGAGAACATGGCTCTCTTGCCTAATCATTAACTAACCTGGAGGCTTCTGACTCCACTCCTGCATCAAAGCCTTTGTAACACATCCCAGCTTTTGATTCCAGGTCAAGACTGCGAAGCCTTCCCAAGTTTATGGGTAAATTTCGAGGCGCTTAAGTGCAATGTATTATTAGCTTCAATGGCTTAATGCTCTCAATTCCATTTTTAACGGATACGTGTTTCCACATCACAAAACCACATAGCAATGGACTGTGGAGGCTGAAAGGCTGGAGCCACGCAAGACAGGGACAGTGGGACAAGGGGCTACAGAGTTCACAGGACATGAAAAGTGGGCCGCCGGCTCACCCACTGCCCCTGACAGGCATGGGAAGAGGGGACAGAGGGAAGTGGCTAAGTCCTGAAAGGTAATCCTTTTAAGAATAAGGACAAGACTGGCTGGGCGTGGTGGCTCACGCCTGTAATCCCAGCACTTTGGGAGGCCCAGGCGGGTGGATCACCTGAGGTCAGGAGTTCGAGACCAGCCTGGCCAACATGGTGAAACCCCGTCTCTACTAAAAATACAAAAATTAGCCAGGTGTGGTGGCACATGCCTGTAATCTCAGCTACTTGGGCGGCTGAAGCAGGAGAATTGCATGAACCTGGTAGGTGGAGGTTGCAGTGAGCCGAGATTGTGCCACTGCACTTCAGCCTGGGCGACAAGAGTGAAACTCTTTCTCAAATAACAATAATAATAATAATAATAATAATAATAATAATAATAATAATGACAAGACTGCAGGAGCCACGCAGAGCCCTGGGGCTCCCTGAATCCCATTGCAGAAAGGATGCAGGCCTCTGGAGTAGAGATAAGCATGTTTCCCACAAGGTCCATCTTTTGTATGAGCACATGAGTTATGAGTTATGATCTTATGTTTTACAGAGAAAATTCAGCTGTTACTTTAGGCAGCTCACTCTGAAGTGTCAGTCAGGTATTGATTGAATAGACAGGACCAGGATTCAAAAGAAGGTGCAACCCCTGCCCTCAGGATGGAGATGTTTCAGCTAAGAGTCTAGGAATAATTCAGGGTGTGCCACTGATGATGGGTAGAATAGGAGTTATTAGTGCTCTAAATCTGTGTGGGGTAAAATGAAAAATAAGCAAACATACACCGGGGAGAATGACACCAGCCGGACCTTCCGAGATGACAAAGCATCAGACAGGAGGAGGGGAGCATTCCCAACGAGGAGCCCGAGGAAGGTCTGCAGCGGACAGAAGGGACGGGGCTGGGTGTGCCGCCAGTCCAGGGCCAAGCTCTCAGGGCAGCATTGGGCGGGGAGGGCAGAGGAAGAAAGGGCCGGAGAGAAGCCCGAACAGGAAGTGAGCTGGACCTCAGGAGGAAGTTGTCAACACCACTGAGAAGAGATGAGGTCTCCGACAAGACACTGGCCCTCCCCAGCCACAGCCTCCTCAGCAAAAGCGAGGGAATCACCTGGGCGTTACCTTCGACTGTCAGTTCCGTGGGGCAAACCGTGGCCCTGGGCTTTAAGGAGGCAGATGGAGCTCTCTTTCCAAAGCCCTCGGTCTGGCAGAGCCACTGAGCATCCACTCAGGAATTTCTGCGATGACAATGGAAATAAAGGTGACACTGCACAGAAAATGTCTGTGTGCTCTGAGGTTTCCATCTGAGGACCCATGATTTTCAAGAGCTCTTGATCACTAGGAGTCGTTGGATTGACGAAAGTCATCAGGATTGAAATTATAATACTAAGAAATATAGAAGAATCAGAAAACTGTTAATAGAATGACCTGGCCAGCTCACCATCCCAAATCATCCTGCCCCCAACTCAGGTGGCTTCACTCTCTCTCCCGCACCCACCTCCAGCCCGGTCGTCCGGAGCATGGCAGTTCTGCTCTTCTCGGTTCTTTGAGATCCACATCCTGGCTCTTTTTAACTATGTCCTTTTTGGCATGGGGCTGATTGCCACAGCCCAAAAACGCTGAGACTCTGCCAGCACCCTGCCTTGAAATTGCCTTGAATTACTGCCTTGAAAGTTGTCCTATCTTCCCTTCAGGAACTGAAGTAGTCCTCCCTGCCTGTCATGAGTTTCCACCACAGCTGCTGTTGGGTCTCTCCTCCAGCACTTGCCCCTGCTGGGCAAAGTGTCTATTCCATGAGACCCAGAGACTCACCACCTCCACCCTTGAAGCAAACCCTAAGGGCATCCAGAGAAAGGAATTGTGCAACTCTTCCTTGACAAGGCCAATCAACCAATGAACAGGGCAACTCTTCCTTGACAAGGCCAATCAACCAATGAACAGGGCAACTCTTCCTTGACAAGGCCCATCAACCAATGAACAGGGCAACTTTTCGTTGACAAGGCCAACCAACCAATAAACAGGGCAACTCTTCCTTGACAGGGGCCAATCAACCAATGAACAGGTGTTGATGGGCAGCATCTTAGGTAGGTGAGACATGTTTCTGAGCACCTATCATATGGTGAGAGAATAAGGCAACTTCAAATCACCAGGCACAGGGATGCCACAGGAATCCCACAGGAATCCAGAGGGAGAGGAGAAAACATTTCAGAATGATGATTGCACAAAAGGGCATTTGAGCTGAAACTTCAAGAAGGGAATAGGTTCTGGAGAGGTGGAAAGGATGAGAAGTTAGCCCATCTGAAGCCATGGAGTCTGGAGGACACGGGATGTGTTCAGAGACCCCCAGATATTCGCCCAACACACTTGTGGCAGGCATGAGTCCAGGCGCCGGGATCCATCAGTGGACAAAACAAATAACCCACCCTCGCGTGCACTATATTCTAGTAGCCACGTGTCAGGAGTAGGAGTCCATGTGGGAGAAGCGGAACTGAGGTTAGAGTGGGCTATGGACAGCTGCAGCACCGCCTGACAAAGCCCCGCCGCCCTGTTCTGCCCCTGGAGAGACCTGGAGTTATGGCCAGAAACCGGCAGCACCTGGCCTGCCTGCCACCCACTGCCACAAACCCTGACCTTGGGCGTTTAACCCTTCAGCACCTCAGTTTCCTCATCTTTAAAATGAGGGGCTGGAGCCAGGCCTAGCTCAAGAATTCTGGGATGCTGGTTATATCCTGGTGTTCAAATCATAAAATGTGTGGGATTTGTAGGGGAAAATCTAAGTCGCTGTTCATTTTTATTTCCTTTGCAAGTTGCGGTTGTGTTTATTTTTCTTATTTTGTGATTAAAGTTCTCCCAGTGTGTGTTCCTCAGCCCTCATTTCTACTGAGCTCGGGATGCCCACCTTACACAGGCAGAATTGGTAGCTAGCTGTGTGCCTATCGTTTGAAGAGAACTAAAAGCCACCAAAATTATTTTCTGTTCTGAAGTCCCTGTGAAAATAAGGCCTGGGTGGATAAAGGGACACCTTCTGGAAATGCACCCACTACTTTGGAAGCTACATTACATTACAAAAGGGTTTGTCGCTATTGGCAAGTCACACTGATTTATTTATCAGACGACTGGAGGTTGGTCAGGAAAAGAAAATGAGGAGTTGAGGGGAAAAGGCACAAGTGTTTTGAATGATCAGGGAGCTAAGTTTCCTCCTTCGGTGAATTAATGGACAGAAAAGCCCAGAATCCCAGGATAGACACAGGATGATCCCATTTTCTCAGCTCCATCTCCTTTTGCTCCGTCCTGGGCTTCAGTCTTAAACCAAAAGAGCCCTCCAAGGTCAGAGAAGTGCATGAGGACTGCCAATAAATGTCTCCAACCCATGCGGGGCCCGAGGTGTCTGTCTTGGGGTGCTGAGGCAGGTGAGGATTTGAGCAGCAGAGGCAGGCTGAGTCCAGGCAGGTGGTGGTTGGGGTTCGTGGGGCCCTCTGAGGTCCCGGGGCACAGTGGGTTATAAAGAGAATGCAGGCACCAAAGCATTGAAGTTCAAAGCCGGTGACACAGAGAGAAAACTGAGATACTAAGTTCAAAGTCAGCCAGCAGCAAGAGCAAATTAACGCTGCGTCCATGAGCTGCTAATTTGGGTTCCTTAGAAAGCTCTGCCCGCATCTCTGTCTGGGTGCAGCTCAGCTGTGGGTGGAGTTCCAGCTTTGAAGTTCATGGAGATGCCTGTGAGGGAGCCCAGATCAGGGTGCAGGTGGAGCCCACAGAAAGGAGAGGGCATCAAAGACACACTTCGCTGGCTGCACCATTTGCTCAGGGTTGGGCCCAGCTCCGGTTACAGCTCCATAATCCATTGTGTTCACCACTGTTTGCTTAGGTTTAACTCGGAGTTAGAATTCTGGTTTTGTTTCTCACTTAGGGAAAAAAAATAGCTTTGTAAAGGGAGGTTACTAAATAAAACTTTGAGAACTCTATTCACCCTCACAGGATGACTTTTGGCTTGCAATTCAATCCCTGGCAGGTTACTGTTCATGTATAGAATTTCCAGGCGACTAGAAGGCATTTGAAAGGAATTCTTACCGAACATTAACCTGCCTTGGTAACCACAGAAGGCATTTCTACCTGCCAAGCTCAGGCTGGGAGCTTTGGTGCAGTCCGACCTCGGCAGCATTCTCTTACTCTTTCAGGAAGCAGGTGTGAGCGCCTGCTGTGGACTAAGCAGAAAGTCAGGTGCCCAGGGACATACTCGGGTATATAAAACACAGTCTCTGCCTGCAAGGAACTCATAGTGTAACACAACTTCATGAAGAATTCTGCTCATCAATTTAAAGGAAAAAGACTTCTAGCTGATTAAATGGTATCAGATCAAATAGGAAAGGCAAAAGCCCTGAGCTAGGTCTTTGAGAATAAAAACAATGGAAAGGGGTAAGACACCAGCTACTACGATGGGACCCACAACACAGTCAGGGTGCCCTGAGAGTGTCTCCCCACAGAGAGATGGTCAGATGCTGCAGATGGAGCCATGCAAGACAGGGACACTGGGACAAGGAGCCATGGAGTTCACAGGACACAAAAAGTGGGCTGCCAGCTCACCCACTGCCCCTGACAGGCACAGGAAGAGACAGTCAGATGCTGCAGCCTAGGGTGTGCGGGGGAGTGTTAAAGATGTTTGGCATCATCTCGAACCCAGAGGACTCACAACACATGTGCACATGTGCAAGGCCCCTGTGAGACCCGGTTTTGTGTACATGTTACTTAATTCAGATGAATTGCAGCATCCAGGGTGATTTACAGATGAACTCCATCTGAGTACACCATGCTTACTCTGGGGGGAGAGCAGGCTTGAAGGCCAAGGTGGTGTTGATGGAACTCACGAAGGCTAATGCAAGGTGCTGTTGGGGAGTGAACAGCCAAGACGCCCTGGGGCTGTCCTCGTGGGTTCCACAAGAGGCAAACCCTGCACAGGAGGCTGGCACACAAGGCGTATGCCAGGACAGCCTCCAGAATCTCAGCCTGCAGGGAGGAGGAGAGCAGGACTACAGTTTCAGGGAGCCCTCCACCTACCCCACGGCCGTCGGCATTCTCCCTCACAGGGCGAGAGACCAGGCCTTTGCACACCTGCTTCTCTCTGTCACTGAATGTGGGTTTCTCTGAGGAGACGTGCACTTGGGCAGGTCTGTCCACTCACCTGAAGCGGTTCCCAGGGAATGCCGACGGTGAGTGCTGTCTGCTGGCAGCATTCCCGGGAGCTGGAGGAATTCATCCTTTTTCCTGAAGGGAGATCCGGGTGCTGCATTGCAGTGGCTCTGCGTGGCCTGAGATGGAGGCGCACACCCGGTGCTGTGTTGAGAGGCGCTTCTCCTTGCCCTCATACTATGCGGTCTCACTGAAACATCTGGAGCACGCACTGGGCTTCTGAGACACAGTTCCTCAGTGCTTGGGCCAACCAAAGACACACATTCCTCCAACACACCAACGTCCCATGTCCCCAAACATTTGATCCTGGTGAAGATTCAAGAGTAAGATGGAGCCAGTTCTGCTGTCTTCCAAAGTGCACAGACCCATCTTAGCTCTAGTTCATCGCCAGATCTCCATGGGAGCATGGGGCCAGGTTAAAGCCTCCCACAAGGAGCTCTTTGTTTCCACATCCAGACACTTGTACCGACATTAGATTGAACTACTGGCAGGAAGATGACCACCGTCACCAAAAACAATGGGCCATCTTTCAGGGTAATCTTGCTTCTGTTATTGTTTACCCTGTAATGCCCTATAAGAAGCCATCTATTTATGTGGAAGAAACTGTGAGACACCCTCATGTGCAAGGTGTATGAAGGGTAGGCTCTGTCTCTCCTTCAACAATACTGGTGGAGCCTGTTCTGATCTGCCCACCACGGGGCCAGAAAACCAGCAGGAGACCAAACGAATCACAGACATGACCTCTATCCTCAGAAGCTCTGCCTGTCAGAGTAGAAGAGCAAGACCTTCCCACAAAACAACATGATTACATGATCAGATGGCTTGAAACCAGCAACAACAAAAGAGCTTTGAGATTTCAGAGAAGTGGGAAAGAATACAGGCTGTGATGGTGAGAAAGGATCTTACAAAGGGGGCAGGTCTTGGAGTACCCTGGAAACCTGGGAAGAACCTCAGTGGTGGTGGGAGCAGGGGGAAGAGGTGGGAAGAATTGGTTATCATGACATCATCTCATGCAGGGAGACAGCTGAAGTGAGGCCCAAAAACGAGACGCTGGGGGGACGCATGGGGGGCTGGAGGCTTCTCCAGCTCCAGGGAGAGCTCCAGCCAGGAAATCACACGGGCAGATTCCATGTGGGACCTGTTCCTCTCGTTCCCACATGGCTGACGCCCAGAGAGCCATCAGACCATGAACATAGGCCTGACGAGAAGACACGAACATTCGTCAGGTTTGCATAAGAGTTTCCATAATTAAGACTCGGTGGCTCCTAGCTGCAGCTTGGGATATGAAATGGAAATCACTGTGACCTGAGAATAAAAGGTTTCTGTGAGACCTACAAAAGGAATTTCTTGGCCCTCGGGATTCAGGTGTCACCTGGGGGAAGAGGGGAGATTAGGGGAAAAGGAGGGAGCTGGCTTAAAGGACAGAGGAAAGACCGAGAGGTACAGAGGACAGGGGAGGATGAGAAGACAAATGCCACAGCCCTTCCAAGGAGGAGCCTTTTCTAACGCTGCTGCTGAGTGGCTGTTCTCACGTTCCCTCGCTGCATCCCATCAGGTGCTTTCTGTGTTTCATTCTGTTAGCTGGGTCATTATGTGACCAGAGATACACAGGTCACAGCAGACCCCTTTCCTCGTCTCATAGCCAGATGCAGGCGGTTCACAGTAGACTGCATTTGTATCTGCAGCAGAAACTTCCCTCGGAGCCCAGTCTCACCCGTCCACCTGCCACTCAGCCCTAACCCATCCCCACCACATCCACAGCCAAAGAGCATCTCAGACATAACGCATCCAACTCTAGCCCTCTGGCCCTCCTGTCCCCAGCTGCTCCTTCCACATCCCTCAGAGCAGAGGAAATGCCTTCCTGTCTGTTGCTCAGGCCAAAGACACTGGACCCCTCCCCGGTGTTTCCTTTTCTCTCAACCCAACGTTTAACCAAGCAGCAACGCCTGTGCCCCACCTCCCACCATCCCAGGACACAACCGCCACTCAGCACCTCTGCTCCCACCTGGACAGCTCCTCCTGCCCTGGCCCTTGACCCTACAGTCTTGTCCCAAAGAGAAGCCAGTTTATCAAAAAAGCAGAAAATAAGCATCGGTGAGGATGTGGAGATACCCAGGCCCTTATGCACGGCCGGCAGGAATGTAAAACGGTGCAACACTGTGGAAAAGGGTGTGACAATCCTTCAAAATATCCCACGGAGTCACCACAGGACCCAGCACTTCCACTTCTGGGTGTGCATCCAAGGAAGGGAAAACCGGGACTCAAACACATGTCTGTGACAACGTTATTGTCAACAGACAAAAGGTGGACGCCACCTAAGTGTCCATCAACAAATGAAGGGATAAACCAGACATGGTCCATCTAGACAGGGGAATATTCCTCAGCCTTAGAGAGGTAGGAAATCCTGGCACACACCACAGTGGGTATGAACCCTGAGGACACAACACTCAGTGAAGGAAGTCAGTCACCAAATGACACACACTGTCTGATCCGCTCGTATGCGGTCCCTGGAGTCCTCAAATTCAGAGACACAGAAAGTGGAAAGGTAGGTGCCAGGGGCTGGCAGGAGGATTGGGAGTGAGTAATTTGATGGGGACAGAGTTTCAGTTTGGGAAGATGAGCAAGTTGTGGAGATGATGGTGGTGATGGTTGCACAGCAGTGTGAATGTACTTAATGCTGTTGCACAGTTACAATGGTAAATTTTATGTCATGCATATTTTACCACAATAAAAAAAGAGAGAAGCCAGAGCGTGATTTTCAAGCTCAGATCAGCCCCGTCTCTGCTGGGCATGACCCTCAGGGCTCCTGCTCACCACGCTTCTGTGCTCACGACACTGCCCACTGGCCTGGGCCAAGGGCACGTTCTGCTCTCTCTGTCCCCGACATGTGGGCCTCTCCCCACAGCACCTGCAGCCACCCGGCAGACACATCTCCCAAGAGCCAGGGGATGCCCATGCTCCTGCACCCTCTGCCCAGAGAGGCCCAGGCCACCCTTGGCCCCCACCCCACCCAGTACGCCCTGCCTCGGTCTCTCTCCACAGCACTCATGGCCAGCTGACTTAATGGGCATGGAACTTATTCGCTTATTTACTGTCTGTCTCCTCAAATGAGAATGTGATTTCTATTAAAGCTCAGATTTGATCTCTGTATGTTTAACATTTCCCAAACACCCGAACAGTGCCTGGCACAGAGCAGGTGCTCTGTGCCCACCTCTTGTACCTGCTGAGTGAGTGAGTGAGTGAGTGAGTGAGTGAGTGAGTGAGTGAGTGAATGAAACCTACATCCGGCTTGATTATAAAAGGAGAGGAGTATTTTCTCTGAAATATTAGCTTTTTCTAAAACTCGAAATCTGTGTATGCTGATTGTTTCCCTTTATGTGAAGGTAATGTTGTTAAAAGAAATCCATATGATGTGTGTATCAAGCAGAGGAAAATATAATTAGCTAAGCATAAAATGGCTTTTATAACAACACGGCACCTATTTACCCTGTTTACGATAAATTACAAGGTCACAATTTCTAGGTTACAAGCACATTAGTGAACACATATGTGTTTATATGTGTGTGTATTAAAGAGTCTTTAACAAATTTAGCTTTAAAACATAGTTGTAAAAGTTAGTGGGAAAAACACCTTCACTCTACATTTTACTTGCAGGTCATTTTTGTAATAAAATGTCCAACGGTGGTTGTTGCTACACTGGATTTCCCAAGGCTTCAAAAAGCTGAACTGAAGGACTACATACTTGAAGCTCTGCACATGTCTGAAAACCCCTCTTGAAAATGCCGATAATATTCAAACAAATAGCTGGATGTTTGGGAAGAGAATGGCATTCTTTACTCCGAGCATTTTCTCCTAAACCTCAGCTGTCAACACTGGCTAAGACCCCACCTATCAGATACCGCGGCTGTACCTGACTTCCCCTCACCCACCAGCCACTTAAAATACTTTGCTTCCTTTTAATCAGAATAAGCTCTGCTGATCTCCCTTCAAACCGAGATTGTTGTTTTTACAGCGTTAACAGTCTGAACCGGAGCATAACGATCGGCTGTCTCAGGCGTTTCATGGCCCGGGACAGGCGGCTCTCTTCTTACAGATTACAGGGAACTCACACAATTAAACAGCATAAACATAGATGAGGCTATCCCGTAAACAACAGGGGACATACCTGCAGCTTCAGGGAGCACAGCATGCTGCAAAAAATGACAGAGGAGCGGAACCTTTTTGCTCAGAAGTGAATTGTATCTGGATGTTAATCAGTGAAGTGAGAGGGTGCGGGGAAGCCAGAATTTTGCTTTCTCATGCATTGTTCTAAATTGATGAAAAATACACTATCAGCTCACTACCTCTGAGGAGCAGAGGTAAATATCTGAGTAACCAAAATAAATCTGAAAACAGAGAAAATGAGGACGGTTACCCTGACATTACGGTTCGCGATCAATCGGGATTCATTAAGCTGCTAGTAGTAAATGGTTTCTGTGCAGTAAACTAGAAGAAACCCAAGAAGCGTTTGTTCCAATCCTCTCCTAAAAACATTTCCCTCAAATTATTTTTAAAAGGACCAGAGCTCCTATTACCTGCATGATCTGATTATGTAGGAACATAAGGACAGTCACTCTCAGTGACATCGTGGCCCGACAGAGCAGAAGGAGAAGAGGGAGGAGCCTCCGTTCCTCCTGCAGTGACCCCGGGACTAACGGGCCAGTCACCATTCACTGTCCAGCTGCACCCACAACTCGGTGGACGGAGCTTCCACATCACTTCCTCACTTCCTGGGAGGAAACTTTCTCTTTGTTTTAAGGGAGTGGTTCCCTCGTTTTTAGTCCACCTGAAATGTTTTTCTTGAGGGGAGATGTGGGACCTAGAATTCTATTTAAGAATACTGGAATTTCAGGAATAAATGGTTATTTTCTCTTTGTGCCACCCTCCAACCTTTGGGGACTCTGCTAGGTGCCCCAGTTTTGCCTAGTCCCCTCGGCCTGGCCCACACATCTGCGCCTACCCTTTCTCCATCAGGTCCCCTGTACTGTGGGAGTGGTAAGAACAAGATTTAACATGAAATGAAATCTTTTGATTGTTCTCTAGCACAATTGTATCTATACTGATTCAGTGCAAAACTAGAAAAAGAAAGTTCTAACTTGATTAGGAAAACCATTAGCCATGTACTACATTACCCTGATAAGGTTCTAGGCAGAAAGACTGAGATTCGCAGCGTTAATGCTTTTCCTACTTCATATTGCTGCAGCCAACATCCACAGGTGCAATATCTTGTGCTCCAAGCTGCGTCCTGGCAACTGACTTGTTAGTACAAGGCTTTGACTGTCGTTTCCCATTGAAATGAGAGGTTTTCAAGATTTCTGTCACATCATTAATAACTTCATTCAAAGATCACACATCTTTACTTCAAATAAAGCATTCAACCATGTCGTCAACATGTTGTTGACCCCACTTATAAACAGCCTGAGACAGTTCGGCAGAAGTATGAGTGATTGCTTGTCACGTCTCTACTTTCAAAATACTTTCTATATGTTGCTAATTATCTTTCCGCAGCTGCACAAAGAAGGCATAGAAAAAAGATGCATCCATGTCTTGGAAATAATTTCATAAAATACATGGATATAAGTATATGTCCAAGAGACACATACTTTTTGCATATTAAATTCTAAAACAAAATGATTAGCTCTAACCTTTCATACAATAGTCCTTAAATGAGAGATTCTATACTATTATCCCAAGGCAATTATTTCACATCTAAAGGTTAAATTATTTGGTTTTCTTAATTAAATTGATAAAAAAAAACTGAACAGTGATCTGATGGGTTCTGTCAAGTGGTTCAAACCGAAGCTCCAACGCCCTCTCCACCTTCAGAGAGCAGGATGCAGCGCACGGTACTGGGAAAGTTTCTTTTCTTTGTATAGTCTTTAGCTGGGTTAAACTGTCACTAAAAAATTTACTAAGCAGGCCGTGCGTGGTGGCTCACGCCTGTAATCCGAGCACTTTGGGAGGCCAAGGCGGGTGGATCACCTGAGGTCAGGAGTTTGAGACCACCCTGGCCAACATGGTGAAACTCCATCTCTACTAAAAACACAAAAATTACCCGGGCATGGTGGTGCACGCCTATAATCCCAACTACTCCAGAGGCTGAGGCAGGAGAATTTTTTGAACCCGGGAGGCAGAGGTTGCAGTGAGCCGGGATCATGCCACTGCACTCCAGCCTGGACGACAAGAGCAAAACTCTGTCTCAAAAAAAAAAGAGAAAAATTTTACTAAGCAGCTCTTACGGACCTAGCATTTGACCCAGCCCTCCTATTATTAAACTCAGAAAAGTCTCCCTTTTCAGCATGGTAATGACAGACTGTGAATCACCCACAGTATTTGTTCCGTTCTATCAATTGACTTGTAAGCATCATTTTAAAAATGATAAAAATCTTGAACCAACAGACAGTGTTTAGCGGAGCTGGTAAGAACAATAGTGGCCCCACCAACATGTGGGGCAAAGAACATGCAAAATAGACAGAAGTGAAAAAGCAAAAATAAACTGAAATATGAAATCAACAGTAACACCCATCTACAACTTTCTCTTGCTTCTCCATCCTGTATTACCTGGAAAGCCCTTCTGGAGTTTCCCATTTTTTTAGCCTCCTTTCAAAATTTTAGTTTCAGAGTTTTCTGAGTTTTATAAAAAGTATTTAATCTCAGAAGAAAAAAAAATGCCACTGAATATATACATTTAGATTTGCCAAATGTTGTAATCTGCTTCTGTTTATCTTGATATTCTTGGGAAGACACTGAATGAGATCATTTTAAAACTTGACCAGTAGAAATATAAATGTGATTCAATTAGATTTTTGTTCCTGAATGCAGGTTATCTTTGAGTTCATTTACCTGTATTATCTTCACTTTGTGGGGGCAGAGGGTATGGAGAAAGAAAAATGTGACAACCTTGAAATTCAAAGCTCTGTTTATCTCAAGAACAGTATGTCAGAGTTCTTTCAATGTCCAGAAATTATTTCAGTGTTCTAAAAAAAAATTACTGGAAGTGCAGAAAGCTCATCGTTGTAAAAATTATTATACCTTTAGTTTGCTTCCTGCAAAAAGGTCAGAGGGCCTAGATCCAATTAATGGTAAAAATCTACTTCAGTCCATGACATAATTTAGTAGTGACTACATTTTATTATTCCTCCAGTCTGTTGGAGACAAAAGCTACTCCTGCGCTGTGTTATCTAAACCCATTTATAAAGGGACTCATTATATGGTCTAAATCCCTACAAATAAAACCAAAAAAAATTCTACAGGTTCTCTTAAAATGGAATTTTGTCGTAACAAATAAACTGTTAAAACCACATTCGTGATCTGCAAGACAAAGTGAGGCAATACACGAATCCCTGGGTTCCTACGGTAAATTAGTAATTAAAATGAAACACTTTGTACCCAGGAGAACAAGAGGGCACCATGCAAACGTTTCTCCTTCTCTGGGATCTGAGGGCAGCTCTATGTGTGTCTTTGCTGTTGGTAGCTGAGGAGCTGAAGTGAGTTTTCCTGGCTGGAATGGTTGGAATTCTTAAAGTGGTAAGAGGCAAAGTCAGGATAGCAGAGTAGAAAAATCACAAAACTCAGCAAAGATCGGTCAGCTCTAAGGCCCTTCCAGCTTATGAAGTAAACTGCTATACAGAGCTTCTAAGAACGAGGTGTTCTCTGATTAAGATGAAGCATTTTTGCCAAGGATCACCTAACATCAACTGTTGTTCACTGAGCTGGAGGGACACTGCACTCTACGAAATTTCTCTGCAGTGGTTTCTATGTGATGATGTTTCACCTGAACTGTAGGTCCCAGCGAGACACCCGGGCAAAGACCAAATGACTGGCAGGTGTGCTGTGCCAGGAGGGTGGCGACCTGTGGGGCCGCAAGGATGTCTCGGTCCTGACAGTGACGGTCATCATGGCATGCAGATGACAGCTGCTCATGCACGGGCCCTGGACGGGATGGGCCCCCACAAAAGGCTTCTCAGGATTCTTCCTGTGCTCTCAGCCTTGAACTCAACAGCACTAATGTGGCCCAACAGAAAAGCCACTTCCCAGGCCACAGTTCAGCGGACTAGCAGGGATGGCTGGGGCCGGGCCCGCCCAGTCTCTCCATCCGGGTCAACAGAAACCCCGCCTCCACGAGCCCAGCTCAGCTCCCCTCATCCGCGGCTGCCCTCCGGCGGCCTCCAGTGCCCTCAGACACCCTCCCTCATCTCCCCACACTTGCCGCTCCAGCCATCCTGCCCACTTTCTATAGTTGGGATGTGTGTCTCTGCCAAACCTCACATTGAAATGCTATCTCCAGTGTTGGAGGTGGGGCCTGGTGGGAGGTGACTGGATCACAGGGGTGGTTTCTCATGAGTGGTTTAGCACCGTCCCCGGTGCTGTTCTCGTGATAGTGAGGGAGCTCTCACGAGATCTGGTCGTTTGAACGTGTGTGGCAGCTCCCCGCTCTCCTGCTCCTGCTCCCGCCATTAAGACCCGCCTGCTTCCCCTTCACCTTCTGCCATGATGATGTTTCCTGAGGCCTCCCCAGAAGCCCAGCAGATGCCTGCACCATGCTTCCTGTGCAGCCTACAGAGTCATGAGCCAATTAAACCTCTTTTCTTTCTAAATTACCCAACCTCAGGTATTTCTTTATAGCAGTGCGGAAACGGCCTAACTCGCCCCACTTACTGTGGACTCACTGCCTTGGACGGCTCGGCCTAGTCTTCGTCTTTATCCTGTTTTCTACAGTTCTCCGCATGGAGTTGACAGTAAGCAAGCCTCCAGGTCGCCGGAATCAAAGACCGAAACCCTTCATCCTGAGGGCTGCAGGATCATGTAGTTGAGATGGAGAACAGTTCAGCACAATGTTCCTTTGAGACTCACCGCTAACACCGAAAGTAAGTGGTTGAGGACAGAGCCAGGCAGTGAGAATACAAGGAATGTCTGGAACCCGTAGCAGTGCCTCTCTGGGCCTCCCCTGCATGTTGAGGAAGACAACAACGCAAGCACCAGCAGCAGAAAATGAGAAAATTGCTTCACAGCACAGGGCCCTTCCTTTCTTCTCTCCTTTGCCTCTGCCCTTTGCTGAGAAAAAGCCTCTTCAGCAATCACTCATTGCTTCCCAGCCCGTAGAGCAAGGACAGGCTACTTGGCTCTCTCCGTCAGAAGCTTTAAAACAAGAACCAAATCCTGAAAGGCCTGAGAAGAAGGAAAAAGCAGAAAAAAAGCTGAAAGCTGACGTGGAATCCCGGTTCCAGGAGCCGCTCTCATTCTGCCAGGCCGGGATGCAGTATGAGCCTCTTTCCATCTGATTTGTCTTTTGTTCCAGTACCTGGCCTATTAAGTGCTTGTGAATGAAGAGAACTGATATTCACTAAATTCCTACTATGTGCCGAGGACTACTCCACGTTCTTTCCATAGCTCATCTTTACCAGTTAGCTCATCTTTACCAGTGGAGGTGAAGAGATGAGGACGCCCAAGGTCAGAAAGCTTGCAGGTGGCTCAGGTTGGCAAGGTTTATAAGCGTGGGGATTGCAGTAGAAGACCTAGCCCGGTACAAGCTTAGAACACACTTCATCAATACTCATCGAATGCTTGAGTCAATACATGTCAAATAATAGAACAAAGGACTTAGTTCTGTTCCCATACTAGGAGAAACATGGGCCTTTATTGCACCTCAATAGGGAGGGGGTTGGAGGGACCAGATATGCATGCTTGAGGCTTTGTGGTGGTGAAGACGTGGCCCCTTCATGAGCAGAGTTAACATGCAGGTGCACTAACATAATACTCCCCCACTGTGGAGACCGTTACGACACATGCCTATGTTCCTTATTCTTGAGGATTTTAAACCTTCGGAAAGACAAACCCATGGGGACATTACGTGCTCATTCACGTCCCTGCCCTGTTTCCAAAAGATCATCATGTTCTGCAGATTCTACTTCCAAAATGTCTTTGAACCTGGCCCACCCAGGGGAACTCCCTTCCTCTGATTCCACTGGTCAGAGCCTCTCACAAATGAACTCATCTCTCCTCACTTATTACTGACTACGATATCCCCATTGCCCGGTACAATGCCTGACACACAATAGGTGCTCATTAAACGTCTTTGGATGAGTGATTGAGGGAACGAAGCCATCTCCTGGTCCTGCGTGCTTTGCCTGTCATTCCATCCTCCTCACCGCTGCAGAGTCCTCTTTCTAAAGCACTCATCTGTCTTGAGAACGGAGGGCTGAGAAATATTCTTCCCTGAGAAAGAAAAGACACTGCTTAATCTCAAAATATATGTTCAGCAAGAGGAATATTTTTATAAAAATAAAGGATAAGCTGAAAGAATGTAAGCAGAAGCTGTAATTTCAGCAGTGGCATTTACCCCGTTTGTTTTAAGCATTGGCAGTGTATATTACCCTGCATTAGCCGCAAGGATAAACAGTGTTTTCAGATTCAAATATGTCAATTACAACATTCCTGGATATTCGGAGGTCTTTTCCTGTTCTATTTCTTACGCTGTTCCTCTCAGAGTTCAAATCAAACCTCCAAAAACTATTTTTTTTTGTTCATTGTGAGCTCAGCGTGGCTAATCTTAATTTTACTACTCTTGTGAAAACATCCAAAACCAAATTTGCCTTGGTAAGAAAAATTCATCATACAAAATGTCATATGTTTTTATTATCTGTTCACATAAAAACAGTATTAGTAAGGTTAGAGGTAAAAAAGTAAATGTAAATCTTAAACATAGTTTCTGAACTGCCTTGTCACTGAGAGTTAAAAATCCTCTAGCAACCTAACCCTTTGCATCTGACATTATTTTTTGTGACTATTCCTCTAGTGAAATAAGTCACTGACACTTTAGTGTAAGTTACTCCTAGTAAATCACTTTTACACAGGTTAAAGGGAAGCACAACAGAAAAACTGTAAGGAAGGTGGTGCAGATATCCAGATTTTGCCCAGGACAGCCTAAGCAGAAAGCTGCTTCCCTCACTTCCCTCCAAAGTCAAGAATTGAGAGGGAAGATGGCCTTCCAATTCCAGCCACTGATGAGAATAAATTCCGGAAAAACATATTAAACATAGCGTTTGACGCTTCTATCCACAGCTGGAAACATTACACAAATTTTAGTGAGCCCTGAATGCCAGCAGCCATAATTCCCAAATTCTTTTTTAAAATAATGAACTAATCCAGGTGAAGGACCTGCGGCTTGGCGCCATCTGGTGCCTGCACAGAGAAAGAACGTTCCATCGAGGCTGCAGTGCTGAGTCCCTTTGTTAGTCCAAGTGGGGAACACTTTTTAAAAACACAACCGTTGTCTTTCATCACAGTAAATCCTAAAGTGCTACTAACAACAAACTCAATCTGAAAATAAACTTGAAAATTATTTATAGTTTTTCCAACAATGATCTTATTTTGAGAGAGAATACATTAAGTTCTGCTAATACCAACCCTGGGCTCTTACAACATAGTGACTTCTACTAACTCTTTCTATGTGCATATGTTTTTTTAAATGATAAAAGCATTTTCCACAGGGGGATGCCAGTGAACTTTCTTTATCATTGAAGTGTACAGCACAAATGAGAACTTTTTCAAACACTGTTCCTAAGGCAACAAGATGCTACTTCCTAAAAGATATATTTAAGGGGCTAAATCTAAAGTTGATTTGAAAATTGGAAAAAAAAAATGAAAATGTTGATTATCCAAAATAATTAGGGAAATAAAACTGCAAAGATCTCAGAGTAGAATATTTTTACTTCTCAAAATATGGGCCTCGTTTCCTAGTTGTATCTGCCTGCAAAGGAACGGAACTAAAAGGCCAAAGCTCAGGGTCAACCCGGCTTCCTCAGCCCTGGTTGGATACATTCATCTGCATGCTCAGAACCAAGCTGACACCCATGAATGGAGATGAGTCACTGCGTTTACAAAGTTGTGGTTAAACATAGAAGGGTTTACTTCGCTTGTTTCATCCTTGCTTCTAATTTCTTCTTGACTTCAGTTCATCGTACAGACAGCCACTGAGTTAACTCTTCTCCAAGCAGTAGTTGGCTTCTGGGATGATGCTGACCCACCATCTTATTTCATCAGTTTTCTCCATGGTTCACCCCATATTCTTCCACACAAACTCAGTATTTCAGCCCGACTGGCACAGGAGGTGGCTTCCAAATACATCATAAACCTTCTCACCTGGTATTCTTCCTTTCTAGAATATTCTCTCCCTTCCTCTCTCATTACCTAAAGCCTCCAGGCTCCCGTTCAAGTCCCATTGTTTCCCTAAACACTTTCTGCAGGGGCTCCAAGTTGTGATCTCTCCACGTTCCTTGGTGCGGATAGTAGATTCTACACATTCATTTGGGAATTTCTGTACAGAATTGACATTTTTATTTTTATTTTTGAATTACACATTATTTTCCCAGCTAGACCATGAGATCATTCAATTTAGGAGCTATTTTATAGGTTTGGACACTAAACATTTTACAGTGTCCAATGATGATAACTAGTACTTGTTGGCAGTTGTTACATAATTGCTATGTTTTAAGTGATTTATCTAAAAACTCTTTAAGGTAGACGCTATTATTCCCTTCACTTTAAAGATGAGGAAACTGAGCAAAAAAGGTAAAGCCATTGAGCGGGAACATGATGGAGCTGGAATCCCACCCAGCTCTGCCTGCTCTGCAACCCACGTCTGCATGGCCATGTGAACCTACACCTCAGCACAGGCTCGAGGAGACGGCAATCAGTGACAGACAGCAGGCTTGTGCATGTTTAACTGAGAAGGCTGAGAGCAGCCAATGCTAATGAACACTTCAAGTCCACCACATCCTCCAGCCACAGCCATGCAGCCACACACCACACACTACTACCACTGTCCACACTCAATCCCTGCGGCTCACCACACACGGAGGGGGGTGCTGGCATGAAGGAGGAAGCATGTCAGGCTTCTCAGCCTCACGTCACCCACTGGCCAGGTGCTAACCTCAGATGACTGACTCCACCTCTCTGACCCTTGGCTTTCTCGTTCCTATAATGGAGCCAATCATGCACTCTGTGCAGGGTTGCTATGAGGGTTACAAGAAACCCATACAAGGAACGTCAGAAGCAATGTCCCCAAGGCAGCTGGTCACTGGCAGTTATCTGTTAGTCTGTACAACAGGTCTGGCATCTCCCTTGAGCTATAAACCAACCATAGACTGCAGTCCCACGTCTACAGGATGGATGGCCCACAGGCTCATCCCCACCACTCCCCATGCTCCTGCCACACTGAGCTCCGTCGCTTGACAACCTCAGAGCTGCTTACTGCCCCAGGAATAACAAACCTAATTCTTTCAGGACGTGGCCTGGCCCATTTCCCTTGCTTCCCACGTGCAATGTGCCTTTCTGGAATGCCTGTCCACTTGGCAGACTCCTACTCATCTGGATGACTCAGCCCAAAGCCAGCTCCTCCCAGGAGTGTCCTCAAGTCCCTAAACAGGGCCAGCCCTGCCTCCACCCCACCCCCCCATGCTCAAGCAGCTCCTTCCTCCATTTTGATCTTATTTCATGCCTGATCAACCTCATTGATGTGTCCTGAGCCCTGGGCTGCAGGCTCTTGAGGGCAGAGTTCGCATGCTTGCCTGGTACAAGGTGCTCAGTAAACGCTGATGGAATGAATGCACAAATGCACAAGCAGATGAGAGAGAAGGAAAGAAAACAACAAGAAGAGATGGAGACCAGGAGAGGCCGTGAGAAGGGAAGAAGGAAGAACAGGAAGGGAAGGGCACGTGGCCTAGGACCTGAAGACAGCAAGTGGGCACACTGCCATCCCCCCAACTTATAGGGTCCACATGGGAGACACCCATGCTTTGTGTCCTCAGGGTCCCATCAATGCCCTACTCAGGCAGAGGAGAATCCCAAATCCCACCTTCCTTCTCCTCCAAAAGAAACCACTCTGTGTCCATCTCTCATGGTGCCAGATTCCACTAGAGGAGGTGGGAAGAGTGGTTAATGAGTTTGAATCCAACATGGCTTTGAGAGCACCAAAAATCCACACCAGGTTTTTCTCTCTGCAAAGCCCTCTGTCTCCTCCAAGCAACCAGCTTACAACTTCCCCAGTGAGCGAGTCATGGAGCCAAAGTCAATCCATTTCTATCTCCAACCCCTGCCCACAGCACGTCCCTGCATGGGGAAAAGCACGGACAACAGGAAGGTTTAGCATGGGTATTACAAAAAGGGCTTCAGAAAATTATATTGAGAGGCTTTGCAGTCTTCAACTACCTATAAGTCCACCTCATTTTTAACTTTGGGGGGCATCATCCATGTTTCTGTATGATTTTTAAAGCTTCGTCCAGCAGTAGGTTCATGATCAGGCAGCCTCTCTCAGGTCCCAAGAACACCGTGGGGAAGTGCACAGGGCTCCCAGCCCAGAATCCCTGTCTGTGACCACAAGGGTTTGCTTTCCTTTGTGAAATGTATGTCACTCTCCTTCTCAAGAAACTTCAGCAGGGGAAAGCTCAAAGCTTTTCCTCTAAGATCAGAAACAAGACAAGGATGTCCACGCTCACCACTTCTACTCAATGTAGTACTGGAAATCCTAGCCAAAGCAATTAGGCAAGAGAAAGAAAGAAAAGACATTCAAATTGGAAGGGAAGAAGTTAAATTATTGTTGTTAGCAGACAACATGATCATATCTATGGAAAACCCTAAAGACTCCATCAAAAAACTATTAGAACTAATAAATGAATTCAGTAAAGTTTCAGGATACAAAATCAACATACAAACATCAGGAGCCTTTTTGTACACTAATAGGGAAATATTGGAAAAAGCAATGAGGAAAACAACACCATTTACAATAGCTACAAAAAATAAAATAATTAGAAATAAATTTAACCAAGGAGGTGTAATATCTCTACACTGAAAACTATAAAACATTGATGAAAGACACTAAAAAGGAAATAAAAAGATATTCATGTTCATGGATTGGAAGAATAATATTGTTAAAATATCCGTATGACCCAAAAGTGATCTACAGATTCAATATAATCCCCATCAAAATATCAACGATATTCTTCACAGAAATAGAAAATATATAATTTATATGGAACCACAAAAGAACAGCCAACGTTATCCTGAGCAAAAAGAGCAAAGCTGGAGGCATCACATTACCTGACTTCAAAATATACTACACAGCTATAGTAATTAAAAGAGCATGGTGCTAGCACAAAAACAGACACACAGACAAATAGAACAGAATAGAAAGCCTAGAAATAAATCTGTGTGTTTATAGCCAGGTGATATTTAGCAAACATGCCAAGAACACCCAATGGAGAGAGGAGAGTCTCTTCAAAAAATGATATTGGGAAAACTGGATAGCCACATGCAGAAGAATAAAACTAGATCCTTGTCTCCCACCATGTGAAAAACCTACTTAAAATGGATTAAAGATTTAACTGTAAGACCCAAAACTATGAAACTACTGGAAGGAAACACAGGGGGAAACTCCAAGGCATGGGCGTCTGCAGTGATTTCTTGGATATGACCTCAAAGCACATGCAACAAAAGCGAACACAGACAAATCGGAATGCATCAAACTAAAAAGCTTCCATACAGCAAAAGAAACAATCGACAGAGTGAAGAGACAACTTAAGAATGGGAGAAAATATTGCAAAACTGTGCATCTGATAAAGGGTTAGTCCCCAAAATACATAAGGAACTCAAACAACCTAATAGTAAGAAAACAACCCAATTTTTAAAAATGGACAAAAGATCTGAAAAGATCCATCTTTGGATCCCATGTTGTCCAAGCCTGAATTCTTGAGAAAATTCTTTTCTGTGAGGGACGAGCCAGGAGGACTGAGATGGAAGTGAGGATAAAGGAGGTAACAAAGTTGTGTTTGATAGTGACGCTTCGGACGACGGCCTCAGAGATTCTCCGAATGGCAGGGTGGGAAGGCTATAATGGTCCTAAACTACTTCTTCATGTCCCAGTAAAGAAACTGAGGCACAGGGAGTCCAGTGGCTCACCCAGGAACCCCAGGTCAGGGCCTTGGACCAGGGCTTGGTAGCTCTGCCTCTGCTGACCCTGGAGGCAGTGACTTCAGGAGGTGAGGAAGCCCTGGGTGCTGCCCAGCCCGAGGCAGGCCTCCTGGGTCAGACGTTCCTGCTGCCTGAGGTCCGTTCATCCCAGCCACCCTCCCCAGCTGCCGGCTCCCCTTGCCTTGCAATTCACATGCCAGCCTCGGGGCTGCCAGCCGAGCTCATCCTTGTGTCCTCCAGCACCCACCACGTCCTCCCTGCCCGCTGCGGGCCTTGGCACCTTTGCCAGGGCTGCCCCCACCCCCAGCCCCAGCTGTCTCGGAGGTGTCAGAGCCTGAGAGTCACCCCCAAGAGCAGCCCTCTCTGACCCACCAGGCAGGCCATGCGACTGCCTATGTGCTCCTACAGAGGCCTGTGCCCCACCCTGGTCCACAGCTGACCTGTGTGCTGCACACTCACCTCCTTGCTTATCTGTGTGACTCCGGTTGGAGGGCTTTCTCCTCACTAGGCTGTCAATTCTGAGGGCATGAACCGAGCCTATCTTGTTTCTGCATCACTGTGGGGCCCAGCAGGGCCCAGCACCCAACAAATGTGTGTTGAATTGGGCCCCCTGAGCCGAGGGTGTGGATTAAACGACCCCCACAGAGCCCTTCTAGCCAAAAGGTCTGCCATCTCAGGGGTGTGTGTGTTGACAGAGAGAGGGAGGGAAATCAATTTAAAGTGAGAGAGAGAAAAAAAAATGCTGCATCTACAGTTCTTATTTATTTTTCCATTCCAATTTTATGTAATTCACAATAAAAAGATGCTCAATGTCATTACTCATTAGGAAAATGCAAATCAAAACCACAGTAAGATAGCACCTCACACCCACTAGGATGCTATAATCAAAAACTGGGAAAGAAGTGTCGGTGAGGACATGGAGAATGGAGGTCCTCACACAGTGCAGCAGGAATGCAGAGTGGTACAGCTGCTATGGAGAATAGCTTGTTCCCCACAAGTTAAGCATGGAATTACTGATTGGTGGTATCGTTGGATATTCACTGGAATATAATACTCGCCATCATGACTGCTACTGTTGTTTTACTCAATAGTTATGAAAAGAGGGAAAAAACAAAGCTTTATAAATTAAATCTATTATATCAACCCTTGAAGGAACACTGTAGTAAATTATTTTATAATTGTTCTATAATTCACCCTGTAATTTATTGATCTATAATTCTTTTGGGAGAGGCAGACCTGTATCATTAGCACTGTAACATCAGTTAACACTTCCCTTAAAGCAAAGGATGTAGCAATATCCCCCAAATTAAGTAATAACGTGCAGCTCTTACTGACAGTGTTTTAAATGACACTCTCTTGGGCAAGTAGAGGCATAATGGCTGGGCTAGTGAAACAAGAAAAAGAAAGAGGAGGGGAGAGAGAGAGAAGGAGATGAAGACAGAGGGAGGAAAGAAGGAAGAGAGAGAGAAGGGGGAGGTTGGGGTGGGGATAGTTATCTTGAACACTTGAAGCGTGTGGTCAGACACTCAGCCCTTTCAGTGTCACAATGATGAGTGTGTAAGAGTGTGCGTGTGTGTGTATGTTTAGATGGCTAGGGAATGCGATTCTGAAAGTTTCCAGAGATAGAGAATTGCTCAAAAGGGAATCCCAAACCCAAGTAACAGCCAATAAGCTCCATTCCAGGACACATGAGGTTCTAAGAAGGGTGAAGGAGAATTGAGTTGTACTTTACCCGGTTCACTTTCTGGCAAGTGCTTCTTCCAAATAAGGGTGCACAAGCTACTGCAGAATCCCTAGGGGAAAAGATATTCTAAGACATAGAAACAGAATCTGCAGGGTGACTTAGAGATGTTCTTAGTGGGTAAAGAACTTCTCGGGCTAGTTTCCTGTCGGAGACACTATCATTCAAAATATCTGACTGCTATTTATTTGGGAGTTCCAAAATTTCCTAAAGTAGGGAATGAAATAATGGTAGGACATTTTTAAAATAAAAATGGGTTCTGTGCAGCTAATTGGTTACTAATGTTTAAATTGTGCAGACATATGCCAAGCATCTGAGCTTTTGGAGAGATAACACATCATCCTTGCTGATAGACTGCTCCATAGCAGACACTGTCGCAAAAGCACCCTCAGAAATGAAACAGCGCGGGCCAGGGAAAATAGTAAATTCAACCTCACTCACGAAAAAGTAAGAAAACACACCACGTTAGGCATCCGCATGCTCCGTGGAAGCCCAGCCTTCACCTTCAGAGATGTGTCAGGAGGAGGTGCCACTGCTGTCCCAGTGCCAACCTCGAAAGGCTTAGCCATACCTCTTCCACCCATTTTACACTCGCTGCTCGTGTTTTCAGGCTGTATCCCATCTTGAAGTGAAGACATTCTTTAAGTTGGCTGCCCCACGGCGTTGGTGGCCATGAGAGGAAACGTGAGGCTCCGTCATTCTGTGATTAGGTGGAGACGTCTGAGGAGCTGCGTGAGGAGCAGGCAGGTGCTCTGGATGTAACCTGAGACAGCTTTGGCTTGTTTCCTACTGTCCCTTTTAAACCTGTTCTCTGGACACTCTCTGTCCCTGGATGAAAACCCAGGTGGGACGTATACATTTTCTAATCAGTCCCAGGAAATAAGAAGCGCTTTGGCCACGTGAAGTCAACAAATGCATCCAAAGTCAGCAATTTAAAATGCCCAGTCTGCTCCAGACACCAAAAACTCTGCCCTGAATAAATCGACCTTTGCCACCCCACCAAGGCCGCTATGGCCACCCAGCTCCTGCTGCAGCTCCACGGTTCATGACGCTCCTCCTCCAGCTGGCAGCTTAGGTGCCTGATGCCATCAGCCACCACCAAGTATGTCTTTCTTGTTGGGGTTCAAGGGGCTGTGGGAGGCAGGAGAGATCCAAGGGCAGGCGAGGTCTTACCCGATGACACCATCATAAGTCAGCTTTGGTCCCGCAGCCTGGCCAATGGTTGATGCTGCCCTTTCTCCAGTGGGTCAGAGCCCATTGATGGACTTGACACCTGTATCCCTGGAGGGTCTGTCCTCAGCAGTGGGCTGCAGCCCAGGTGAATTCACTCCTCTCCCAAACTTGCTCCCTCCCTAAATGCCTCCAGGAATCTGAAGACCATCAACAGGTTCTTTGGAAAGAGTTAATAGGAAAACTTCTGGAGAAACGGATACAGAAAAAGACAGAAGATACAACAAAGAAATGTTAGTCATGAGTAAAGAAACAGGATGCCAGATATAATTCTTAAAATGATTTAATGCCAAAAATGGGAACACGTGGACAAAGATAACTTTTTATAGTATAACTTAGAAGAACTTGAATATAAATAGAATTCCTGAAGAATCTGTTCACTATTAAAGAAACCAAAGCCATAGTTAAGGGTTTTCCTAGAAAGAAAACACAAAGCAAGATAGTTTTTACAAGTGAGTCCTAACAAATTTTCAGGAAACAGGTCATTGCAATCTCATGCAATCTTATTTTTCTAGGGAATAAAAAGAGGACTATCTCCACCTTATTCCATGAGGGTAGTGTAACCTTCCTGTTGAATTGAGGCAAGACTAACCTTATTCATGAATATACATGCCAAAATCCTAAACGAAATATTAGTGAATCGGCCCCAGCAGTGAATAAGAAAATACCTCATGCCATGGCCATGTTTGATTTATTTTAGAAATTCAAGAGTGTTCTAATATTTGAAAATTCATGAACTTCATTCATCATATCAAAAGATTAAAGAAGAGTAGGCTGGGCACGGTGGCTCATGCCTGTAATCCCAGCACTTTGAGAAGCCGAAGAGGGTGGATCACCTGAGGTCAGGAGTTCAAAACCAGCCTGGCCAACATGATGAAACCCTGTCTCTACTAAAAGTACAAAAATTATTCTGACATGGTAGCAGGTGCCTGTAATCCCAGCTACTTGGGAGGTTGAGGCAGGAGAATCGATTGAGCCTGGGAGGCAGAGGTTGCTGTGAGCTGGATCACACCACTGCGCTCCAGGCTGGGTGACAGAGTGAGACTCTGTCTCAAAATAGAAAGAGAAAGAGAGAGAGAGAAAGAGAAAGAAAAAGAAAGAAAGAAAGAGAAAGAGGAAGGAAGGAGAAGAAAGAAAGAAAGAGAGAGAGAGAAAGAAAAAGAAAGAAAGAAAAGAAAGAAAGAAAGAAAGAAAGAAAGAAAGAAAGAAAGAAAGAAAGAAAGAAAGAAAGAAAGAGAAAGAAAGAAAGAAAGAAAGAAAAAGAAAGAGTATTACCTGGTTATCTCAAATGGAGAAAACACATTTGATCTCATCAAACATCATCCAAGCTAGGAATAGAAGGACACGTCTTCAGTCTGGCAGAGTGTGTATGAAATACTTCCCATGAACATCGTTCTTCATGAGAAAACCGTGGAAGGAACATTCCCTCCAAATCAGGCCCAGGCCAGATAGGCCCAGTGGCTGCCGTCAGCACCGCCCCGGACATCAGAGGTAACGCTATAAGGAAGCTGGAATGTGTTAAAGTCAGAGGCTTGGAAAGGAAGAAATAAAGCCAGTATTGACTCCAAAGATAGAACTGGCCATAGGGAAAATCCAGTCCACATGGGAAAAGACATTAGTCTCACTGGTCATCAGCTGCATGTAAACGGAGCACAGTGAGACCCACTCTATGTCTACTCTACAAGCAAAAGTTAAGAGTTCTGACAATACCAAAGTTTAGAGAGCATGTGGACCCTTGAATCACAGAGAGAAACTTGCACAACCTCTTTGGAAAGCAACTTGTTATCATGTTGTGAAGGTGAGGGTTTGCCTAGACACAACAATCCCACCTCAGGGTACATATCCCAGAGAAAGCCTCACGCCTGCACCTGAAGAAGCATTCAGTGTGTGAATAGCAGGAGAGTCTGCAATAGTCAAAGAAACAATTCCGGTGTTCTCAGTTGGGGAATGGACAAATTGTGGCAGAGTCACATAAAGGAATGTTATGCAGCTGCAAATGGATGGATAGCGGCTCTATGCAGTAACAGCTAAATCTCACCATTATCCACATATTTCTAGAAGAATAGGAGCAGGCAAAGCAGCTGGGAGAAAATCGTCCAGCATACATGACAGACGCCAAGAGCAGAGACTCAGGTATAGGCCAGAGGTGAGCAGATTGGAGAGGTGCTTAGGGGTCACATGAAGAGGGCGTGGTAATCCACTCGCTATGGGAAGTGCCGTGCTGAGGCCTGGGTTTCATGGGTTAGGTGATGCTGTTCTCTGAGAGGGGAGACAGGAGGAGGGGGAGACAGGAGGGGGAGGGAGAAGGGGGCATGACGTAGATCCAGATAGGGTGGGGAGAGACACACTGAGAAGGGAATGAGGGGAGACCACGCAGAGAGCAAGAAAGACACATGGCCAGGAGGCATACGTGCCAAGACCCCAAGGCAGGAGACGGTTTACTGTGTTCAGAAACATTCAGAATCCCAGAAGCCTGGAAAGACGCAAGGTGTGGGAGGCAGCTGAGATGGGAACAGCCTGGGAGCAGCAAGCACTCAGCAAATGTTAGCGATCGTCCTCTCTCAGCTTCTCAAAGTGCCTCAGTGTATCAGGTATCCCAGCTTCAGAAGCATGGAGAGATTGCCCTTCAGTAATTCCAACAGTTACTGGAATAACACAAATAATCATTTCTTAATTTATGTTGATGTCATCTCAGTTGTGTTTTGTTTTGTTTTGTTTTGTTTCTTTTTGTGAGACAGAGTCTTGCTCTGTCACCCAGGCTGGAGTGCAGTGGTGTGATCGCTGCTCACTGCAACCTCCATCTCCAAGGTTCAAGCGATTCTCCTGCCTCAGCCTCCTGAGTAGCTGAGATTACAGGCGTGTGCCACCATGCCCAGCTAATTTTTGTATTTTTAATAGAGATGGGGTTTTACCACATTGGCCAGGCTAGTCTCGAACTCCCCACCTCAAGTGATCTGCCTGCCTTGGCCTCCCAAAGTGCTGGGACTACAGGCGTGAGCCACCGTGCCCAGCCCTCATTTCTTAATTTATTTCTACATTACTGAATTTTCCCCCTCAGGCTATGTAAGTTACGTGTAAATCAGTATTCTGTCTCATTCAAGCTTCTTCTTTCAAGCCTAAAATTTCCAATTTATCAAATTTTTTTCTAAACAAGGAGCAATAATGATGAGATAGAATGGCATGTTGATATAGTTATCCCAAAACCCAAAATTAGACTTTCATCTACAAAACAAACCCACAAAATCCATTAGCATGCTATTCATTTTGCCATTTTCCTCTGGGTCGAGCCCATTTCAAAAAGAACCTTCATTACATAAAATCACAGAATACCTGTCCCACAGCGAGAAAGAGATAGATCAGGTAATTGAAGCCCACGGGTAATCCAGAAACCTCATTTCAGTTCAATTTCAAACCCTTCTGTCATCAGTACTTTATATCCACACTCAGGTAACGAAATTGGTTGATTTATGAACTTGGACAAGTTCCTTGATCTCTCTAGGCCTCCATATCCTCAGTCGTCAAGTGGAGAGGCTGACAGATGGTCCCTGCAAAACCCCAACAGTCCCAGCACCCACACCTCTCCTCCCATCCCCATAGGCTGGAGTGCTGTTGAAGAGACCTCAAAAATCGATCATCAATGGATTAGCAAAAAAGACATTGAAACTTAGATTCAGAATTTACGCATTTTCAGGCTATAAAATATCATGCCTAAGAGTAAGACAGTACCAGCCAAGAAAGTAGGATATTGTGACTTTATTCTGTGCCAACCATAAATAAAAGGAGAGAAAAGCTAAATAGAGAGGGCTGTAAGTGAGTGTCAGGAGATACTTATCTAGGAGATGACTCTGTGGTAGAAGAGAAAGAAGAGATAGAGGACAACAAATAGAACCCAGTATATAGGATATACACCCACGTTTTCAAAGTGCAACAAAAATGTTTAGAATGTCACCAACTTTAACTGCTTAATTTACCAAAGACTGTCAACTCAGTTTAGTGGCTAATACTTTTTATAGTTATTTGTTCTGAGTTTAATCACAACAAAGTGCAAGAAATTCTTTCCCCAAAATTCACATTACACCCAACTTTGCCAGAACACATAGCATCAATAAGGAAGGGAACCGACATAGACCAGTGGTTCCGCAATCTTGGCTGTGGACTGGAATCACCAAATCTTTTCTGCGGGTTTTTTAAAGGCTACTGCCAGAGCTCCACCCTAGGGAGTCTGATTTAATTGCACTGGGGTGAAACCTAGGCTTTGAAATTTAAAGAAAAATCCCAAATGATGCTCACATGCAGCCCAACTTGAGAATCACTGAATGGTCCAAAGACAGGAAGCAAACAGAGGTGGGACATATAACAGGATGGCCCGCCCATGTCAATCAAACAAGGAAGGAGACACAGGCCAAGCCAACTCAAAGCATCCCCTTCCTATCCTGCAGAAGTGCAAGAGGAAGAGAGGCCTCAGTTCCACGGAGCACTCAGTTCCAGTCCGGTAACCAGGTCATGATCTTGCCATTTCTTTTCTTCAAGCAGGTTTTCCCACTGCAAAGGATGCAAATATATTACCAATCCATCCAAAATATATAGGTCTGATTGTCTGATAGCTCTTTTAAATTTTCTTTTAACTGACTAAAGTATGTGAAAACTGTGCCTCACGCTGATAATTTTCCAGCTTGGGTCGATAATTTTCAGGCAGGGTCGAGGTCACTGGCTCCCAACCCACACACGTGGGCAGTTGTTTCAGCCCCGGGTGGGATTCAAATCCCAGCTTTGAAAATTATCAGCTATGTGCCCTGAGACAACTCCATGACCTGAGTGTTTCGCATGCGGATAAAATGAAGACCCTACTATCTGCTGCACGGAGCTGGTGTGGGGGACCCGGCAGGCATTCTCTTACGGCTGCATATCCATCGGTGCCACATTTTGATGGTCTGGAGGGAAAGCCCAGACAACATCATGGATAGAATACAGAGGCTACAATACAGAGATGCTGTAATTGTCTGATTAATTTCAACCAGCATTTTAAACGCAGGGTCTCTACTGTGCTTATAGGAAGAAAAAGATTCATGAAATCAAAGTGTCCCTTTATCCAGAATACTCATTCAGAAAGCCTAAAAGTGAGGCTCATGCCGCTGGCCAGCCACCCACCCTTCCAGCCCCAGCTGTGTGCAGACCCATGCTCTGCGGAGGACATTGCCCCCACCCCCTTCTCCCCTCCACCCTGCTTCACTGAGTTGGGTGTCTTTGTGCCTCGAACGCTGAGATATTGAGCAGGGAAAGTGAATGGGTGCTTTTACAAATATGCATTGATTTTGTAATCAGAGAAAATTAATAATACATATTTTTAAAAGAAAAACTCAGTGGTCTAGAGTATAGGCATGCTCATGAAATACTGACGGAAGTGCAGATGGGTCAAAACATTCTGACGGAAATTTAAATTTTTTCTGGCCAGGTGTGGTGGCTTACGCCTGTAATCTCAGCACTTTGGGAGGCAGAAGCAGGTGAATCACTTGAGGCCAGGAGTTCAAGACCAGCCTGGCCAACATGGCAAAACCCCGTCTCTGCTAAAAATGCAAAACTTAGCCAGACATGGTGGCATATGCCTGTAATCTCAGCTACTTGGGAGGCTGAGGCAAGAGAATTGCTCGAACCCGGGAGGCAGAGCTTACTGTAAGCCGATATCACACCACTGTACTCTAACCTGGTAGACAGAGTGGGACTCCGTCTCAAAAAAAGAAAAGGAAATTTAAACTTTTTCCAAATAAGCATTTTGGTTAGACCTACCCTTTGACACTGCAATTTCACATCTAAGAATCTGTTTTCAGGAGATAATTTAGGATGTATGCAAAGATTGAGCCACAAGACTGCTTATCTCAGCATTGGTTTTCATAGAAAAAATAAAAAATTTGATATTCAACAATAGGGAATTGTTGGGAGAAATTATGATCTAGTCATGGGAGAAATAAACACTGGGTATTAAAAATTACATCTGAATGCTCAAGTAGTGCTCTTAATTCTCTTCTTAAAATTTCTGAATCTCCTGAAAATTTTCCATAGGTATGTTTATCATCAAAATAAACTCTACAGTGTTGTGGAAAAATAGTTTTTAACATAGAAAGATGCTAATAATATATTATTAAGCAACATTTACAAAAAAGAATTTGTAGTCTGTAAATTTATGTAAATATATGTGCCTATGTACACACATATATTTATATGTTATAGTAATAATTAGATGAAAGACAGAAGCCCAGAAGTTCATTTATTACATCAGAATGTCAATGTATCTGTCTCTTAATAGCTGAGTTGTGGGCAGATTTTATTACCTCTTATTTGCTTATCTATATTTTCTACCAAGAGCACATGCTATTAATAATTAAGTACTAATTTTTTTGAATAATGAGTTATTTTAAGTAAGTATTTATGGAATATCTCAGGCCTTGTTGCAAATATGATGAAAATGACACTCTTCGTGAAAAGCAAAAGCTAACAGATGATATTCACAGAGAAACACACAAGTGGCTGTAAACGCAGGATGTGGTGCTGTGGGAGGAGCCAAGGGCCCAGGGAAGGGGATGGGACAGTGCAGGGTCCTGAGGAAGCGTGGGCTCAGTGGGGAGCACGTGGGCGAGGGGTCTTCTCATGAGAGAACAGCGCCTGTGCAGAGAAGCACCGTAGCCGGCCCCTGCCTGAACACAGCCCCTAACAGCCCCTCTCTGCTGCAGAATCCAGGAGGACTCCGCCTGAGCACCTCCCGATCTTCCCCACCACTCAGCCTCAGCCTCCCCACAAGGCCTTCCCCGCCCCAGGCAGGCAAGCCCCTACACGCTGCCACACCACACCCTCTGCTTCTCCATGATGATAGCAACCACACTGCAACTTAATTACTTGACTATAGGTTCAGGAGGGCAAGGGCTGCCACACCACACTCTCTGCTTCTCTATGACAATAGCAACCATGTTTCACCTTCATTACTTGACTCAAGGTTCAGAGGGCAAGGGCTACCTAAGTTTTGTTTGCAGCCACATCCCTCCCACCTACAAGGGTGTCTGGCACACAGTAGAGACTCAGCACACATTCTTTGAATAAAAATGAATGATGTGCCTGTTAATTGTCCACTAGGCAAATCAACAAGGCTGTCACAAGAATAAAGCTTCACAGGATAAAAGCTTGCAAAAGCTAACAGCTATGGGCTTTTTGGATTTAATTTACACACTCCTTTTCACAGGCACCAACGACTTATGTGAGTGGCTCAGTTTTCTTCTCTAGTTATATCTGGTTAACTGAAATCATGCACGGGCCATGAAAATATACAACGAGCCTCTCTCTCTCTTGCAGTAGGTTGTCTGAAAGTGGGGCTCATAGGAAAAGGCAGAAATCCTTCCCTGACTCTTAAGTAACCTCCCTGCCATTTACTATCAGGGATTGAAATCCAAACATGAGTCATTTATTTAAATTTAAGGCCTATGCTAAAATTCAAATATATTTTCAGAGAGGTGATTAGCAATATTACACCATAATCAACCATCAACATTTGTAACTAATGGGTTCTCTTTCACTTACAGTCTATCCAAATGGGATTTCAGATGGCTTACAACAATATAGACATAATATGACCAAAATTAACCAACACTGAGAAAAAAAAAGGAAGTAAAGACTGACCGTAGGGGTAAGGAAGGTCACTATGTCTTTCTACCTACATGGGTGGGTGGGTGGGTGGATGGATGGAAGGATGGAGGGATGGATGGATGGACAGATAGATGAGATAGATAGATGGATAGATAGATAGATAGATAGATAGATAGATAGATAGATAGATAGATAGACAGACAGACAGACCGACAGACAGACAGATAGATGCATGGATGGATGGATGGACAGATTAGATAGATAGATAAGATAGATAGATAGACAGACAGACAGATAGATGCATGGATGGATGGATGGACAGATTAGATAGATAGATAGATAGATAGATAGATAGATAGATAGACAGACAGACAGACAGACAGACAGACAGACAGATAGATGCATGGATGGATGGATGGACAGATTAGATAGATAGATAGATAGATAGATAGATAGATAGATAGATAGATAGATAGATAGATAGAAAATCAATAGAGGAGATGGATGGATGGATGGATGGATGGATGGATGGATGGATGGATGCATGCATGGATGGACAGACAGATGGATAGGATAGATAGATAGATAGATAGATAGATAGATAGATAGATAGATAGATAGATGGATGTTGCAGAAATTAAATGCAAAACTTTGCTCTGAATAAGCTCCCCGGCAGTCAGGCTAGAGTTACTTTGTCCATATTTGGAGGAAATACACAGCTAATGTGAAGCTGGGGTTCTTCTTGGTCATGAGCTATCAGAGGGACACTGAGCAAAGGAATTCTGAACAATACCGTCAATGGAAGTTTTATTAAAATGCAAATTTAAGTTACATATGGCTGTTTCTTTTATTGGCCTTCTGGGCATAATGTAAAAGCATAATTATGCACAGTTACTTCTCCAGGGTCAGAATGATACAGTGCAGGTCACGGAGCCTTATCTATCTTGAAAAATAGAGATATCAATGGGGAATGATATAAATTATTAGCACTTCCCTTAAGTATCTTTTATACATCCTCATTTCAGTCAAGCCTTCCATAAGAGTTACAGGGAAGGCTGTTCAAAATGAGAGAT
Source organism: Homo sapiens (assembly GCF_000001405.40). Lineage (NCBI taxonomy): Eukaryota > Metazoa > Chordata > Mammalia > Primates > Hominidae > Homo > Homo sapiens. The sequence continues at coordinate 156,490,136 of NC_000007.14, forward strand.
TTTTCAGCCACGTAGATGGCAAAGATTATTTCACTGGCACAGGAACCTGGCTTGTGTCCTTGCCAAAGTGGAGGGCAGCACCTTTCTGCAGGGAGGTGAGAAGCCCGAGAAACCCTAGGCAGGCTCAGTGTTTGTGGCTTCATAGTGATTTCTTGGAGCTAAAGTTCTCTACCAAAGAAGTATGACCTAGTTAATCTGTGTTATGGGTGATATCGCCAAGTTCCCACCTACAGAACTTTCGTGCGCGTCTTGTATTATATGTGCCAGTAGATTGCATACAAAATGAACAGCTGAATAAGTAAACTTATTTAATAGAATTATTTCATAATATCCATCTAAATGCCAAAGGAAAATCACCAGCAATGATTATTTCTGTTTGGACATAATCCCAATCCACACGACATTCTTGCCCATAATTTGCTAAATCAAGGGCTCTTGGACACCACTCCAGAAAGCATGGATGCAGGACTGGGATCACCAGCCAGCCGTGAAAGCACTCAGTTCATCTGAACTGTGTAGAAATGTGAAAGTATGCATTAGAAGTAAAAGGAGTTAAGTCTCAATGTTGGTTTACACCATTTGATGTAGAAATTTGATGAATTAGAAAATCATTTTTGCCCTCCTGATTCTCATGATGGCATTAGGATAAAATGTCTAAAAAACCATTTAAAAGCTTAAATCAATATTAAGATCATTCGAATTGCCCAATTAATAATTTCTGTCAATCGAGTCAAAGGTTGATGGTAGATACTAAATTCTATGAAATGTCTTGAAAGATTCTTGACACGCGCTTTCTATTATTAAAGCAATTGGTGTTTTGCAATTAGAGCTCGGAATTAGGAAGGAGCAGCAACGGAAGAGAAAGTGATCCGGGATATGTCTTAAAGGACAGATGAGCCCAGGTAGCCACCACAATTTGGGACCCTGGGTATGCTGGTGCCACTTGGCAAGGGACATCTGACGCATGTCAAGTTAGCAGAATGGTTCTCTCAAAACCGTACTTGGCTACTGAGGGGGAGTTGGGGGATGCGGGGACTGCTTCCCCTCACCACTCTCCACCACCCTCAAAGGAAGCATCGATCTCCCAATCCTCCTCCGCACAGCGGGTGAAAATCTGCAATAAAGCGGCGTCTCAGAGCGGGTTTCACCTGTTAATTTTTCAACAGGCTCAGCCTGGCTGACCTGCACCTCGCAGGTCATGGGGTTCTCATCTATTCTTTGAGTCTGGTTTTAACACCCTCACCAAACTTAAACAGCTAGCTGGAAAAATCTGACTCTGGCCAAGATTAATAAGAGGAGTATCTCCTTTTGAGATTATAATGGATTTTCATATGCAGAATTTTTTTAATATTCTACTAGGTACATGACACGGTTTTAAATTCATATTGAACTGAAGCAGGATGCCTTCCTAGATAATGGTTACCGGCTGCATTTTTAAATAGCAACTTTCAGGGTGTAACTTTTCCATTAATCACACGGGCACACACTTAAAAACGCTTACTCATCATACACCAATTACACAGTTGCCACCAAAAAAGTGTTTTTTTCTAAACTTTAGAAATTAGAAAATCTTGAATGTTGCTCTAATACAGAATTTGGGTCTAAAATAGTATAAAATGTTTTCTCCCCAAGCCAAACTTTCATAATTACACTTCAATCACGTTCTTGGGTAATTATCAATGATGGTCCTAAAAAAAAACATAAACTGACAAGGCAAATTAGTGCTGGTGAGATTCTGTCAAGAGTGTAATCATCTACCCGTCTCCATCCCCGCTTCCTTCCTGGGTGAGCCCACCCGATCCCACTACTTGGCTTAAAGCAACCTCCTTCCTGCAACCTTCCCTATCTCAGCTCGCCGCCCAGATCCAAGGGACAGAGGCAGGCCCTTCCCCTCAGCAGGACAGACATGCTAGCCTCACCCCAGACTTCAGCGTGCAAGGCCACCTCTGCTTGCACCTGACCTGCTGTGCCCCGGCCTTCCCGCTCATGCCTCCTTGGTGTCCCTAAGCCTCTCTGCTCCCCACCTTTGCACAGCTCACTCCTTCTGCCTGCTCTGACCTCCGTTCAACTGGCACCTCTTCTGTGAGTTCTTCCCTAGCCCCCATCTGAACCAGCCCCTGGCTGTCTCTCCCCAGCACACCTTTTGCTCCTTCACAGCCCTGCTCACTGTCCCCACTGCCAACCCACTGTTCACTTGCCTGGGCTTTGTGTCCCCAGCAGGACGCAGGCTCCGTGAGAGCCGGGCCAGTGGGACTGCTCATCCCAGAAGCCCCCGCCGGAGAGCACCTTCAGGGCGGACCCCCAGCAGTGTGTCAAGTGGGTGCATGTGTGCGGATGGGTGCAGGGGCTGTGGTATTGAGGAAGACATGGTGTGGTTAGATAGCAAATGCCCACAGCCTGGACAATGCGATTCCCACCTGAGACACCATTGCCTAAGGGGCCCAGAGGCTTGGCTTTGATGAACAGGGGTTTGTACGGACAACAGGGACTGCAGGAATACAAGAGGGTGGCCTTGACATTCCCTATTGTTCCAAGAACCATCCAGCTCAGGGCCTTTGTGCCCCCGACCCTTCTGGAATGTTCTTCCTTACACAGCACTACATGATACAGAGAAACGCAAGCTTGCACTCACACGGCTTCCACATCAGCCAGGGCTGAGTACTCTCATGAGGATTCCTGGCTTCCCCGTGATTTACCGCAGATTCCCTCTAAGCCCAAAATCCCCACGTGCACGAAGAGCTTTTCCTTCCTTTCCATCTTCACATGCACTCCTTTCCAGGGCACAGCTCTGCTCCAAAGGAAAACATGCCTTTCCCACCGCCCCCCAAGCTTTAGTGAGGTATGCTTCACAAATAAAAACTGTACACATCTAAGATGTACAATTAGTGAGGTATGCTTCACAAATAAAAACTGTACATATCTAAGATGTACAATGTGATGTATTGGTGTGTATGTTCATATATAGTGAAATGATAATAAAAATTACAGTGATGTCAAAATTAATTTCCAAAATGCATATTGTGTGTCACTGCACTATAATTAGGATGTTACCACTGTCCATTTGATCTGCTAAACTGTAGAATCTCTGAAGACAGAACTGTAATCTTACAGATATTCTATAATCAGAAAAAATTATATCAAATATCCAGTTTGGGCCATTTCCTGGGACAGTATTCGATGATTAACTTGAGCCTGAGGAGACTATATAAAATCTTAACATTAGGGGCAACTGAAAAGAAAGGTTGAGATGGCTAAATTTTTTTCTTTTCCTGGGAAAATGCCCCATGTCAACTCCATATTCACTACATTACAGTTAATAATAATTTCATATTTTAAATCACTGATTCCATCAAATTTAACATGTATTTGATGATTACCTATTATGGGTTCAACATTGGACTGGACATTTAAAAAGTACAAGATACATTTACAATATGTAGTTCCAGCCCTCAAATAGTTATAAAAGTTCCAGCCCTCAAATAGTTATAAATCTGCCTGGGAAGGTAATTTGTTTACACTTGAACATTCCGGTTACATTTAAAAAAATCTATATGGACAATAATGTATACTGAAGGAGAACGACAGATGTTTCCTGAACACACCAGGCACACTCTTACTTCAGAGGCTTTGCACTCATTATTCCTTCTAGAATGTTCTTTCCTTAGGCTACCTCCAAAGCTCCCTCACTCACTCAAGTGAGGGTCTCTGCTGGAGCGTCCTGTACCAGTGGGCCCTCCCTGACCACAGTGGATGGCAACCTTCTACCTGTTTCCCCTCTCTCCCTACCCTACACTCATTCTTCACAGCACTTGTCAGTCCTAACTTATATTATTTATCTATTTTATTAGTATTTTCTGCCTTCCTCCTTCCCATGAAAGCAGGGACTTGCTCTGTTTTGCTCATTCCTCTGTTTCTAACATCTGGAGGGTGGCCAGCTCATCACAGACATTCAATAAATATTTCTTAAATCAATGTCTAAGGGATGAATCACACAATGCATGGTATTGCCCAGTCGGATGTCACGTGAATCAAGACATTTTTCAGGAAGGATTACAACTACCATGCAAATTGCAAGCTCCCTGGGAGGCATAAGCCCTCTCTCCCAGCATCCCATCAGCATTGCAAGGTGTGCCACCAAACTCCACCGCGACTTGCTGATGTGCACGTGTATTTCAAATCAATACCGGGTTTACGTGTATACAAACACACAGCCAGCTAAACACCTTCTAAACTCGGAACATTAATACCTAGACAGGTGCCGATTTCAGATGTTCACACAATTGAAGCAAATGAATTCCATCTCTATCTGAGCCACATTTTCTAAAGACAAACTTCTTCTTCAGCATGGATTATAAAGAAGAACAAAAACAATTACTCAGCCATCTAACATGCCTCATGTTAGTCAACCACGATGTGAATAGAAATGCCCAGGTCATGTTAAGGTTTGTTTCATTTGTTGTGTTTGTGTGTTTATTGCATTCCCAGGTCATGTATTGCATTCCCAGATTAAGGCTGGAATACCTTGCACGTGTAATCTTCATCCAACAAAATAAAATGCAGACACGCACCCTCCCAGAAAATCCTCCAGTGGCAGCGGCATGTGAGAGCCAATGGAAGGCCAGGCCCAGGGCCCATGCGAGGATCGGGAAATTGTGAAAAGAGTGGAAGGAGTAGGGACTTTGAAATCAGACCAGGGTGAGGAACGGCCTCCCTCCCTTTCGGACTTTCCAGCTGCTGGACATCTCCGAGCCTAGCCTGTCACTCTCAGAACATCTCAAATTCATCATCTTCCCACCCCACTTAGCAGCTGGTAGCCACTGCCCTGTGTTTCATGATGTGAAACACACAAGTGCTACCTCCACACCTAGCATGTACACCATCCTGTATCAGAGATGGCCACACCTTGTATTTCCTAGAGCAGGGGTGCCCAGCTCCCCCACGATACCTGTCCATGGCCTGTTAGGAGCTGGGCCACACAGCAGGAGGTGAGCAGTGGGCCAGTGAGCAAAGCTTCCTCTGTATTGACAGCCGCTCCCCATAACCCGCATTACCGCCTGGGCTCCGCCTCCTGTCAGATCAGCAATGGTATTAGATTCCCATAGGTGCACAAACCCTACTGTGAACTGTGCATGAGAGGATCATGTTACTGTAATGCCTGATGATCTGTCACTGTCTCTCATAACCCCCAGATGAAACCATCTAGTTGCAGGAAAACAAGCTCAGGACTCCCACTGATTCTACATTATGATGGATTTTATAATTATTTCATTCTATATTACAATATAATAATAATAATAGAAATAAAGTGAACAATAAATGTAATGCGCTTGAATCACCTCAAAACTATCCCCACTCCCTGTCCATGGAAAAATTGTCTTCCACGAAACTGGTCTCTGGTGCCACAGAGGTTGGGGACTGCTGTCCTAGAGGCTTTCAGGACCAAGTGCACAGTGTAACTGGTGTTTGTGTCTCACAGCCAGGTGGGCACAGCCTGCAGCATCCACGTTCTATAGACTCAGAATCAAAAGCACTTATTAGGTACCCCAGCATCAACAAACACCACCCACTGGCACCCAGATGTCCTCAACGTACTCTTTGTCCACCTGAGCAGATTTATCTTCATGACACGGTAGAATCTTTAGCTAAATACTAACAAGTGAAAACTTTTGTCACTCTGGTTAAACATTAAAATAATCCTGCTGCGACATGAAGATGCTCATTTCAAAACAAAACAATGGGAAGTGTTTTAGAAAGCATTCTCTTCACGGGGATGGAGGGAAGGCAGTAAAAGGAACCCCATGTCAAAGGAACCCACAAACCAACCTAAGGAACAGACCAAATGTAGATGGGAGATGAAGAAAGCATTGTGTGTGTCAGTTTCCATCCGTCTGTCTCCCCGCAGCCCCCACCTCCTGTCCTGGAGAGTTGTACAGAAAGGGCACATCACACCCACCCACTGGAAAATGGACAATTGTTGTGTCCAATTTCACTGTCATCCCAGAATGGAAACCCTGAGCTGAGGAGAGCTGTCAGGTAGGAAGGACAACGTTCTCTCCACCGCTTTGATGTAAACCAAACTCTGGGTGCTGCCAAGGTTTGACTAATTCTTCCTTATTCCAGGCTTACCTTGTTGCCTAATTTTTTTCATATAATTCTGCAAAGCTTTAAAACTGGGTTTAGAAACTACAAGGGCAGGAAAATGCACCCATGATATGCTTTACATGATATAAAAATCCCCATGCCCTGTCCTCTCCCAGCCCCACTGTAGAAAGCAAGTTTTATTAACACGAGGCAAGTGCTCAGTTTTCAAGAGGACTCTGAGCATTAAAGCAGATTGTTTTATGTCTCTGACATGAATACTCCGGGTGGATGAACTATCAAGGCCCAGGTTTAAGTGTGATTAATGCCTAGTACTTGGAAACCATCCAAACTTATTAAATCTGATGGAGTAAAACAGCATAACTTTCTCATATTATTTCCAGGAGATGTGATTAGGCTGAACGTGGTAGTGAATGGAACTGCAGGAATAAGCCACGGTAGCGGGGAGGGGGAGCTCTATTTACAAAGAATTAAAACAGAGTGGAGCGTTTTAGCAAGTACGGGCAGAGTTCGATCACCTCAACCCAAGAAGAGGGGTGAGGACTGAAAACAAAGTCAACACAACCTTCCTGTATATTCCATGACTTTGTCCACACACTACCAAGAGTAAGAGTTGACTTATTGGAAGAAAAAGAAAAAGAAAGTATTTGATAAATGTTCCCTTTCGCCCACCCCAAAATGAATATATCAGTACACACGTGTACTTACACACACACACACACACACACACACACACACCCCTGTCATTTTATGTTCTGGTATGTAACAGAAGCATCAGAGATATATTCAACGCTCCCCTTTCCACACAGAAAACAGGAGCCGTACAATCTTACAGTCCAGTCTGTCTACAGATCCAGGCAAGCGTGTCTGAAATTGATTACTGGTAGATGTTGCAGCTTAGGGGCAGTGCACGTTTGTCTTTCTAAGGTGTGGTGTGCTTCTCCAAGGCCAGTAGCTTCCAAGCACAATACCTGTACTTCGTTAATTCCTTCGGTTCTGCTTTGGACAAAATAACATTCCAAAGAAATGAACAAGAAAACTACACAGGGATGAATGAGCAGCCAACGTCCAACAAAGAGGAACTTGCCGAGCACCTCCACGGACCAGGAGGCAGCTGGGTGCTGAGAGGCTGAGCCTGGGTGGGTACGGCCTCACTTTGGGTCAAATGCTCTACGGGAAGATGTGGGGAGCGCAGCAGTCAATCCTCCGGGGACCACATCCCTCAGCCCAGTGCAGACGCGGCTGCATTAACACTGGACATCTAGACACTTGGACACTTGCATTTAGGGCTCTTATTGAAGAAACAGAAACATAACAAAAGTATTTGTAATCTTAAAATCTGTCCATTATGGTCCCAAGGCAAATCTGGGCCGTGGAGAGGAGAGAGAAGGTGACCCCCACCACCCCCCCGCCACCAGTCTCTGCACTGATAGAAGAATAACAAATATAAAAAAATCTGCCAAACAACAAAGCTTCAATTTATTATACATGCTCATCAATTTAACCCAAAAAAAAAAAAAAACCCTTAAAAGCCTGAGGGTGATCCAGCCCCTTTAATACCCAGGCCCTGAGCATGCCGCAGATCAAGGCCCAGGCCCCAGCCTGCTTTGTCTGCGAAAGATGAAAGCCAGGCGCAAACAGGTGAAGGCTTTTTTGAATCATCACCTGCAATTAAGCAAAGGAAAACCAAGAGAAGCAGAGGTGAGCTGAACTCGCTTGAAAAAGGCGCCCGCGGAGCAGGTGGATGCTTGCTGCCGATGGCTGCGGTGTCTGCTGACACTCCCAGATGACGAGCCCTCCCCGGGCTCCCTGCATGCACGGCAGATTGCCCGGTGGGAAGGGGGGTGCACAGGGAAACACACACAGGTGCACACCCAGACACACACACACACAGATACAGACACACAGACACATAGACACACACAGAGACACAAACACAGACACAGAGACATGCACAAACACACTTACACACACCCAGACACACACACACACACACACACACAGATACAGACACACAGACACACAAACACACAGCTACACCCTCACAGACACACAGGGACACAAACACCCACACAGACAGAGACACGCACACGCAGACACACACATAGATACAAACACACTCACAGACACACAGAGACAAGCACACACAGAGACACGCACATAGATACAGACACACACAGAGACACAAACACACAGACACAGATACACACACAGAGACATGTACAAACACACACCCAGACACACGCACACAGATAGACACACACAGAGACACAAACACACAGACACAGAGACACATACACACACACCCAGACATACACATGGATACAGAACATTCGCTATCACACGGACGCACAGATACAGACACACACACAGACGCACAGAGACACAAACACACACAGACACAGAGATACACACACAGATACAGACACAAAGACACACAGATAGAGACACACTACAGTCACACAGATACAGACAGATACAGACACAGACACAGAGACACGCACAGACACACACACAGACACACTCATAGACAAATACACAGACACACAGATACAGATGCACTCACAGACACACAAACACACACACAGACACAAACACACAGAGACACAGAGGTATGCACAAACACACAGACACACACAGATATGCACATAGACACATACATAGACACATAGATACAGGGACACAGGCAAGTACACACACAGGAAAACACACAAACAAACACAGATACACCCACAGACAAATACACAGACACACATAGGTGCACAGACACAGAGACACTGACACACAGGTCCACACAGACATGAGGACACTCACAAACACACTGACACACAAAGACACACAGAGACAAACAAGTGCACACACAGACACACTGACACACAGAGACATAGAGACACACACGAACACAGACACACACACAGAGACACATAGGTGCACATAGAAACACACAGACACACTAACACATACAGGTGCACACAGACATGTAGGCGCACACACAGATATGCACAGAGATAGGGACACACATAGACACAGAGAGAGACACACACAAATACACAGACAGGTACACAGTCATGCAAACACACATGGGCACAGGAAAACATACACGCAGACACAGATACACACAGACACACATACAGACACACAGACACACAGAGACTAACACAGAGACACACCCAGAGACAGACACACACACACCCGTATGCTGCATACCACCTGTGTCTCGCCACTCACTCTTTCCGTGCATTGTTTTGACTGGTTCCTCTTTCCATTCTTTTGGAAACACTGTCCCAAACTCAAGTTTGCATGAGACTTAACTATTAATATTGGCATCTAAATGTTTTCCGTTCTCCACGGAGACCCAGAATTCTAATAACCACAATTATTAAGGTCTTTTCAAAAGGTAGAGGAGCATTGACCCAGAATTTTCAGATTTGACTCATTCCACGGGAACAGTATTTCCTGAACAGAGCTCCCTTTGCTCTGAAAGAACATGGTGATTTTAATGAAGAGTCTAGCACCATGTTACGCCTCTGTGTTGTCATTTTTGACTTCTTGTAGAAAAATTCCACCGTTTGAAAGCGTCTGGTGTGTACATTTTGGATCAACTCTTCTGCGACAAATGGCACGGCACTGCTCAGATCCATTGTACCTCTGGGCAACTCCCTCTGCCAAAACTTCGTATTGCTTTCTCAGACGTGGAAGAAACCTCAGAGCCAGCAGCATATCTTGCTTACCCATTATATATATTTTAAAACATACATTTTTACCAAAATATGTATTGGGTTTAAAGGAATTTACTGTAAAAAGGAAGCTCATCCTCACTAATGCAGGCTTCAAGTTTGTGTGATGCCAATGAGACGTCCCAATGACAGCTCTCAGATGAGCTCCGATTTCACACAGAAACCTCAATTGCACCAAAATGAATGAATGAGCAGGAGATAGGGCTGGCTTGCTGTATGATATTAGCTCAAAACTCTTCATCTTTTTCTAAAGATCATTTGGAAGAAGATGGAAGAAGGCTTGGCTCCTTGTACCAGATCTGTTTAGAAGCTTCGAAAATTCCAAGTACTGCTTTCATATTTGGAAATCGATACCAAGAATCAATGTGAGCTTGCTTTCTGTCATGTGGAAGCCAAAGGTGAGGATAATGCATTCGACCAGCAGAGAAAATTGCTGTTTTTTGGCCTCTGGGAAGTATCTTCTCCAAGGTAAAGTAGCAGGAATGCTCCAAAATATTTTTTCAATCCCACAATCAATGCAGACAACAGAGAATTGTGGCGGAATTAGATACACTTTGGCCTCATGCTGGTCTCCAAGGCCGCTGCCCCAAAATGTCAGAATCAAACTTTCTCACCTTTCTTCTTTTTGTCTCTCTCCACTCTCCCATGGAACATGCTTGGTTCTTCTGTTCTTTCTAGCCCCGTCTCATGTTCCCTTTTACCCTCCCTGTTATCCGTTTCTCAAGGCTCAGGCCAACATCCCATTCACCTGTCTGTCTGCCCCATAAAGAGTGACCTGGCCTGGGCATGGTGGCAGGTGCCTGTAATCCCAGCTACTTGGGAGGCTGAGGCAGGAATTTCTTGAAGCCGGGAGGAGGAGGTTGCAGTGAACTGAGATCAGGCCACTGCACTCCAGCCTGGGCAACAGAGTGAGACTCCGTCTCAAACAAAAAAAAACAATTAAGAGTGACCCAGCCATGAAGTCTTTGCCCATGCCTATGTCCTGAATGGTATATTGCCTAGGTTTTCTTCTAGTGTTTTCATGGTTTTAGGTCTTATGTTTAAGTCTTTAATCCATCTTGAGTGAATTTTTTTGTATAAGGTGTAAGGAAGGGGTCCAGTTTCAGTTTTCTGCATATGGCTAGCCAGTTTTCACAAAACCATTTATTAAATAGGGAATCCTTTCCCCATTGCTTATTTTGTCAGGTTTGTCAAAGATCAGATGGTTGTAGATGTGTGGTGTTATTTCTGAGGCCTCTGTTCTGTTCCATTGGTCTATATATCTGTTTTGGTACCAGTACCATGCTGTTTTGGTTACTGTAGCCCTGTAGTATAGTTTGAAACATCAAAAACAATGGCTACAAAATCCAAAATTGACAAATGGGATCTAATTAAACTAAAGAACTTCTGCACAGCAAAGGAAACTAGCATCAGAGTGAACAGGCAACCTACAGAATGGGAGAAAATTTTTGCAATCTATCCATCTGACAAAGGTCTAATATCCAGAATCTAAAAGGAACTTAAACAAATTTGTAAGAAAAAAAAAACCCATCAAAAAGCGGGAGAAGGATATGAATACACACTTCTCAAAAGAAGACATTTATGCTGCCAACAAACATATGAAAAAAAAGCTCCTCATCACTGGTCATTAGAGAAATGCGAATCAAAACCACAATGAGATATCATCTCATGCCAGTTAGAATGGCAATCATTAAAACGTCAGGAAACAACAGATGCTGGAGAGGATGTGGAGAACTAGGAATGCTTTTACACTGTTGGTAGCAGTGGAAATTAGTTCAACCATTGTGGAAGACAGTGTGGCGATTCCTCAAGGATCTAGAATCAGAAATACCATTTGACCCAGCAATCCCATTACTGGGTATATACTCAAAGGATTATAAATTATTCTGTTATAAAGACACATGCACATGTATGTTTACTGCAGCACTGTTCACAATAGCAAAGACTTGGAACCAACCCAAATGCCTATCAATGATAGACTGGATAAAGAAAATGTGGCACATATACACTATGGAATACTATGCAGCCATAAAAAAGGATGAGTTCATGTCCTTTGCAGGGACATGGATGAAGCTGGAAACCATCATTCTCAGCAAACTAACAAAGGAACAGAAAACCAAACACTGCATATTCTCACTCATAAGTGGGAGTTGAACAAGGAGAACACATGGACACAGGGTGGGGAACATCATACACCAGAGCCTGCGGTGGGGTGGAAAGCTAGGGAAGGGATAGCATTAGGAGAAATACCTAATGTAGATAACGGGTTGATGAGTGCAACAAACCACCATGGCACATGTATACCTATATAACAAACCTGCACGTTCTGCACATGTACCCCAGAACTTACAGTATAATTTAAAAAAAAAAATAAGAGTTACCCAGCCTGAGTCAAGTCAAATTTGCTGAGTTAAATAAAACTGGATTTTCTGGCCAGATCTGTGTCTTTAGTTCAGAGCCTGCAGGTCTCCAACCTGCCTAAGCCACAGTGATCAAAGGGCCCAAAGAAATTGTGTTTTCAAGAACTTTGCTACTTGTCAAGGAAATGAATATGCAAATAGCACCACGTTGGATAAAATGATTTTTTTTCTCAAAACAAGTAAAACCAACATATCCAAAATAATACAATCTTCATTCTGAATCTGTTCTTTTTCTTCAGCCAAATACCATCTTAGCCACCATATGTTTTATAGCCCAGCAAACAACCCCAAGTGACTTCTACATTCTTAACTAAAGCATCAAAATATGAAAAACAATAGCATTGTATGAAAAATTCAGTTAAATGGGTGTTCCAGGTAAAATCTTAAGGAGTATCTCACAGAGGTGCCAGGTCCGCTTCCTGCAGATAGGAAATGAATGCTTTGCTCTCAAGAAAAAGGAACTTGGAGAATTTGTCATCTCAAACTAAGTGTGAATGAAGAAGGCATGGGGTAACTGATATTGTTTTCTCCCCTAGGTATGTGGGTCTCCTGGCTTGCCAGTAACAGGTAAGTTGCACATGAATGGGATTAAGCAAAACTCCTACCCATGCCTGGGAACAAAAATTACCTGCTTTAGAAAACAAGGGATGCATTTGACCCAGCAGTCCCACTACTGGGTATCCACCCAAAGAAAAAGAAATTTTTGATATATTAATTTCCTTTCCTTTAGCTATATATTCAGCAGTGGAACTGCTGGATCACAGCATCATTCTATTTTTAAGTTTTTGAGAAACCTCCATATTATTTTTTAACAGTGGCAATACTGATATACATTTCTATCGTCAGCCACAAGGGTTCCCCTTTCTCCATATCCTCGTCAGCATTTTTTATTCTCTTTTTGATTTAAAATATTTTAACTGTCAAAATAAAAGAGAGAAAACAAGGGATGGATTTCCCCTTAGGAATGAGCTCAGGCAAAGACTGACTAGAGCAGCCTCTAGTGTCCGAGTGAAGCTGGACCAAGTGCTCAGCCCTTTAGGCCCCTCAACCATGGGATTCTGTGAGTCCTAGAGGCCATCCACGCAGCGGTCACTCTGGGGATGTGAGATGTCGGGTTGTAATTCACTTCTTCATATTTGATTAACTTTGTAATCTCCAAGCAGCTGATTTCATTTGCCCTGTATCGTTCAAGGTGATATCAACAGTTTGTATTAGTGAAAGCCAAGTCCCTTTCTCAAACACAGCTGCCCGCGCCATCTTTCTCTCATAGATCACTCTGTCTCGCGCCTTTCAGAAGCAATCATTGTTTTCCTACACGTACATTTACAAATGCCAGCTTCAAACCTGAGAAAAGCCAGACCCTGGCTATGTTCCAATAGCACCAATCCTCCCATCTGTCCCTGAGCGTGGGGACGATCGGGCAGGAGAACCGTGAGACTCATCATTGAGTATTTCATTGAACCTTCTCAGCCTCAGTTCCCCATCTGCAGCACAAGGCGATGTAACAGTGATGTGGATGCCTCCTTTCAGCAGTAACAATGTGTGGTTTCTAAGCATGGGTTCGAATCACTAGTCCCTGCTCTCCCTCCAATAATTCTCAAGAGTCTAGGTCAGAACACAGAACTTCAGACCCTCTAAGTACAGTCACAGGAGTAACTCGTGCCTGAGCTGGAAGGAGAATCCCAGGAAAGGTGGGGCCTGAGGTCTGAAGACCGGCGTCTCATCCTCCCCACCTGCGCCCCCGTGCTCATCCCAAACCAGGCTGCCCTGGCAGTGTGAAGACGGCGCTGCGCTGACGGGGCAGCTGCTCCCGAAACTCTCGTAACTAGCGTCCAGTAGCAAGTGTCTGTGGGAAGGCACTGGAGGCGAGGGCTCCGGTCTGCAGCTGTGAAAAACACGTCTTTCCACATGAGACCGGCTGCTACCTGCAGGCCTCCAACCCACATCCCAATTTCATGAGAACCACATTCTAGCCACGGTTTCAAGAAACTCAAATTACCTGGGCATCTTGGATTTTACCTGGCAACCTTAATTCTTGCCAACTTAGCATCTGACCTGGTCAAACCTGCTGTCCCCGCCCTTCCTTGTATTACCCTCCCCAAGTCACCGTCGACCTCTCTGAAGCTCTGGAAAGGGAGGAGAATAAACGTTTGTGGCCCTACTGCGGGCAACGTGACCGACACTCTGCTCTTTGAGGAAGAAAGGCTTGCTACGGAGAGGTCACACATCCGGGCCCTCCTGAAGGTTGGTTCTAGGCCATTCCTTCCAAACACACCACCCAGCACCTCCTAAGTCCAGCTCCGTGCCAGGCACTGAGGGTGACTGAAGAATGAAGAGGCCGGGTGGGGCTGCGGGGATCCTGTCTTTGTGGGAGGCACCAAGCGATAAGTAAATACCCCTTGCCTCCCGCCTGCCTCGTCCCCACTGACTCAGCTTGTAGCAACCTGGCCCGTGGGTCCCCAGTGTTCAGTTTCTTCAATAAGGCTGTATTGTTCTCACGGGGAAATGCTTCTCTTGGGGAGCTTCAGGCAGTGCGTGCAGGAAGCCAGCTGAGGTCTGCATTGCACCACGTGAGCAGGGGTCAGCCGCCCTGGCCGCTGACTGCCCAGTAGCTGCGCCTAGGGAATGGCGGCCTCTGGACACCTGGTCTCTAAGCACAACCAGGTTGGATGTGTGCATGTCTGCATTTACAAACTCACTACAAGATCAACAGAAGCAGGGCACTCACCCCTTTTATCAGCTCATGCACACTGGCTCTGAATTTGCCTTCAGTTCATCAGGCTATGGAAAATATACTGTTCCCCATGGTTGGGCACAAGGAATGCCCTCCTCTCTCCTGCTCACGTGGTCTCCTGGCAGGCCTTCCACACTCTGGAACAGGCCTGAGAAGGAAGCCACAAACCGCGCGTCACATGCCAACCTGGCGCAGGCCTGCAGTGCTCCACGAAGGCCTGCACACACCAGGCGGTCAAGCTCCACCTAGGCCTGGCTGTCCCTATGGGGTCTGCAGGGCTGGCCTCGCCCCTTCCTCACGCTGTGGGTGCTTGTCACATGTTCCAGAGCAAGGAGGCCAGGGCAGCCTGGGGCTCTGCTGGGGCCGGTGAGTTCTCCCTCGTCGGGCAGGCTGGCGTTTTCCTCCTCTGGCCACTCTCTCTGGTGCCTGGGTGGAAATTCAGCACCTGCAGACACACACGCTCTCTTTTTAAAGCATTCATCCAGATCCAGACGCTTCAGTCTCAGCACGTGTCCATCATTTACTTTTGACCTCCAACATCCAGGACACCCAGCCCACTCGCCAAGCTGCTCTTGGCCTTTTATCCCCCAAACCACCTCGTAATGGACACGGGCAGGGGACTTTGCAGGAAAGACATGAGCCTTCAGCTTTATCCACTCAGTGAGCACCCATGGCGTCCTACATCTCACACTGTGGGAGTCCGGGACTGAGCAGAAGTCATTCCTGAGCTGGGGACATCACGCGATCAGAAGCACAGGAGGTTTCAGGGCAGCTGCTGCTAGTTCCCGGCCACAGAAAGGAGGTCCCAGGGGAGTCTGGGGGCACGAAGAATCAGGGGAGTCCGGGGACATGAAGAATGCTACCTGTGTTTCAAGGTCAGGGCAGCTTCATCAAGGAGGGGCACTGGCTCCAGAAGTTGAAGGAGAGAGTTGAACGTACGACACAAGGCAGGGGGCTCTGCAGGAGGGAGAGGCAGCCCCCGGGCAGGCGGGCAGTGCTGGCCCCGCAGGCAGCTGCCCCTCGGGTAGCAGCAGCAGGGAAGATGCAAAAGCAATGTCAAGGTGATGGACACGTGCTTTTTTAAAACAAAATGTTTACTTCAGAATAGTTTTAGACTTAAAGAAAAGTTGCAAAGATAGTACCCTCACTGAGCTTCCCCCAGACTTAACATCTTATATCGCCAGACAACAAGGGCCCCACCACTGCTCCATTGCTGGCAGAACTCCAGACCGTCCAGGCGCCACTGGTCCTTCCACCAATGTCCTTCTCTGGTGCAGCTGTCACAACACTGCCATGTCTCTTTAGCCACCTCTGGTCTGGGACAGTTCCTCAGTCCTTCCTGGGTTTCCATGTCCTCCTCCATTTTGAGAGATACTGACTGTCCCACGATAGGGGTTTTCTGGTCTTACTCTCATGGTCAGACCGGCTTAGGCAGTCTTCCCCAAAGACCGAGGACACTCTTCCCCAAAATGCATAACCCAGTTTGACTATGCGAGTGAGGCCAGACAAAGCTCCATGGAGGGTTGGTCAGTGTTTCTTCTCGTCCCACCTCAGGATAGGGTGCACAGGGAGGTCTCGAGGAGAAGGTGGTCTTTCAGTAAAGCCCTGAGGGGGCTAAAGCAAGACAGGCTGACGGCTGGGAGGGGAACAGCCCTGAGGCTGCAGACGGCCAGTGCAGACGTCCTGTGGCAGCAGCGGGGCGGGAAGATGGAGGCAGTGCACTGGGCAAGGAGAAATGCAGCAAGTGGGATGAGAGAAACACCGCGGGCCATGTCGTAAACAGTCTTGCAAGAAATAAGGATGTTTTTTTGAAGTTTTTGGTGCAAATGAATGACAAAATCAGAATAATGCTTAGCATGCATTAGAGGCAGCCACAGCTGCCGCCCCACCCTTCTAGAGTCTGCAGGAATCCCCTGCTTGACTCTGGGGTAGGGACCAACAGATTCTGTGACCTTCACCTTCTGGCACAGCAACTTAAAGGGTCACCAGGTGCAAAGGACTCTCCCCCAACCAAGTTGAGCTGAGTCCGTAAGAGTATGTCTCTTAGAAATTTGTCCAGGAGCAGTGGCTCACGCCTGTAATCCCAGCACTGTGGAAGGCAGAGGCAGGCAGATCACTTGAGGTCAGGAGTTCAAGACCAGCCTGGCCAACATGGTGAAATCCCGTCTCTACTAAAAATACAAAAATTAGCTGGGCATGGTGGTGCCCGCCTGTAATCCCAGCTACTCAGGAGGCTGAGGCAGGAGAATCTCTTGAACCCAGGAGGCAGAGGTTGCGGTAAGCCAAGGTCTCACCACTGCACTCTAGCCTGGGCAACAGAGTGACACTCCATCTCAAAAAAAAGAAAAGAAAAAGAAATCTGAGCCAATCAATACAGAAGGAATCAGGCAGTGAGAGGTGGGCACCAGGCCTAGGAGAGCTTAAAGACTGGGGCCAGGCTGGCCATTTTAGGTCATTCTTTAGCAGAGGAAGCCGGTCTACCAGATGAGAGGAATGCAACTAAGATGTTACAACAGCAGCCGTTGTTCTAATTCCTGGCTGTGTGATCCCCACTTTCAGCTTCCAGGGGACCCAGCTGTCCTTCACTCCCTGTCTCTGGCTTTCATGAGTTCTTCTGCTCCTTAAAATAAACCCCTTTCCCCATCTTAACTAGCCTAAGGAGTTTCTGAGTTTTTGCAACTAAAAGCACTCTGACTATAACAGGAAAAGTGGGCCAGCAAGTGTATGTGGGACAAAGTAGAAGGAAGAAGACAGGACACAGGTAGCCCAGCTCAGGAGGACCTTTGCAGTGACACATGAAGGCACTTCCTGCAGGTCATGTCCCCTTCTCCACGCCGTATCACTCAAGTCACCAACAATGTGATATTGCCCCATGGGACCAAAAAGTGTGAAATAAACTCAACCCCATTACAGTGTCAAGGGTGTAATCCATCATTATTTCCATGAAGCACTGAGTTTCTGAAAATGAATCTGGGAAATATAATGCCTTGACCCTTTGGAAGGTTTTCCTCAGGGTAGAATTCCAGGTACCAGAGCACCTGGAGATGGAATATGATTTTGAGCAGGTGAGCCTTTTGAGTACCATCACTCAAATCCCCCCATCTGCAGGATTCTGTGGCCACTCACAGGTGAGCTCGGTTGGACTGCACCCCAATATTAATATAATGCCCTTCATTAGAGGCAGGAATTCAGCAAAAGAAGAAGCCATGTTGAACATTGTCTGTATCCATCTGTTTTCATGCTACTAATAAAGACATACCTGAGACTGGGTAATTTATAAATAAGAAAGAGGTTTAATGGACTCAACTTCCACATGACCTGGGAGACCTCACAATCATGGAGGAAAGTGAAGGAGGAGCAAAGGCATGTCTTACATGGCAGCAGACAAGAGAGAAATAAAAGCCAAGTGAAAAGGGAACCCCCTTATAAAACCATCAGATGTCATGATAACTCACTCACTATCACGAGAACAGTATGGGGGAAACTGCCCCCATGATCCAATTATCTCTACCTGGTCCCACTCTTGACACATGGGGACTATTACAATTCAAGGTGAGATTTGGGTGGGGACACAGAGCCAAACAATATCATTGCCATAAGGATTTTAACTAAATCTCAAGCTTTGTCACAAATGTGAAAAAAAAAGTCTTGTTATAAAACAATCTCACCAATTTATTATGAGGCAGCCTTTCTTTTGCACATACACCAAAGAAGAACTAATACAAGATCTAGAAGTCTGTTGAAATACATATTCCCCAACCAGACCACAAGAATCATTATAAAGTATGTATCTGTGCCGGTCTTTAGATATCATCAAATACTATTTATCGGGGGGAAATGAAAAAACTGCTGGGCTGAGATGAGAAATTACTTAAAAGCCAGGTCCCACAATTTCCAGTCAAACACTGTTCATGACCCACACTCACTCATGAGCTCACACACACACCTGACAGCAAATTCATGTGTCCTCACCAATGTCAACTACATGATAGGTCATTTTTCTACCTCCTTAAGTTGACATTTACTGATCCAGATCAAATATTCCAACTGGCCGTTCACATTCTCCCTTTTTCCACTGTCTGCACAATTATATCCATAGTCCTAGAAAGAAAAATACCCTTTCTTCCTCTCAAAAAAGAAAAGCGGGCATTCATAGGAAGGAGAAATGTCCACTGTCCATTTATTCAGTCAGTGATGGTGCCAGCTCCCTCAACCAAAGAGGCAAGGTGTGCATCGTCAGGCAATGTTTGGAAGACACTCCTCTCAGCTTATCACCATCTAAGCCAGAACAAAGGCTACTGTGTCCCAGATGTAATATCCAGATGAAGTGAACACAACTTCAACACTATGTCCCCACATACAGCTTTCTTTATTCTTTGTCTTTAGCCTCTCCATTGAACTTCCCTCTCTGCCTACCAGGTTGCACAGGTCACTTTCATCTTAAATAATACATCAGTTGCCCTGTCTTCCCTTCTAGCTATTGCTATCGCTCTCTTATATTTGCCTTTTTAATTTCCAGCAACCTGGTTTGGAGCTTTTGTGAGTTCCAGTAACTTGCCCATGTTCAGTCACACCACACCGTCTGTTCCTCCCTCTCTCTTCTCACTGCCCGCACCTTGCCACCTTCTCCAGCATGACCTCAACTGCTCCTTGTGTGGCCCCATACCCTGCCTCTCACCATGGCTCACCCTTTTCACACATTCACCCCGTTCCTCACCCTGACACACCATCCAGGCAACTTCTAAAGCAACCTAGCTTCACTATGGTGGTCTGAGAATATTAGACATTCTCCCTCCACAGAAAACATGTACTAAATGGAAAAAAAAAATTAAAAATGTCCATTTTGAGGCACTGGAAAACAACCAAAGGCAGGTAACAACTTGAGAACTGTTTACAGTTCTCAACAAAGCCAGCCTGCACCAGGTAAGACTGATGAGCCTTCAGCCTTCCTTCCTGGGGCATTCCCACACCACCTCTCCCCACATCAGGTGGGGAGGGTGTGCAGCCTTATGGTCAGAAGCCATGGAGTCTGTAGCTTCTGACCATAAGCTTCTGACTGCCTGGTTCAGTCGTCAGATAAAATGAGAAATTACTTAAAATCCAAGTCCCACAATTTCCAGTCAAACACTGCTCACTACCCACACTCACTCATGAGCTCACACACACACCCAACAGCAAATTCATGTGTCCTCACCAATGTTCAGGGTGGGTGGCAAAGCAGCTAGAGATGTAAGAAGGAGGTTGTGGAGGGAAACAAGCCATGAAAGAGCCGAGATGTGCTCATCACATGTCACTGCTGCCAAACTACACGCGGAAGATGCTGGAAAAGTCTGTCAAAATCACATGCATGAGACACTTGTGAAGTTGCCATGCCTTTGAATACATCCTGCAGTCCACACACAGCCACATAGCACAGCAGAAGCTTTCCTGGCTTGAATGGAACAGCATGACCTCTACTCAAATCATTGGCTGACTGCTAGCCTATGCAGCCACTGGGAGACCACTGGGGAGCCAGGCCAAAAAGAAAGTGAAAAGAAAAACAAAATAAAGATATTAGTGGCTGCACACACAGTGGAGACACTTTGCATTTTGAGTCCAGGCAAGCTAATTGTCTACACCCTCAGAGGAACAAACCAGAATTCATAGTCATTTCAGTGTGGTACTTAAAATGTCCAGTTTTCAAACACAAATTATGAGACATGCAAAAAGAAAATAAAAGTATAACCCATACTCAGGGAAGAAAAACAAAAACCAATCAATATAAAGTGAGTCCATGAAGGGCCAGAAGTTGAACTTAGGAGACAAAGATTTTTGTAAAAAGCTATTATAAATATGCTCAACAATTCAAAAGAAAATACATCCAAAGGATTAAAGTAAAATGTGCTAAACATGACTGAATAGGTAGAGAACAAAATATTGGAAACTATATAATAGAACCAAACAGAAATTCTAGACCTGGAAAGTAAAATAACTGAAATAAAAATTTCACTAGATGGGCTCAGCAGCAGCTATGAGGTAGCAGAAGAAAAAAAAAAATCAATGAACTTAAAGAAAGATCAGTAGAAAATATTCAATCCAAAGAAGAGAGAGAAGAAAGACAAAGAAAAATGAATAGAGCCTCAGAGCCTGCAGATCAATGTTAGACATACCAACATACATGTAATTAGAGCCCCAGAAGTAGAGGAGAAAAGAAGGGAAAAAAATTATTTGAAGAAATAGTTTACAAAAACTTCCCAGTTTTGGTGAAAAACACTAACTTACAGATCCAAGAAACTCACCAACCCCAAGTAAGATGAACAATAAGAAAGCCACAATTGGACACATTATAGTCAAACTGCTGAAAGCCAAAGATAAAGAGAAAATCTAAAAAGCGGCAAGAGAAAAATAACATATCACATATAGAGAAACAGAGATACAATTTAAAGTTAATTTCTCACCAGAAACCATGTGGCCAATAGACATGACATATTCAAGTGCAAAAAGAATAAAACTATCAACCAAGAATTCTATATTCAGTTAGACTATCCTTCAAACATGGTAATGAAATTAAAACTTTCCTAGATATGAAAATACAGATAGAGGCCAGGCGTGGTGGCTCATGCCTGTAATCCCAACACTTTGGGAGGCTAAGGCAGGAGATCACTTGAGGTCAGGAGTTCAAGACCACCCTGGCCAACATGGCAAAACCCCATCTCTGCTAAAAAATACAAAAATTAGCCAGGCATGGTGGCATGCACCTGTAATTCCAGCTACTCAAGAGGCTGAGGCAGGAGAATTGCTTGAACCTGGGAGGCAGAGGTTGCAGTGAGCTGAGATTGCGTCACTATACACCACCCTGGGTGACAGAGCAAGACTCCATATCAAAAAAAAAAAAAAAGAAAAAAAAAAACAGAGTTTGTTGCTATTAGAACTTCACTACAAACAATGATAAAAGAATTCCTGTGGGCTGAAGGGAAATGACACCAGATAGTAACTCAGATCCATAGGAAAGAATAAAACATGCCAGAAATGGTAAATACGAGTTATAATCTGCATAAATACACAAGAATATATACTTTTCTTTTTATCTCTTAATTTCTTTTAAAGAGTGTTTAAAGCAAAAAATATATACTGTGTTGTTGGATTTTAACATATACGAATGTGTGTGTGTGTGCATATGTGTGTATGTATATACATATGTGTAATATTATATATATTTTAATTCTAATTGTATAAATATAGATTTTATACATATATACATCATGCACATATATGTTATACATACATATATATATATGTACGTGTGTGTGTGTGTATCAACAACAGCAAAAAGAAAGGGAAGAGAAAATGAAGCTATATGAGTACAAAGTGCCTATATTTTACCAGAAGAAAGTCAGTAACAACTTGAAGTAGATCGTGATAAGTTTAAAATACTTACATAATCCCTAGAACAACTACAAATAATTTTTAAAGCACACAAAGAAATATAGCTAAGAAATCAATAGAGATATAAAAATGTTCCACTTAAATATTTAATACAAAAGAAGGAAGAACAAGAGAGCAAAATGACAGACATGAATCTAAGCATATCAATAATTACATTAAATATAAATTTACTTGCCACTCCAATCAAAAGGCAGAGATTGTGAGACTAGATCTAACTATATGCTTTCTACATAAGACATATTTTAAATCAAAGCTACAAAGACAGTAAAAGTGAAAAGATATGCAAACTGTACATATGAGAGCAGTAGATTGGCTATGTTAATATCACACGAATAGTTTTAAGCTAAAGAATATTACTCAAGACAAAGAGGTACATTTCATAATGATAAAATGTCCAATGTAGAAGAAATATATAATAATTTAGGCATATATGCACCTAACAATAGAACTCCAAATACAGGAAGCAAAACTGACAGAATCGAAAGAAGAAATAGACAACTAGTTATAGCTAGATGTTTCACTACTCCTCCATCCATAATTCGTAGATCAAGTAGATAGAACACCAGCAAGATCATAGAAGACTTGAGCAACACTGTCAAACAACTGACATCTGGAAAGCATTCCACTCAACAACAGTAAAATATACATTCTTTTCAAACACACAGGGAACATTCAACAGGATAGACCACATCCTGGGATAAAGCAATTCTCTATACATTTAAAGAGACTGAAATCATGAAGAGTATGTTCTCTGACCACAGCAGAATAAAATTTTAAATTAAAACAGAAAAAATATTCTGGCAAATCCCCAAATATGTGGAAACTGCACACACAATGCTTATACATAATCAATAGGTCAAAGGAGACATCATAAGGAAAACATATCTGGAACAAAATGAAAATGAAAACACAACATACCAAAATTTGTGAGACGTAGCTAAAGTAGCATGCTTACTGCTGACAGCTTAAAGTCTATAGTCAATGATATGAAATGCCATTTTAAGAAGCTAGGAAAAGGTCAAATTAAACCCAAAGTAAGAAGGAAAGAGATCATCAAGATAGTGTAGAAATCAATGAAATGGACAAAAGGCAAGCAATAGTTAAAAATCAATGAAGCCAAGAAATGGTTCTTAGAAAGATCAATAACATTTATAAACCTTTAGCTAAGTTGATGAAATAATATACATACATTATCGCTGGATGTAGAAAATGGAAACAGTTTTGGCAATTTCTTATTAAGTTAAACATACACTTACCAACAAACCCATCAATCCCACTTCTAGGCATCTACCCAAGAAAAATGAAGAAATACGTCCACATTAAAAGTTTTATGTGAATGTTCGTAATAGCATCATTCATAATAGCCAAAAACTGGAAAGAACCCAAATATCCATCAACTGGTGAGTAAACAAAATGTAGTATAACCATGCAATGAAATATTACTCAGCGATAAAAACAACTCAACTCTTAACATATGCAGCAGCATGGGTGACTCTACCATGTCATGCCCCAGAGGGAAGCCAGTCATGGGAGACTCCATACTGTATGATTCTCTTTACATGAAATTCCAGGAAAGGTGAAGCTATCGAGGGAGAAAGCAGGTTAGTGATTGCCAGAGGCTGGGGTAGGAGCTGGAATTACCTGCAAAGGGACAGGAGGGAATTTGGGGGGTGATGGAAGTATTCTGAAACGTTATTGTGGTGGTAGTTACAGGACTTCACATCCATCAGAACCCAGTGAATAGTACACTCTAATGGAGTGAGGTGCATTTTAGGTAAATTATACATCAATAAAGCTATGGGTGTGTGTGTGTGTGCGTTCACGTGTGTGTGGGAAAACCCCCACATTGCTTACTTAGTAAAGGACACTTGTGCTGGGAACCCGGGGCCTCTGCATCCTGGCCCTGTATGGTCCTGTCTCACTCACCTGCTTACCCATTTTTGTCTTCCACAGACCCATTCATTTGGTAACCACAGACATCTTATGCTTTTCAACCCTAAATGGTTTACGTATCTGATCCAGTGACTTCAAATCCCATTCCACCGTCTCTACCCATTCAAACCCCAGGACTTTGTCAAGACCATTCCCATTCTTTGTCCTCTGTTCCATGTCCCGCCTTCCGATGCTCCTCACCCTCCCATCCGCCTCTGCTCTCGGACCTTCCAGAGCTTGGAGCAGCGTTTCCCTCCTTCGAACATCAAGAACAACCTGTACTTACTGTGTTGCTCCTCACTGCGCACCGCGTGCCATGGTTATTTGTGTTGATGTGTTGGATTTCCCTTGCAGAGGGGTTGCTCAAGTAATTATTGTCGTAATCCACATAACACTATCACATGACTTTGCAGACAGAAGACACTTAATAAGTATTTGTGAACAAGCTTTTGGGGATGCCAGCTGCGTTACCTCCTTCCTTCAGTGTGCTTTTCCATCCTCCCAAAGTGCAGAGTATTTCATGTCTCTCCTAGTCCCACATATTCTAATAGCTCAGAGCTGAGGACTTTCGACTTCTAACAAGATTAGAAGGGCCTCGAAGTGCAGAGCAGGGCTTTCATGTGTGGCCCTGCTAACTCCCAGTGCCAGTCTTCAAGATGAAATAGACATATTGCATCGAGTGAAACGGTTGTTATGCTCGCCTCAAACAAGCAGGACACAGATGAAAAAGAGAATACAGAAGCTATTTTCCTAGCCATGCCAAATCTCTCCACTGTGCCTCTCTTATGTCAATTTCATTTCAGTTTGAACCCCAGATGTTTTCCCAAAATTAACACTTTTTTGTTTCTATTACATTGGCTTTCCCAAGAAATCATTCACAGGGCATTATTTTTACTAATAATTTAAAGGAAAAAATTAACTTGCCCAAATTCTTGGGTGGGACAGTAAGGTTTGGAAAATTGAAAAGTGAGTTTGACAGTTTGATTCCTTCAGGCTACCGATGCTCTCTAAGGGGCCTTATAATTATTAAAGCTTATTCTTCCCCCACAAAAGCCACCAAGAACAGTGTGAATCACAGGCCTGGGAAGTCAGTGGCAGTTTGGGGTTTCCTGAGTCCCTGAGGGAGAGGAGCCCTTCCCAGAACAAACCAGCGGGGTCCAGAGCTACGTCAGATGAGGGAAGGCAACAGAAACTCCATAATGCGCGAAGAGTCAGACAGGATCAAAGTAAGAGTGTTCTCTTGCATCCGAGAGACACTTCCCCCAGACCCCTAGGGAAGGAGAGCTGGGAATTCACACTCCATCCCACAGTCGGTATTCCCACAGGCTGCTGTGTGGGCCTCTCGCAGCTGGGGACACAAGTTCTGGAGGCCATCGTCTGGCTCACATCCTGGCTCCTGTACTTCCCATCTGTATAACCTCAGGAAGGAACTCGGTCTTGACTCAGTTTCCCTCTAAGAAATGGGGACAATGACCGTGCTTAACCCCACTGGGCGGCTGTAAGACATGCAACCATCTTAGACCAGTGCCCGACACAAAGTTGGCACTCCATAAACGCCACATGCTAATGCTGCCATTACTACTGTTCATGCTCACATTAGTGCTTGCCATTCTCACTGCACTGTATAGGCTCACCCAGCCTCATCGGGACCTTTGGCACCAGCAGGAGGTTCCACGCAGACAATGCCAGGCACAGCTGCAGGCAGCACCCACACTGGAGCGGCCCATGGGGCTTTTTCTATGAAGATTCTGCTGCCCAGACCTGGAGAGGCCGGAGAAGCCGAACCCCACCAAGAACGCTGTTTTCACAAAAGCCGTTTGCCTTCACACTGGGTGGCAGCACATGACACTAACTCATTCAAGGTCAGAGCGACCAGACTCTCAACCCTTATTTTCGTTTGCTTGTTCGGCTTTTTTTTTTTTTTTTTTGCATTCCATTTTGTTGACATTTCTGTTGGACATGACCTTAGGTTGACTATCATTTCAGTCACTCACGACACTGAGCGTCTAAAGTCCACAGTCCTTTTTTAAACCGTTTCTACTCATTCACTTGCCTTACAACTCCACAGCCCGCCCCAGGGCTCTCCAACCAAAACCCTTCCTGGCCCCCTCCATCCTAACAAAGCCTGAGTCGAACACGAAAGGAAGATGGTCGCTGAAGCGAAGGGGAGTCATTTGTGTCCGTTCCATAAATCAAGACTGTCGCCTTTCGAAAAGGGGAGGTGTCGCAGTCTGACAGCCTGATCTGTTTCTAGGACGGCGTGTTTCCAGGAAATTCTGAGCACATATATATGCAGGGAGCAGTCATCGTTTTCCTCCTGTCCAGCCTTCTGCCTCCTGCTCCTCCTCTAGCTGCCTCCCTTGTTTCCAGGCTGGAGGTTCAATCCCTCTTCACCATCCCTGCTGAGGGAGGCTGTGTAGCAGGCTGTGTACGGGAGGCATGTGAGAGAGGCTATGTATGGGAGGTTCATGAGGGAGACTGTGTGAGGGAGGCTGGGTGAAGGAGGCTGTCATGGAGGCTGTGTGAGGGAGGCTGTCTGGGAGGCATATGAGGGAGGCTGTGTGGGAGGCTGTTTGGGAGGCTTTGTGGTAGGCTGTGTGAGGGAAGCTGCATCAGGGAGGCTATGTTGGGGAGGCTGTGTCGGGGAGGCTGTGAGGGAAGCTGTGTGAGGGAGACTATGTGAAGGAGGCTGTCATGAAGGTTGTGTGAGGGAGGCTGTGTGAGGGAGGCATGTGAGGGAGGCTGTGTGGGAGGCTTTCTGGTAGGCTGTGTGAGGGAAGCTGCATCAGGGAGGCTGTGCTGGGGAGGCTGTGAGGGAGGCTGTGTGAGGGAGACTATGTGAAGGAGGCTGTCATGTAGGTTGTGTGAGGGAGGCTGTGTGAGGCAGGCTGTTTCAGGGGGGCTGTCAGGGAGGCTGTGTGAGGGAGGCTGTGTGGGAGGCTGTGAAGGAGGCTGTGTGAGGGACGCATGTGAGGGAAGCCCGTGAGGGAGGCTGTGTGAGGTAGGCTATGAGGGAGGCTGTGTGAGGGAGGCTGTGTGAGGGAGGCTGTGAAGGAGGCTGTGTGAGGTAGGCTATGTGAAGGAGGCATGTGAGAGAGGCTGTGTACCAGAGGCCCATGAGGGAGGCCATGTGGGAGACTTTGTGAGGGAAGCCCGTGAGGGAGGCTGTGTGAAGGAGGCTGTGTGAGGGAGGCTGTGTGAGGGAGGCTGTGTGAAGGAGGCTGTGTGAGGGAGGCTGTGTGAGGGAGGCTGTGTGGGAGGCTGTGTGAAGGAGGCTATGTGAAGGAGGCATGTGAGAGAGGCTGTGTACCAGAGGCCCATGAGGGAGGCCATGTGGGAGACTTTGTGAGGGAAGCCCGTGAGGGAGGCTGTGTGAAGGAGGCTATGCGAGGGAGGCTGTGTGAGGGAGGCTGTGTGAAGGAGGCTGTGTGAGGGAGGCTGTGTGAGGGAGGCTGTGTGAAGGAGGCTGTGTGAGGGAGGCATGTGAGAGAGGCTGTGTACCAGAGGCCCATGAGGGAGGCCATGTGGGAGACTTTGTGAGGAAGGCCCGTGAGGAAGGCTGTGTGAGGGAGGCTGTGTGAGGGAGGCATGTGAGGGGGGCGTGTAAGGGAAGCTGTGTATTGCAGGCCCATGAGGGAGGCTGTGTGGGAGACTGTACGAGTGAGGCTGTGTGAGGGAGGCTCACCAACAAGCACACCTCTGACGGATTCTGCCTGTGGGGCAGGCAGGAGGCCATGTCCTTGTGATGGCCGCAGTCACCACGTTCATGGCGGTGCTATTCACAATGGCCACATGTCTGTCAGCAGAGGAACACACAGGCAAATGGTGGCTCTCCACACCATCCATCTCAGACATCAATAACAGAATATTTTATGAATGTAATGGCCTGGTGGACACCCCAGAGGG